>NC_000003.12:138554058-138857089 GCF_000001405.40 Homo sapiens | reverse complement strand
GTTGTGCCACTGCACTTCAGCCTGGACCACAGCAAAACTCTGTCTCAAAATATATATAAATAAATAAATAAATAAATAAATAAATAAATAAATAAATTGGCTGTCTACCTTTCCTTTCATGCCTTTCACACTTAGAGTCAGTTGCAGATAATGGAGAACCAACTAAAACCAGCAAAAGGGAAGAGTGGAGTTATTAGTTTGAATAGTTATAGTGTTGCACGTCTGGACCCAAACTTTCAAATGATATGCTCTTGCTTCTTCCTCTCTTGGTCCTGCTCTTAGCTCTCCTTTTCCCTGTATTTTGGTTTCATTTTTTGACCTGCTGTCTCCACACAATGAAAGAAAGCTCTAGCTTTACTTGATCTTATATCTGCATTCCCAGTGACAGAGAAAAGACATCCTTTCCATATATCACTTATAAAGATGACTTTGATAGGTCTGGTTGAGGTTACCTCCTCAATCTTGAGCCAATCATTACTGTGGCCAGGGAGATGGAGGTCTCTGATTGACCAGCCTGTGCCACCCATCCATCCCTGTGGGGTAGGGGTTGTGGTCCCACATAGCAGTTTCACCAACCCTATGTAAAGTAGGGAATGGGGGTTTCCAAAGAAAAAGTGGGGACAGAAACAACGGAAGTCCAGTCCTTTTTTTGCAAGGCAGTGGGGCATATAAGATTTGTTTGTTTGTTTATTTGTTTTTGTGACAGGGTCTCACTCTTGTCACCCAGGCTGGAGTGCAGTGGCATGATCTTGGCTCACTGCAACCTCCACCTCCCAGGTGCAAGTGATTCTCCTGCCTCAGCCCCCCGCGTAGCTGGGATTACAGGCTCACACCACCATGTCTGGCTAATTTTTTTTTTTAATGTATTTTTAGTAGAGATAGAGTTTTACCACATTGGCCAGGCTGGTCTCAAACTCCTGACCTCAGGTGATCCACTCACCTCAGCCTCCCAAAGTTGGAATTACAGGCATAAGCCACCACGCCTGGTCATAACATGGTTTCTTATATGCACCCAACTCTTTCTTTTTTTTTCTTTATTTTTGAGATAGGGTCTCATCAGTCATCAGGCTGGAGTGCAGTGGTGTGCTCACAGCTCACTGCAGCCTTGACCTCCCCAGGCTCAAATGATCCTCCCACCTCAGCCTCTGGAGTAGCTGGGACTACAGGTGTGCACCACCACACCCAGCTATTTTATCTTTTTATTTTGTGTAAAGATGGGGTCCTGCTATGTTGCTCAGGCTGGTATTGAACTCCTGGGCTCAAGTGATCCTCCTACCTTGGCCTCCTAAAGTGCTGGGACTATAGGCGTGAGTCACCAGGCTGGCCCCTGACTCTTTTTTTTTTTTTTTTTTTTTTTTTTTGAGACAGGGTCTCACTCAGTTGCCCAGGCTGGAGTGCAGTTGTGCTTACTGCAGCCTTGACCTCCTGGGTTCAAATGATCCTCCCACTTCAGCCTCCCGAGTAGGTGAGACTACAGGCATGAGCCACCACACCTGGCCACCCCCGACTCTTTCTTACCTCTGTGTATGGACAGTGTTCTTTCCTCTGCCTAGAATTCTCTCCCTACTCCCTCACCTCTCAAATCTTATGTGACTAACTCCTATTTGGCCTTTAGATCTCAGCTTAAATGTTAGCTACTCCAGGATGCTTCCCCAACCCTGCATATTAAATTATACCTATCTGACTGACACTTGTATAGCAATTTTATAACATAAAAGATAAAACAGAAATGTCGGCCAGGTGCAGCGGCTCAAGCCTGTAATCCCAGCACCTTAGGAGGCTGTGGAGAGCAAATTGCTTGAGCGTAGGAGTTGGAGACCAGTTTCTGCAACATGGCAAAAACCCGTTAGCCATGGAAAGGAGCCAGGCGTGGTGGCATGCATCTGTAGTCCCAGCTACTGGGAAGGTTGCGATGGGAGGATCACTGGAGCTCAGGAGGTCAAGGCTGCAGTGAGCTGTGATCTCATCACTGCACCCCAGCCTGGGCAGCAGAGCGAGACCCTGTCTCAAAAAATAAAAATAAAAAATTGTTGGCCAAGCATGGTGGCTCACGCCTGTAATTTCAACACTTTCAGAGGCCAAGGCTGGAGGATCGCTTGAGCCAAGGAGTTGAAGACCAACCTGGGTGACATAGTGAGATCCTGTATCTACCAAAAAAAACAAAAAAATAAATTAGACAGGTGTGATGGCAAGTGCCTGTGGTCCCAGCTACTAAGGAGGCTGAGGTGGGAGGATCTCTTGAGCCCAGGAGGTCAAAGCTGCAGTGAGCTATGATTGTGTCACTATACTCCAGCCTGGGTGACAGAGTGAGACCCTGTCTCAAAACAAAAACAAAACAAAACAAAACAGAAATCTCGCCATCAGAGGAAAAATAAAAAAAGAAAGAATATAGAAATGGACTAGCTGATATCAAAGTGCATCACACAGAATAAAGGTCTTATTAAATTTTTATTTCAGCACACATTATCAATACACATACAGACACACTTCCCTATGTATTGGGTTGCAATGCAAAATGCATTCTTACGGGGAATTGGATCAAAAAAAGTTTAAGAAAGCTTGCATTAAGCTGTGTCTGGCAAAAGTATGCTAAGATTGTATCTGTCCAGTTCAGAGCTCCCCAGAGATCCGGATATTGAGACACGTCATCACTAGAAAATAACACCTGGGAAGCTCATTCAAAGAACCAGAGTGGAAGTGCAGACACAATATCAGGATGCTGTTGCAGGGTGAACTCTGGATTTCTGTACTTTGGTTGGCTTATATTACATCCTCAAGGCCATTTAATCATATGCACAGTCAGGTGTGTTTTCTCTATATATATTTTTTCCTTCAAATAACAGATGACTTAATGTTTCCAAAGTTGAATACAAATTTTTTTTTACTCTTTTTTTTTTTTTTTTTGCTGCCATGTACGATTAGGCCATGAATTGCATATTCCTAGAAAACACCAAATTAACTAAAATCTTAGAGGGAGGGTGGGAGGCAGTATGATGTGAAAGCAACAGGGGCTATTGTCCTAATCCCTCTTTCAGCATTTGCTGGCTATGTGAATTCAGGTGAAGGGACCTAACATTCATTAGCTGAGGACTTACTTAGAGCAAGGCCCTGTGTCAACTGTGGGAGGTATAAAAATAAACACTCTGTCTACACTTTGTCCTGAAAGTGTAGACAAAGTTTACAACCTGGTAGGAGATATAAGTAAATAAATAAATAGCCAAAATATGGCCGGGCGCAGTGGCTTACATCTGTAACCCTAGCACTTTGGGAGGCCAAGGCAGGTGGATTGCCTGAGCTCAGGAGTTTGAGACCAGCTTGGGCAACACAGTGAGACCCTGTCTCTACTAAAATACAAAAAATTAGCCGGGGGTGGTGGCGTGCAACTGTAGTCCTAGCTACTTGGGAGACTGAGGCAGGAGAATTGCTTGAACCCGGGAGGCGAAGATTGCAGTGAACCAAGATTGCGCCACTGCACTCTATCCTGGGTGACAGTGAGACTCCATTTCCAAAAAAAAAAAAAATTGCCAAAATATAATCCCTAGTGGCTAATGTAGCTTATCAGTCATAAATTCATACGTACACACATTTATTCTTTTGTTTTTGAGATAGAGTCTTGCTCTTTCGCTCAGGCGGAAGTGAAGTGGCGCAATCTTGGCTCACTGCAACCTCTGCCTCCCAGGTTCAAGTGATTCTCCTGCCTCAGCCAACCAAGTAACTGGGATTACAGATGCCCACCACCACGCCCGGCTAATTTTTGTATTTTTAGTAGAGTGGGGGTTTCGCCACGTTGGCCAGGCTAGTCGTGAACATCTGACCTCAGGTGATCCACCCGCCTTGGTCTCCCAAAGTGCTAGGATTACAGGCGTGAGCCACCGTGCCCCACTCATGTAAATATTTTTTAATCAGCTATTCATTACTTCCAAAAATATGCATCGAGGATTATCTAGGTGGCTGACCCAGTGCTGGGCATGCAGAGACAAATAAGATATCATTCTTGCCTTGAAGGCATTCAGTCTGATGGAGTTTTCAGTCTCAGAGATATGAACAGAGTTCTGGTAAGAATTAGGCCCAGGCCGGGCGTGGTGGCTCTCGCCTGTAATCCCAGCACTGTGGGAGGCTGAGGCTGGCAGATCACCTGAGGTCAGGAGTTCAAGACCAGTCTGGCCAACATGCAAAACCCCGTCTCTACTAAAGCTACAAAAATTAGCTGGGCATGGTGGCTCACGCCTGTAGTCCTGGCTACTCAAGAGGCTGAGCCAGAAGAATCGCTTGAACCCAGGAGGCGGAGCTTGCAGTGAGTCGAGAGCGTGCCATTGCACTCCAGCCTGGGCAACAGAGCAAGACTCCATCTCAAAAAAAAAAAAAAAATACTATACAAAAATTAGCCGGGCATAGTGGCAGGCACCTGTAATCCCAGCTACTCAGGAAGCTGAGGTAGGAGAATCTTTTTTTTTTTTTTTTGAGACGGAATCTTGATCTGTTGTCCAGGCTGGTGTGCAGTGGCGCAACCTCTGCCTCCTGGGTTCAAGCAATTCTCCTGCCTCAGCCTCCCGAGTAGCTGGGATTAAAGGCGCCTGCCACCATGCCCGGCTAATTTTTTCGTATTTTTAGTAGAGACGGGGTTTCACCATGTTGGTCAGGCTGGTTTTGAACTCCTGATCTCAAGTGATCCACCTGCCTCGGCCTCCCAAAGAGTTAGGATTACAGGCGTGAGCCACCGTGCCAGGCCGAGAATCACTTGAACCTGAGAGGCGGAGGTTGTAGTGAGCCGAGATGGTGCCATTGCACTCCAGCCTGAGCAACAAGAGTGAAATTCCATCCCAAAAATAAATAAATAAATAAATAAATAGGCCCATTTATGAAGGAATCAGACAATTTGATTTTAATTTCAGGTACACTCCTTCCCAGCTGTATGACCTTGGGCAAGTTGTTAACCACTCTGAGGCTCAGTTTCTCCATCTGGAAAACACATGTAATAATAATGTTATTAGGAGGATTAAATAAATTCAGGTAATTACCCTTGTGCTAATAGATAGTAGAAAAGCACTCAATGGGCTGGGCACAGTGGCTCACGCCTGTAATCCCAGCACTTTGGGAGCCAAGTCAGGCAGATTACCTGAGATCAGGAGTTCAAGACTAGCCTGGCCAACTTGGCAAAATCCCGTCTCTACTAAAAATACAAAAATCAGTTGGGCGTGGTGGCAAGTGCGTGTAGTTCCAGCTACTGGGGAGGCCTGAGGCAGAAGAATAGCTTGCACCGGGGAGGTGGAGGTTGTAGTGAGCTGAGATCCCGCTACTGCACTCCAGCCTGGATGACAGAGCGAGACTCTGTCTCAAAAAAAAAAAAAAGAAGTACTCAATGGATGTTTTATATTTAACTTAAAAAGAAATCCCTTCCCCCACCATATCTATTCAATTTTATAAGATGAAAAACATTTTTTTCTTCAGTGTTGAAGATGTTCGGATAGAAAATCAGATGCTGTGGTGGCTTATGCTTGTAGTCTGAGGCAGCAGGATCACTTGAGGCCAGGAGTTCAAAAAAATCAGATGCTGCAAACTAGATGCAGTTTTAAAAAAATAGATGTTGAAATTTATATGAATAAATGTTGGTGAATGCAGTTAAGTTGTAGATATAGATTAAAGAAATTCTGGCCAGATGTGGCGTCTCACTCCTGTAATCTCAGCACTTTGGGAGGCCAAGGCTGGAGGATCACTTGAAGCCAGAAGTACGAGATCAGCCTGGGCAACAAAGCAAGAGTCCATCCCTACAAAAGATAAAATAGTCTGGGCACGGTGGCTCATGCCTGTAATCCCGGCACTTTGGGAGTCTGAGGCGGGCGGATCATGAAGTCAGGAGATTGAGACCATCCTGGCTAACATGGTGAAATCCCGTCTCTACTAAAAATACAAAAAATTAGCCGGGCGTGGTGGCAGACACCTGTAGTCCCAGCTACTCGGGAGACTGAGGCAGGAGAATGGCGTGAACCTGGGAGGCGGAGCTTGCAGTGAGCCAAGATCATGCTACTGCACCCCAGCCTGGGTGATGGAGCGAGTCTCCGTCTCCAAAAAAAAAAAAAAAAAAAAGATAAAATAATTAACCAGGCATGGTGGAGTGAGCCTGTAGTCCCATCTATTCAGGAGGCTAAGGCAGGAGGATTGCTTGAGCCCAGGAGGTTGAGGTTGTGGTGAGCCATGATCACACCAGTGCACTCCAGCCTGAGTGACAGAGTGAGACTCTGACTCCTAAAAAAAATTTAGCTGGGCGCGGTGGCTCACGCCTGTAATCCCAGCACTCTGGGAGGCTGAGGTGGGTGAATCACCTGAGGTCAGGAGTTCGAGACCAGCCTGGGCAACATGGTGAAACCCCATCTCTCCTAAAAATACAAACCTTAGCTGGGCATGGTGGTGCACACCTGTAGTCCCAGCTACTCATGAGGCTGAGGCAGGAGAATCACTTGAACCTGGGAGGCGGAGGTTGCAGTGAGCCAAGATGGTGCCTCTGCACTCCAGCCTGGGCAACAAGAGCAAAACTCCATCTCAAAAAAAAAAAAAAAAATTAAAAACAGAAATTCTTTCTATTTAAGTTCTGAAGTATTTTTGCTTTACCCCCCTTAATAAGGCCTATATAAGTAGGGTAGGCTACCTTTGTGGCAGTTACAAACAGCTCCAGAATCTTAGTAATTTAAGTATGGCAAATGTTTATTTCCAGTTCATGCAGTCAGCCACCCTCCTGGCAGCTCTCCAAGGTAGCTGTACTTCTTGTGTTGGCTCAGTTATTCTGACCCCCTCTTTCAGTGGCAAGATCTTGGCTCACTGCAACCTCTGCCTCCCGGATTCAAGCGATTCTCCTCCCCAGCCTCCCAAGTAGCTAGTATTACAGGTAGGGGCCACCACGCCTGGCTAATTTTTGTATTTTTAGTAAAGATGGGGTTTTGCCATGTTGGCCAGGCTGGTCTCAAACTCCTGACCTCAGGTGATCCGCCTGCCTTGGCCTCCCAAAGTGCTGGGATTACAGGCATGAACCACTGCGCCGGGGCCTGGAACCCCTCTTTCTTGTGGCACCTTTGTTTCAGCATAGGGGAAAGAAAGGACCTGGAGAAACACACTGCACCTCTTGAATGCTTCCACCGAGAGGTAGCAGCTGCCACTTGTGCTTACCAAAGCAAGTGATTTGCATTAGCCAAAGCAAGTCTCATGACTTCACCCAACTTCAAGGATTCCACCTAACTTCAAGGCAGCAGTCCTCTGGAGGGGAAATGAGCTGGAAATACTAGTTAATGGTGATTATGTCTACCCCAGGATGTCATACCATGCTTTCTACATGCCAGTCACACTGGCCTTTTTTGGTCTTTCAAACTGATACATTCCTTACTGCCACAGGACAATTGCCTAGGCTGTTCTCTCTGATTGCAACATTTTTCATTCCACTCTTTGCTTGGTTAAAGTCTATTCTTCCCTCGGACTGAGCCTAGTGTCCCTTCTTAAGGGAAACCTTTGCTTTCGCCTCTGACTATGTCAATTTCTCATATTATTTATTTTTTTCATTTAAAAATTATTTTAATCATTTCTTGTCTTGACATTACCTTCAGCCAACTCACACCAAAATTCCCCCTATTATTATTGCTGTCACAACATCAGGCACTCCCACTTTATAGCACTTAGCTGTAATTTGCAGTTCATCATGTGATGACTTCATTAATGACTATTTCTTCCTCTGCAGCATCAGCTGCAAGCAACATGTTGTTTTGTTCACCCCTATATCTCCACCACCTATCCCAGTAAATAGGTTTTGTTTTTGTTTTTGTTTTTGTTTTTTTGAGACAGAGTCTCACTCCATCACCCAGGCTGGAGTGCAGTGATGTGATCTTGGCTCACTGCAACCTCTGCTGCCTGGGCTCAAGTGATTCTCATGCCTCAGCCTCCCAAGTAGCTGGAATTACAAAATTATAAAATACAAAAATTAGCCGGACATACACCACCACATCCAGATAATTTTTCTATTTTTTAGTAGAGACAGGGTTTTGCCATGCTGGCCAGGCTGATCTCAAACTCCTTACCTCAAGTGATCTGCCTGCCGCAGCCTCCCAAAGTGCTGGGATTACAGGTATGAGCCACTGCATTCAGCCCAGTTTTTTTTCTTTTTTTTTTTAGAAACAGTCTCACTCTGTCGCCCAGCCTGGAAGGCAGTGGCAAAATCATAGCTCACTGCAGACTGGAACTCCTGGGCGCAAGAGATCCTCTTGCCTTAGTCTCTCCAAGTAGCTGAGACTACAGGCACGCATCACTACACTCAGCTAAATTTTGAAATTTTTTTGTAGAAAGGTTGTCTCACTATCTTGCCAGGGCTGGTCTGAAACTCCTGGGCTCAAGTGATACTCCCACCTTGGCCTCTCAAAGTGCTAGGATTATAGCTGTGAGCCATCGTGCCCAGCCTTTTCAATTTTTTAAATTAAGGCTGGTCACGGTGGCTCACGCCTGTAATTTTTTTTTTTAATTAAAAAAAAATTTTTTTTAACTAGGTGGCCCATGGTCAAGAAAAAAAAATTTTTTTAAGAGTTAGTGTCTTGCCGGACACAGTGGATCACACCTGTAATCCCAGAACTTTGGGAGGCCTAGACGGGCAGATCACTTCAGGTCAGGACTTCGAGACCAGCCTGACCAACATGGTGAAACCCCATCTCCACTAAAAATACAAAAATTAGCCAGGTGTGGTGGTGTGCACCTGTAATCCCAGCTACTCAGGAGGCTGAGGCAAGCGAATCACTAGAATCCGGGAGGCGGAGGTTGCAGTGAGCCGAGATCGCACCACTACGCTCCAGCCTGGGCGACAGAGCGAAACTCAGTCTCAAGACCATCCTGGCTAACACGGTGAAACCCCGTCTCTACTAAAGATACAAAAAAAAAAAAAAAAAAAAAAAAAATTAGCGGGGCATGGTGGCGGGTGCCCGTAGTCCCAGCTACTCCGGAGACGGAGCCAGGAGAATGGCGTGAAACCGGGAGGCGGAGCTTGCAGTGAGCCGAGATGGCGCCACTGCACTCCAGCCTGGGCGACAGAGCGAAACTCAGTCTCAAGACCATCCTGGCTAACACGGTGAAACCCCATCTCTACTAAAAATACAAAAAAAAAAATTAGCTGGGCATGGTGGCGGGTGCCTGTAGTCCCAGCTACTCTGGAGGCTGAGGCAGGAGAATGGCGCGAACCCGGGAGGCAGAGCTTGCAGTGAGCGCAGATCGCGCCACTGCACTCCAGCCTGGGCGACAAAGCGAGACTCCGACTCAAAAGAAAAGAAAAAAAAAAAAAAAAGCCACCGGGCGCGGTGGCTCACGCCTGTAATCCCAACACTTTGGGAGGCTGAGGCGGGCGGATCTCGAGGTCAGGAGATCGAGACCATCCTGGCTAACACTGTGAAACCCCGTCTCTACTAAAAATGCGAAAAATTAGCCGGGCGTGGTGGCAGGCGCCTATAGTCCCAGCTACTCCGGAGGCTGAGGCAGGAGAATGGCGTGGACCCGGGAAGCGGAGCTTGCAGTGAGCCGAGATCGCGCTACTGCACTCCAGCCTGGGCGACAGAGCGAGACTCCGACTCGGGAAAAAAAAAAAAAAAGAATTCTAGGCGAGTCCGTAAAGTGAAGGTTATGTTCACTAACAGAGAAAGGAATAAAGGAATGCCTACTCCATAGGCAGAACAGCCCCACGGGCTACTGGTTGCCCATTTTTATGGTTATTGCTTGATTATATGCTGAACAAGGGGTGGATTATTTATACCTCCCCTTTTTAGACCATACAGGTTACCATAGGGTAACTTCCTGACGTTGCCATGGCATTTGTAAACTGTCATGGCACTGGTGGGAGTGTAGCAGTGAGGATTACCAGAGGTCACTCTCATCGCCATCTTGGTTTTGGTAGGATTTGGCTGGCTTCTTTACTGTAACCTGTTTTATCAGCAAGGTCTTTATGACCTATATCTTGTGCTGACCTCCTATCTCATCCTGTCTGTGACTTAGAATGCCTAATTGTCTGGGAATGCAGCCCAGTAGGTCTCAGCCTTATTTTACCCAGCCCCTATTCAAAATGGAGTTGCTGTGGTTCAAATGCCTCTGACTCTAGTGGGATCTCAGTTCACTGCAACCTCCACCTCCCAAGCAGCAAGTGATCCTCCTACCTCAGCTCCTAGAGTAACTGGGACTACAGGTGCACACCACCACACCCAAATTATTTTTGTATTTTTTGAGGAGATGATGTTTCACCATGTTGCCCAGGCTCACCTCCTGGGCTCAAGCAATCCACCCACCTTGGCCTCCTAAAGTGCTGGCATTACAGGCGTGGGCCATCTCACCCGGCCAACGTGTAAGTCTTGACTGCGTAAGAGGAACAAAATTTATCCGCCCCTTGATCAGTCTAGGGGACTGAAGTCTAAGGAAGTCATTTCACATTTTGCTCATGTCCCCACCCTTACAGATTGCACAATCCAGGTTTTTGTTTTTGAGACCCATCTTGTACGTGCAAGCTCCCCCATTCATTTGCATAGGTATTTCAAGACTGCTGTAGACCTGTGAGTGCTGCTTGATTTAACGATCACAACCTGGTACAAAAAAAAAGCACCAAACTCCCTTAAGTAAGTCAGCTCTTTGGTTTGCTGTTTTCTTAAAGGAAAAAGGCTGGGACAGAGCACTTTTTTCAAAGCTAAAGTAATCCCTTTGAACTTAGGGTTTGTTTTGCCAGTATAAGGCCTTGTGAGCTCCCTAAGGCGCTGTACATAGGCTCTCCACCAAAAATGCAGTTTTGAATGAATTCGGGTGAAAGTGCAGATGGGCCACTGGCATTCGAATTTAGTTATTTCTGCCTTTGACTCCTTAATGGGGCAGAAAATTCTTGATTCAAGGTGTTCAAGGTAGCAGATTATGTAAATGTTAATTTAATTATATTATCTTCCTTAAACGTAAAAACAGGTTAAATTGTAGCCTAGGGTGGCTTGTCCACAAAAACAAACAGGGCAGCACATTTGCTGATGAATAGCTCACATTCCACAAACCCCTTGGGAACCTGGGATACGATCTTTGATCTAACTAACTTCACATACCAATGCTAATTGGTTTTTAAAGTGTCTGATTTATTGTTTCTCAACACCAACTTATATTTCTTTAGTGAATGACACTATTCTACAGCCACAAGTTAATAGGATTGAAGGCTAATTGCACTTAACATACAGCATGAAGGAGGCTGGGCTGGGTGGCTCATGCCTGTAATCCCAGCGCTTTAGGAGGCCGAGGCTGGCCAATCACTTGAGCTCAGGCGTTTGAGACCGTTCTGGGCAACATGATGAAACCCCATTTCTACAAAAACATACAAAAATTAGCCGAGACTGCGCCACTGCACTCCAGCCTGGGTGACAGAGTGAGACCCTGTCTCAAAGAAAAAAAAATAAAAATAAAAAATAAACAAGGCTGGCCGTGGTGGTTTATGCTTGTAATCCTAGCACTTCAGGAGGCCAAGACTGGTGGATCGCTTGAGCTCAGGAGTTCCAGACCAGCCTGGCAGCATGGTGAAACCTCTGTCTCTACAAAGAAAATAACAAAAATTAGCCGGGCATGGTGGCTTGCGCCTGTAGTCCCGGCTGCTTCAGTGGCTGAGGCAGGAAGATTGCTTCAGCCCAGGAGGTAGAGGTTGCAGTGAGCCGTAATCACGCCACTGCACTCCAACCAGGGTGACAGAGTTTTGTTTTGTCTCAAAAAAACAAAAACAGAACAAAAAAAACATACAATGTGATGGCATTCTTGATTTGTAAGGCTAGTCCCTGAGCCTACTTCCCGCCCTTCAAGTGCCCTCACTGCCATACTGACTCCCTCCTCACCAGGCTCCACCCCTTCCTCCCTTCCTCTCCTGCTCTTTGCCTTTTCCTTTTCCTTTTTTCTTTTTTTTTCTTTTTTTTTTTGTTTTGAGACGGAGGCCTGTTGCCCAGGCGGGAATTTTTTTTTGTTTTTTTTGATACGGAGTCTTGCTCTGCCGCCCAGGCTGGAGTGCAATGGCACGATCTCGGCTCACTGCAACCTCCGCCTCCCAGGTTCAAGCTATTCTCCTTCTTCAGCCTCTCAAGTAGTTGGGATTACAGGCACGCGCCACTATGCCCAGCTAATTTTTGTATTTTTAGTAGAGATGGGGTTTCAATGTATTGGTCAGGCTGGTCTCAAACTCCTGACCTTGTGATTTGCCTGCCTCGGCCGCCCAAAGTGCTGGGATTACAAGCGTGAGCCATAGCGCCCAGCCTCCCTCTCCTTTTTCAATCATGATCATAGCTCGCTAAATTACAGCCCTTTTTTTTTGAGATGGAGTCTCATTCTGTTGCCAGGCTGGAGTGCAGTGGCTCGATCTCGGCTCACCACAACCTCCACCTCCCAGGTTCAAGCAATCCTCCTGCCTCAGCCTCTCGAGTAGCTGGGACTACAGGCGTGCACTACCATGCCTGGCTAATTTTTGTATTTTTAGTAGAGATGGGGTTTCACTATGTTGTCCACGCTGGTCTCAAACTCCTGACCTCGTGATCCGCCCACCTCGGCTTCCCAAAGTGTTGGGATTACAGGCATGAGCCACCGCACCCGCCCTAATTACAGCCCTTTTATGTGTTTTCCTTACTGTGTGTATATATATGTACATATACATACTGTATATATAATAAGTGGACATGATAAAATTTCAAATAGCATAAAAGAAAATAACCATAAAAATTAAATCTCCCTTCCACCTTTTTTTCCCAGCCTCTAGTTTTCCTTCTTCCAGACAACTGTTAGTTTCTTGTGTTTTTCTGATGATAATCTATGGCAGCTTTCTTTACTGTTCTGCATCTTACCGATTTCACAAAACAATATTTTAGAGATTGTTTCAGATCAGTGCCTTCTTTTTTTTTTTTTTTTTTGAGACGGAGTTTGCCCTGTTGCCCAGGCTGGAGTGCCGTGGTGCGGTCTTGGCTCACCGCAACCTTCCGCCTCCCGGGTTCAAGCTATTCCCCTGCCTCAGCCTCTCAAGTAGTTAGGATTACAGGCACGTGCCACCACGCCCAGCTAATTTTTGAATTTTTAGTAGAGATGGGGTTTCACTATGTTGGTCAGGCTGGTCTTGGACTCCTGACCTCGTGATTTGCCCGCCTCAGCCACCCAAAGTACTGGGATTACAAGCGTGAGCCACCGTGCCCAGCCGCCTTATTCTTTTTAAAGTTGCATAATATCACGATATTCAGCTATAATCTCTCTCCTCTTTGTGTGTGTGGTGTATATAAATGTAATACATATATATATGTATTTGTGTGTGTATGTATGTGTGTTTTATCAAATTTTCCTTCAAAACATTATATATCTCTTAGTTTGCATTCCAGGAGAATATGTGTAGTCCCCCTGAGTCCCATTGCCTGGCTTTTTCCTCCTTTTCTTTTTTTTATATTTTAAAATATTTTATAGAGACAAGGTCTTACTATGTTGCCTAGGCTGATATTGAACTCCTGAGCTCAAGTGATCCTCCTGCCTTGGCCTCCTTTAGTGCTAGGATTACAGGCTTGAGCCACCACACCTGGGGTCTTCCCCATTTTCAGAATGTCTGTCTTATTTCCTACAGCTTCTAGCCCTGCAAATTTTACACTGGTGTAGCTGAACACTGAACTCTTTCCTAAAAATCATGGATAAAAATGCACATAGAGACCTGTAATCCCAGCACTTTGGGAGGCTGAGGTGGGTGGAGTGCTTGAGCTCAGGAGTTTGAGACCAGCCTGACCAACATGGAGAAACCTCGTCTCTACTGAAAATACAAAAATTAGCCAGGCATGGTGGCAGGTGCCTGTAATCCTACCTACTTGTGAGGCTGAGACACGAGAATCGCTTGAACCCAATAGGCGGAGTTTGCACTGAGTCGAGATTGGGCCACTGCACTTCAACCTGGTGAAAAAGCAAGACTCCGTTTCATGTGTTTCAAAAAAAAAAAAGGAAGAAAGAAAGAAAAAATTAGCTGGAGGCGTATTGGCACGTGACTGTGGTCCTAGCTATTCAGGAGGCTGAGCTGGGAGGATCAGTTGAGGCTGGGAGGTTGAGGCTGCAGTGAGCCTGGATGACAGAGCAAGACTCTTTCTCTCTCTCTCTCTCAAAAAAAAAGTACATACAGGAGAGTAATTTGTTTTTCAAAAGAAAGCCTTACTGGGCACATTAGCATGCACCTGTAGTTCCAACTACTTTGGAAGCTAGGACAGGAGATTTGCTTGAGCCCAGGAGGTCAAATCCATCCAGCCAGGCAACATAGCAAGTGAGACCATTCGTGCTTGGACCTGGCCATATATAGGGGAGCATTCCAGCCCTCAAGTTGCTTGGAACCCACTGAGAGACAGGCAGGAAAACCAGTCATTTCTCAACAGTGAAGTGAGAGTCTCATAGTGGATTACTGGTCCCTAAAGAAGCATGGGGAAGCCAGCAATCAGGAGGAAGTGAAATTGAAGCTGAGGCCTTGAAGAAGAGTTGGCTAAGATAATAAGGCAGATGTGGCTTGGATCATGGAGGGCTGGTAGGGAAGATTTCACAAGCTGAGCCCAAATCCTCCCAGGCCTTCAGCCATAGAGTCAATATTCCGGAGGGAGGAAGTCAGGAAGGATGTCACCAGGCGGGATAAATCTTCCCTCCAGCTCCTATAAAAGTGCTCTTTGATTCTTCTCACAAACCTACCAAGATTCTATCCATCCCAGCAGCCCAGGAATGGTTCCTCAGTATTCCTAGAGAATTTTCCTCTTGTTTGGGAATGTTGATATAATCAGTACTTGGGAACCCAAGGCACATGGCAAGGCTATTTTGGCCAGTCATGAGGAGCAACTGGCAGGCATTTCAGCAAAGTTAGGAGCCTGAAAGATCTGTGTACCAGCTGGCTCTGTGACCTTGAGTGAGCCTGTTAACTTCTCTGGGCCTCAGTTTTCCTCAGCTATAAAAAATTCATTCAGGGGCATGGTGGCTCACACCTGTAATCCTAGCACTTTGGGAGGCTGAGGCAGGCGGATCACAAGGTCAGGAGATCGAGACCATCCTGGCTAACATGGTGAAACCCTGTCTCTTCTAAAAATAGAAAAACAATTAGCTGGGCGTGGTGGCAGGTAGTCCCAGCTACTCGGGAGGCTGAGGCAGGAGAATGGTGTGAATCCAAGAGGCGGTGCTTACAGTGAGTCCAGATAGCGCCACTGTACTCCAGCCTGAGCGACAGAGCCAGACTCCGTCTCAAAAAAAAAAAAAAAAAAATTAAAAAATTTGCCAAGTGTGGTGGTGTGTGCCTGTGGTCCCAGCTACTTTGGAGGCTGAGGTGGAAGGCTTGAGCCCAAAAGGTTGAGGCTGCAGTGAACTGTGATCATTCCACTGCATTCCTGCCTGGGCAACAGAATGAAACACTATCTCAAAAAAAGAATATTAGCTGGGCGCGGTGGCTCACGCCTGTAATCCCAGCACTTTGGGAGGCTGAGGCAGGTGAATCACAATGTCAGGAGTTCAAGACCAGCCTGGCCAACATGGTGAAACCCCGTCTCTACTAAAAATACAAAAAATTAGTCGGCATAGTGGCGGACGCCTGTAATCTCAGCCGCTCAGGAGGCTGAGGCAGGAGAATAGCTAGAATCTGGGATGTGGAGGTTGCAGTGAGCCGAGATCACTCCACTGCACTCCAGCCTGGGCAACAGAACAAGACTCCGTCTCAAAAAAAAAAAAAAAAAAAAAAAAAAAAGAATATTTACTAAGCATCTACTATTTGTCAGGCACTAATCTTGTTCCTGGGGAGGCAGTAGATAAAAGACAAATATGAGGAGACTGGATATTTGATTCCAGATAGCCCCCTTTTTTTTGACACAAAGTCTCAATCTGTCACCCAGGCGTGCAGTGGCAGGATCTTGGCTCATTCCAACCACTGCTCCTGGGTTCAATCAATTCTTGTGCCTCAGCCTCCCAAGTAGCTGGGACTACAGATACGCACAGACATGCCCGGCTAATTTTTTGTATTTTTTTGATAGAAAGGGGGTTTCACCATGTTGGCCAGGCTGGTCTCGAACTCCTTGTCTCAAGTGATCCACCTGCCTTGGCCTCGCAAAGTTCTGGGATTACAGGCACGAGCCACCGCGCCCGGCCCAGACAGCCCTTTTTTGTTGTTGTTGTTTGTTTGTTTGTAACAGGTCTTGCTCTGTAGTCCAGGCTAGAATGCAGTAGCATGATCATAGCTCACTGCGGCCTCAAACTCCCGGGCTCAAGCTATCCGTCCCTAGTAGCTGGGACTACAGGCATATGTCACTACACTCAGCTAATTAAAAACTTTTTTTTTTTTTTTTTTATAAACAGAGGGTCAGCCAGGCATAGTGGCTCATGCCTGTAATCCCAGCACTTTGGGAGGCCGAAGTGGACAGACCACTTGAAGTCAGGAGTTTGAGACCAACCTGGCCAACATGGTGAAACCCTGGCTCTACTAAAAATACAAAAATTAGCCAGGTGTGGTGGCACGTGCCTGTAATCCTCTACTCAGGAGGCTGAGGCAGGAGAATTGCTTGAACCTGGGAGGCGGAGGTTGCAGTGAGCCAAGATGGCGCCACTGCACTCCAGCCCCAGCCTGGGTGACAGAGCAAGACTCCGTCTCAAAAAAAAAAAAAAAGGCTGGGCTTTGCAGCTGACGTCTGTAATTTCAGCACTTTGGGAGGCCGAGGCAGGTTGATCACCTGAGGTCAGGAGTTCAAGACCAGCCTGGTCAACATGGTGAACCCTCGCCCCTACTAAAAATACAAAAAAAAAATTAGCTGGACATGGTCTGTACTCCCAGCTACTCAGGAGGCTGAGGCAGGAGAATGGCTTGAACCTGGGAGGCAGAGGTTGCAGTGAGCCAAGATCATGACACTGCACTCCAGCCTGGGTGACACAGTGAGAGACTCTGTCTCCAAAAAAAAAAAAAAAAAAAAAAAGACAGGGTCCAGTTCTGTTTCAAGTTCAAGGTCAGGCTGGTCTTGAAATCCTGGCCTCAAAAGATCTTCCTGCCTGTGGCTCCCAAAGTGTTGAGATTACAGGTGTGAGCCATTGTTCCCTGTCCCCAGATAGCTCTTTTAAAGCCTCATTAACATTCTATATTTATAAGTGATATTAGTAATCACACATTTGTGAAATTACCTTGCCTGAAGAAAACAGAAATTCAAAAATGGTTTTTGCTTCACCCTCTCCCTCCAATGTCACTGCCCTCCCATCTGGTCCTTAAGTTTAATTTTCTGTTGCAGAATTTGTTTTTTAAGTGGCCACTGCTCACCCTTCCCTCTTCCCCTCTGTTCTCCATCTGCTTTTTACTTTCTGTCCTTTCCCTCCCAAGATTGATGGCCTTGGCACATGTGACTGGATCATTTTTTTTTTTTTTTTTTAAGAGATGGAGCCTCACTCTGTCACCCAGGCTGGAGTGCATCGGCACGATCTCGGGTCACTTCAACCACTGCCTCCTGGGTTCAAACGATTCTCCTGCCTCAGCCTCCTGAGTAGCTGGGATTACAGGTGTGCGCCACCATGCCCTCCTAATTTTTGTATTTTTAGTAGAGATGGGTTTTCGCTATGTTGACCAGGCTGGTCTTGAACTTCTGACCTCAGGTGATCTGCCCGCCTCGGCCTCACAAAGTGCTGGGATTACAGGCATGAGCCACTGCGCCTGGCCTTGTGCTAATTTTTTTTTTTTTTTTTTGAAAAAGAGTCTTGCTCTGTTGCTCAAGCTGGAGTGCAGTGGCGTGATCTTGGCTCACTACAACCTCCACCTCCCGGGGTCAAGCGATTCTCCCACCTCAGCCTCCTGAGTAGCTGGGATTATAGGCACCTGCCATCATGCCCAGCTAATTTTTGTATTCTTGTAGAGATGGGGTTTCCCCATGTTGACCAGGCTGGTCTTGAACTCCTGACCTCAGGTGATCTGCCCACCTTGGCCTCCCAAAGTGCTGAGATTACAGGCATGAGCCACAACTCCCAGGCCCTTGTGCTGATTTTTGAAGGCAGTTGAGGAAGCGGAGAAACAGAGGCAGCAATCTTTGGTGTTCTCCACTTGTAGATGTATCATTCCAACCTTTGCCTCCTTCTTCACATTACCCTCCTCTCTATGTTTCTCTGTGTCATATCTCTCTTTCCCCTTCTCTTATAAGGACACTTGTCATTGGGTTTGGACCCATCCTACATCCAGGATGATCTCATCTCTCAAGTTTCTTATTGTTGACTGGGTGCGGTGGCTCACACCCGTAATCCCACCACTTTGGGAGGCAGAGGCAGGCAGATCACCTGAGGTCAGGAGTTTAAGACCAGCCTGGCCAACATGGTGAAACCCCGAATCTAAAAAAATATAAAAATTAGCTGGGCATGGTGTCAGGTGCCTGTAATCTCAGCTACTCGGGGGGCTGAGGCAGGAGAATCGCTTGAACTCAGGAGGTGGAGGTTGCAGTGAGCAGCAGAGATTGCACCATTGCACTCCAGCCTGGGCAACAGAGCAAGACACTCCCTCAGGAAAAAAAAAAAGCAGCTGGGCGCGGTGGCTCACACCTGTAATCACAGCACTTTGGGAGGCTGAGGCGGGTGATCATGAGGTCAGGACTTCCAGACCAGCCTGGCTAATATGGTGAAACCCTGTCTCTACTAAAAATACGATAATTAGCTAGGTGTGGTGGTGTGGGCCTGTAGTCCCAGGTACTCTGGAGGCTGAGGCATGAGAATCGATTGAACTCAGGAGGTGGAGGTTGCAGTGAGCCGAGATCATGCCACTGCACTCCAGCCTGGTTGACAGAGTGAGACTCCATCTCAAAAGAAAAGAAAAGAGAAAAAAGAAAAGAAAAAGAAACATAAGGCCGGGTGCAGTGGCTCATGGCCTCTAATCCCAGCACTTTGGGAGGCCAAGGTGGGCAGATCACAAGGTCAAGAGATTGAGACCATCCTGGCCAACATGGTGAAACCCTGTCTCTACTAAAAATACAAAAAAAAAAAAAAAGAACATAGCTGGGCGTGGTGGTGCACCCCTTTAGTCCCAGCTACTCAGGAGGCTGAGGCAGGAGAATCGCTTGAACTCCGCAGGCAGAGGTTGCAGAGAGCCGAGATCATGCCACGGCACTCCAGCCTGGCGACAGAGTGAGACTCCAACTCAAAAAAAAAAAAAGAAAGAAAAGAAAAAGAAAAAACACAATAGATGGAATAGAACTGCAGAAAAATATGGCAAACACATTATATCTTTTTTCAAAAATAAAAATTAAAAAATTGCTCAAGGGATCCACCCACCTTGGCCCCCAAAGTGCTAGGATTGCAGATGTGAGCCACCACACCTGGCCAACACATTATATCTCTAACATAAAAGAGGTTCTATAAATGGATTTTAATTAAATTAATTAATTAATTAATTTATGTTTTCTGTTTTTGAGATGGAGTCTAGCTCTGTCACCCAGGCTGGAGTGCAGTGGCACTATCTCAGCTCACTGCAAACTTCGTCTCCCAGGTTCAAGCAATTCTGTCTCAGCCTCCCGAGTAGTTGGCACTACAAATGCCCGCCACCATGGCCGGATAATTTTTGTATTTTTAGTAGAGACGGGGTTTCACCATATTGGTCAGGCTGGTCTTGAACTCCTGACCTCAGGTGATCTGCCCGCTTTGGCCTCCCAAAGTGCTGGGATTACAGGAGTGAGCCACAGCACCCGGCCATGCATTTCTATTATTTATTTATTTATTTATTTTTGAGACAGAGTCTTGCTCTGTTGTCCAGGCTGGAGTACAATGGCGTAATCTCAGCTCACTGCAACCTCTGCCTCCTGGGTTCAAGCGATTCTCCCACCCCAGCCTCCAGAGTAGCTGGGATCACAGGCCCGCACCACCACGCCCAGCTAATTTTTGTATTTTTAGTAGAGACAAAGTTTCACCATATTGGCCAGGCTTGGTCTCAAACTCCCGGCCTCAGGTGATCCACCCGCCTCGGCCTCCCAAAGTGTTGGGATTACAGGTGTGAGCCATCATTCCCAACTTATTGTGTTTTTTCTTTTTCAAAACTTATCACTGTGAGGTCATGCAAAACCTTCAAAATATTTATGTAGGCAAATATTTTTCTTTTTTCTATAATGGTTCTGGGCTTCCTGTCTTGCTTAAAATTTCTGCCTCATTGGCCAGTAATCACATCACTTTTGGGAGGCTGAGGCGGGCAGATCACGAAGTCAAGAGATGGAGACCATCCCGGCCAACACAGGGAAATCCCGTCTCTACTAAAAAACAAAAAATTAGCCGGGCATGGTGGTGCGCGCCTGCAGTCCCAGCTACTTGGGAGGCTGAGGCAGGGGAATCCCTTGAATTCAGGAGGCGGAGGTTGCAGTGAGCCGAGATTGTGCCACTGTACTACAGCCTGACGACAGAGCAAGACTCCGTCTCAAAAAAAGAAAAAAAAAATTAGGCGTGTGTGGTGGCGGGTGCCTGTAATCCCAGCTACTCTGGAGGTTGAGGCAAGAGAACTGCTTGAACCTGGGAGGTGGAGGTTGCCATGAGCTGAGATGGTGCCACTGCACTCCAGCCTGGGCAACAGAATGAGACTGTCTCAAAAAAAAATTTTTTTTTCCTCTTAAGTTTCTGTTTTGTAAATTTTTATATTTTTTAATTCTTCTGGATTTTTTTTTTTTTTCCTAGACAGGGTCTTGCTCTATTTCCCGGGCTGGAGTGCAGTGGTGCTACCGTGCTATCTCGACTCACACCAGCCTCGACTTCCCTCGACTTCCTGGGTTCATATTATCCTCCCACCTCAGTCTCCCAAGTAGCTGGGACAACAGATGCACATCACCACACTCACGTCATTTTTGTCAGTCTCGCCATATTGCCCAGGCTAGGTGTGAACTCCTGGGCTCAAGTGATCTGCCCACCTCGGCCTCCCAAAGTGTTGGTATTACAGCCTCTTCTGGAATTTATTTTTCAATGTTCTTGCTTTAAATCGAAAGTCAATTAAAACCAGGATCATTGGCCGGGCACGGTGGCTCATGTCTGTAATCCCAGCCCTTTGGGAGGCCGAGGCGGGCTGATCACCTGAGGTCGGGAGTTCGAGACCAGCCTGACCAACGTGGAGAAACCCCGTCTCTACTAAAAATACAAAATTAGCCAGGCGTGGTGGCGCATGCCTGTAATCCTCAGGAAGGCTGAGGCAGGAGAATCGCTTGACCGGGGGACGCAGAGTTGCGGTGAGCCAAGATCGCGCCATTGCACTCCAGCCTGGGCAACAGTAGCGAAACTCTCATTCAAAATAAGTAAATAAATAAAAAATAAAAAAACTAGGATCATTTCTCAAATAAACTATTGGTTTGTCACTTAATTGATTTGTCACGTTTGCTTTTTATTATGTTGTACTTCTAGATTTTATCCCTGACTACTCAACTATTTGTCCAGGGTAATATAGGAGCATTACGTTAGAATATACTAGCTTTGGAGTGAGTTAAAATGTTGGTTTTCAGTAAGTAAAATTTAAGTGTCCCACTAGAAAGAGGACTGTGATTTTTCGCGGTTGGGGTCAAAGGTAACAGGAAACAAGGTAGGCAAAAAGGGGTAAAGTTTAAGGCTCTGCAGACAAATGTTAGGTGTTGTTACTGCAAAATTGAACAAAGAACAAGAATCTTGGGCTTGAAAGCCTGGACTTTTCCCTAGAAACAACCATTCACAGTGTAGGGACTGAAGGGCCAGCTGTGAGGCAGCCGAGCTAGCGCCCTATCCTCACAAAGGGAGTGAAAGACGGAGACGGGTATCGGGAAAAAAATAAGTGCTGCGTCCAAGAATTTAGGAGTCAGTCCATGTCGCAGAACAGGGAGAAGGGCTGGGAAGAAAAGGCCAGCAAGGAACCTAGGAAGAGCGGAATCTCTCGGGAGGAGGTTATGGAGGCCGCAGCGGGTGATGGGTCTCTCCTGAAGGCGACTTGCCGGGGATTCCCTATTCCGCAGTCCTCTGGGAGTCGCAAAGAGAGTTAGGAAAGGCCGTGCAGCAGCGTCGCAGCCGGGCTGGCAACGGTAGAGGAATCGGCAGTGAGGCCTCTCCCCACACCCTGCCAGCCCAACTGCCGCCGCCGCCGCCGCCGCCACCGCGGGGCCCGGGATTGGCCCGAGGGCGGCGCAGGGCGGGGCGGGGGCTGCTGGGATGCAGGCCTGAGAGGCTGGCGCGCGCGCACACGGGCGCGGGTTCGGCGGCGGCGCGCGCGTGCTCTGTCGGCCTGTGCGGCGCTGCGGCGGAGCGGGCCATGGCAGTGGGGAGGGGGCGAGTGTAGTGCTGCGCGGGGCAGGCGGGAGGTGATCGAGAGAGGCAGGGATGGGGGCGCCGGAGTGGAGCGGTTGCGGCGGCCTGGGCTGCTGACTGCGCACTTGGAATAGTAGCAGGCGGCGGCGGCGGAACGCCAGGCAGGTGAGTGCGGCGGCCGGGACCCGGATGCGGCGCGGCTGAGGGGCGGCTGGGTCGCGGCGCCGGCTGCGGTGCCCCCGGGCGTGCTGGCGGTGCGTTCTAGCTTGCCGCTACCTGCGGCGCTGGCGACTCTTGTGGTTGCACCGCGCTTCCTGCCAGCTTGGAGGATAACCGCCTACCGGCCGGTGGGGGCGTCTGGCTTGGTTGCGGCCCGCCCTGGGCTCTCCAAGGTGAGTGGCGCCCCCCGGCCCCTGGGCGGCAGAGACGCTGCCGGGCGTCCCGGGTCACTGTCGCTTTGGGTCCCGTTCCTGAGGGGCGTTTCTGTGGAGAGACGGCGTACTCGCGCCCCGCGTCTATGCGGACACCTCCGGAACTTCCCGACCCTCAGGTGCCTTTTTGCGCAGAAGTGTATTTCAGAGGCGTGGACCCAGGGTTATTAGGTTATGGACATGTTTTCGAATCCCAACGCCGCTGCTGACCAGTCCTGGGGCCTTGGGCCAAAATATCCTGATGTGTTAAATGGAAATAATAATACATACACCATAAGGTTGTTGTGAGGTTAGGCATAACTGAACAAGTGCTAAGTAAATGATACCCCTGCTGCAGCATCTCGTGTTAGCTATTGCTAATTCCTGGCTGCTGGCGTGCGTTTGGGGGCACATTTATTTCCGATCTGCTCTGGTGTTGCAGTAACCGATACTGGAGTTGCTTAATATTGGAGCCTGTTAACCTCGCAGTGGCCAAAATAGAATCCTATAGTCCCTTACTAGAATCCTGCAGTCTCTTCCCGCAGGGCTGAATTGGAACCCTGTCTCAGGTACTGAGTGGGAATTACTGCTGAAATGAAACCGAGCAAATTCGGGATTCGCTTAGGATGAAAGATGGTGGGACGTAAACTTGAAGTGCTTTGCTGTTTCATCTCAAGTGACACTTGAACTCTGCCACTTGTTACAGAGTTATAAACACACGAAGAGTATGGAAACAGACTCTTTTTTCTGCATTGCTACATCCAAAGGGAGTGACAAGTGCTTTTGTAAACATCATTGTGGGCAGTGTGACTGTCTGGTGAAGTCATGATAATTAAATGAGTACTTATTTTGAAGCACTGAATGGAAGTTTGGAGATATGATTCGTAATAAAATTGTCTCCAACGAGTCAGAGGTCTCAGCAGTTCATTAATCATTTGGGGATTTTTATGCTACATTGTAAGATTTTATGGTAAAAGCAGAACTGTTTAAGTCATAATAATGTAGCACAGGAAAGGGTGGTCAGATAAGGATCTTAACCCAGTTTCAGAATGCAGGTATGGAAGAAAGTAAAGTCTTTTTTCTGACCAGGTGCGTTGGCTCACGCCTGTAATCCCAGCACTTTGGGAGGCCGAGGCGGGCGGATCAATTGATTCCAGGAGTTCGACACCAGCCCAAGCAACATGGTGAAACCCCGTCTCTACCAAAAACACAAAAATTAGCAGGGCGTGGTGGCGGGCGCTTGTAATCCCAGCTACTTGGGAGGCTGAGGCAGGAGAATCCCTTGAACCCGGGAGGCGGAGGTTGCAGTGAGCCGAGATGGCACCACTGGACTCCAGCCTGGGCAACAGAGGGATACCCTGTCTCAAAAAGAAAAAAAAAAAATCTTTTTGAGACCGAATCTTGCTTCTTTTTTAAAAAAAAATTATTGTTGTTTTTTGAGGCAGGGTCTCGGTCTGTCGCCCAGGCTGGAGTGCAATGTCGCCATCTTGGCTCACTGCAACCTCCGCCTCCTGGGTTCAAGCGATCCTCCTGCCTCAGGCTCCCTAGTGGCTGAGACTACAGGGGCGTGCCACCACGCCTGGCCAATCTTTCAATTTTGTTTTTTTTTTTTTTTTTTTGAGACGGAGTTTCGCTTTTGTTGTCCAGGCTGGAGTGCAATGACGCGATCTCCAGCTCACCGCAACCTCCGCCTCCCGGGTTCAAGCGATTCTCCTGCCATAGCCTCCCGAGTAGTTGGGATTACAGGCATGTGCCACCACACGCGGCTAATTTTGTACTTTTTTTGGTAGAGACGGGGTTTCTCCATGTTGGTCAGGGTGGTCTCGGACTCCCAACCTCAGGTATCCGCCCGCCTCGGCCTCCCAAACTGCTGGGATTACAGGAGGAAGCCACCGCGCCCGGCCCAATCTTTGTATTTTTGGTAGAGAGGTGGTTTTGCCATGTTGGCCAGGCTGGTCTTGATCTCCTGGGCTCAAATGATCCGCCAGCCTGGGCCTCCCAAAATGCTGGGATTACAGGCATGAACCACCGCGACCGGCCGAAAGTAAAAATCTTAAAGGTTTAAACTGGAATTGTATTCACTAAAGCCAAAATGACTTAAGAAGCAAAAATCTAATTTACACCCCTGATTCACACCCTGAGTCCACCACCTTCGGAGTGTTTTTTAGAAGTGTTGAAAATCAAGTCGGGTTTTGATTTGTCATTTTGCACCTCTTGCCTATCTTTCTTGGTGTTCTTAAAGACTCATCCATAAAGGCTTTTGCTTCAACTTGCTTTGTGAATGTCAGCCAACTATATGGAAAAAAGTGAAAAATGAACACTGTAGTCTAAATTATGTTCTTTCTTGAGGTTTTCCCAGTTGTCTAGCTTAGACTGTTGAACTCAACAGTAGAACTACTGCTAGCCACTGTGAAAAGGCTGGGAGTCAGAAGTCACCTCTTGGTTTTAGGCCTCAACCTGGGTAAAAACAGCTGGGGCTATGGGGATGTTACCCAGTCTTATGGGCCTCTGTTTTGTTTGTTTGTTTGTTTTGAGATGGAGTCTCTCTCTGTCGCCAGGCTGGAGTGCAATGGCACGATCTCTGCTCACTGTGACCTCCCGGGTTCAAGCGATTCTCCTGCCTCAGCCTCCAAATTAGTTGGGACTACAGGTGCACACCACCATGCCCCGCTAATTTTTGTATTTTTAGTAAACATGGGGTTTCACCATATTGGCCAGGATGGTCTCAGTCTTTTGACCTCGTGTTCCTCCCGCCTTGGCCTCCCAAAGTGCTGGGATTACAGGCGTCAGCCACTGTGCCTGGCCCCAATAAATAAATTATTTATTTTTATTTTTTATTTTGTTTTTATTTATTTACTTATTTAGAGACTGAGTTTTGCCCTTGTTGCCCAGGCTGGAGTGCAATGTGCAATCTTGGCTCACTGCAACCTCCGCCTCCCCGGTTCAAACAATTCTTCTGCCTCAGCCTCCCAAGTAGCTGGGATTACAGGCACCCGCCACCACGCCCAGCTAATTTTTTGTATTTTTAGGGGTTTCTCCATGTTGGCCAGGCTGGTCTTGAACTCCTGACCTCAGGTGATCTGGCCGCCTCGGCCTCCCAAAGTGCTGGGATTACAGGCGTGAGCCACTGCGCCTAGCACTATTTTTAATTTTAATTTAATTTAATTTTATTTTATTTTATTTTATTTATTTGAGACGGAGTCTCACTCTGTTGCCCAGCCTGGAGTTCACACCTCCTGGGTTCACGCCGTTCTCCTGTCTCAGCCTCCCCAGTAGCTGGGACCATAGGTGCCCGCCACCACGCCTGGCTAATTTTTTGTATTTTTTTTTTAGTAGAGACGGGGTTTCACCGTGTTAGTCAGGGCGGTCTTGATCTCCTGACCTCGTGATCCGCCCGCCTTGGCCTCCCAAAGTGCTGGGACTCCAGGCGGGAGCCACCGCGCCTTGCCCCCAATAAATAAATAAAATACTTAACTGAGGAAAGTGAGTTCCTGCTTTATTATTATTATTATTATTATTATTATTATTATTATTATTATTATTATTTTGAGACGGAGTTTCGCTCTGTTGCCCAGGCTAGAGTGCAGTGGTGCGATCTCGGCTTACCGCAAGCTCCGCCTCCCGGGTTCACGCCATTCTCCTGCCTCAGCCTCCCAAGTAGCTGGGACTACAGGCGCCAGCCAACACGCCCGGCTAATTTTTTTGTGTGTTTTTAGTAGAGACAGGGTTTCACCGTGTTCACCAGGATGGTCTCGATCTCCTGACCTCGTGATCCGCCCATCTCGGCCTCCCAAAGTGCTGGGATTACAGGCGTCATCCACTCCGGCCCCTGCTTTATTATTTGTGTATTCTCTTGGACTTGTTCCTTTTGATTTTTTGTTTTGTTTTGTTTTGTTTGAGACGGAGTCGTGCTCTGCCGTTCAGGCTGGAGTGCGGTGGCGCCATCTTGGCTCGCTGCAACCTCCGCCTCCCGGGTTCAAGGAATTATCCTGCCTCAGCCTCCCGAGTAGCTGGGATTACAAGGCGTGCGCTACCACGCCTGGCTAGTTTTTTTGTATTTTTAGTAGAGACAGGGTTTCACCATATTGGCCAGACTGGTCTAGAACTCCTAACCTCAGGTGATCCGCCCACCTCGTCCTTCCAAAGTGCTGGGATTACAGAGGTGAGCCACCGCGCCTGGGCCCCTTTTTTTATTTATAGAATTTGGCTTACCGTGGTGGGCAGGGGGTGGTTGTGGTGGTGTACTAGAAAATCACATTATGTAAAGGAACCTTCTAGGATATTCGAGTTTTATGGCTTTCCTCCTCTTCACTCTCTTTGACTTTTCCTTCTCTTGTTGAGTTCAAAACATTCTAATGCCCCAGGGCTTCCGGCCTGTCCCTATTCCTTTCTCTACCTGTATTCTTTCTGAATGATCTCATGTTGTCCTGTCCTGTGGTTTATTTATTTATTTTTAGTAGAGAAACTAAAAATAAGTAAATTGTTGTCAACTGCTGTTGCCTCTCAAGATTTTTATCTCCAGTCCTGAACTTCAGTCTTCTGCCTGCCTACATGACACCTTCATTTCGTCTGTTTTTAGGCGTCTTTCAATGTAATGGGTTCGCATGGATCTCTTAATTCCCATTCTTATTCCTTCCCTAGCAGTTTTCTTTCTTCTTTTTTGAGATGGAGTTTCGCTCTTGTTGCCCAGGCTGGAGTACAGTGGCGCAATCTCGGCTCACTGCAACCTCCGCCTCCTGGGTTCAAGCGATTCTCCTGTTTTAGCCTCCGAAGTAGCTGGGATTATAGGCGCACGCCACCACGCCCGGCTAACCCTAGCAGTTTTCATGTCGTAGCACCCCGCTGCCCCACTCACCATCCTGTTTGAGTGTAAAATCTAGTGGTTATGTTTAATTTATCCCTTTGTCTCATCCTCCCTCACTGTACGCTCAGCCAATCCTTGAGCACACTCTAAATTTTATCTCCAAAATATATCCCACATATGTTTATTTTCATTTCCACTACCCCAGTTCTTCCTGGGTAGTACCTTCCTAACTGGTCTCCTTGCCTCTGTTCTTACTCTATTTTTCACACAGCAGTCGGAGTGATTTTTACTTATTCTCCTGTTCCAGTGGATTCTCATTACACTAAGAAGTAAATCCAAACTTTATCTGCATGTCAGCGAATTGTTTATTTTTATTTTATTTTATTTTTAAAATAGAGATGGGATCTTGCTATGTTGCTCAGGGGTCTTGAATTCCTAGGCTGAAGCAATCCACCCATCTCAGCCTTTATTTATTTTTATTAAATTTTCCTTTATCTGTCATAATCTGTTTGAGTGCTAAAAAATAAATAAAATAAAAAAATTTGGCCGGACACGGAGGCTCACGCTTGTAATCCCAGAACTTTGGGAGGCTGAGGTGGGCGGATCACCTGAGGTCAGGAGTTCGAGACCAGCCTGGCCAACATGGCAAAACCCCATCTCTACTAAAAATACAAAAAAAAAAAAAAAAAAATTAGCCTGGTGTGGTGGCATGCGCCTGTAATCCCAGCTATTCTGGAGGCTGAAGCAGGAGAATCGGTTGAACCTGGGAGGCGGAGGTTGCAGTGAGCCAAGGTGCACCATTGCACTCCAGCTTGGGCAACAAGAGTGAAACTCCGTCTCAGAAAAAAAATAAAAAATAAAAGATAAAATTTTTTTAGAGGCGGGGTCTCCTTATGCTGCCTAAGCTGGAGTCCAGTGGGCATTCACAGGTAGTATTATAGGGCACTACAGCCTTGAACTCCTGGTCTCAAGTGATCCTCCTGCCTCAGTCTCCCCAGTAGCTTTAGGCACATTTCACCTCTCCCAGCTTGCTTATTTTATTGTTCATTTATTTATGGTCTTTTTCCTCCAATATAATATAAGCTTCATGATGGCAGGGACCTTGTCTTCCCTGGAGTATTTTCAGGAACCAGAACAATGCCTGGAAAATTTAACTAATGGGGCTGGGCGCTGTGGTTTACGCCTGTAATCCCAGCATTTTGGGAGGCCGAGACGGGCGGATCACAAGGTCAGGAGATCGAGACCATCCTGGCTAACACCGTGAAAACCCGTCTCTACTAAAAATACAAAAAATTAGCCGGGCGTGGTGGCGGGCGCCTGTAATCCCAGCTACTCGGGAGGCTGAGGCAAGAGAATGGCGTCAACCCGGGAGGCGGAGCTTGCAGTGAGCCGAGATCGCGCCATTGCACTCCAGCCTGGGCGATAGAGCGAGACTCCATCTCAAAAAAAAAAAAAAAAAAAGGAAATTTAATTACTGTTGAATGAATAAATGTAGGAATGAAATTAGTTCTAAAATCTTTTGATTGAATGTACAATGTATATCCTGAACACACTTCCCCCTTTTTTTGGTTCCGGATTTGGGCAAATTAGACAGTAACCAGAGACCCTAGAGTTATTATTCTATCAGGTACCTTTTTTTGTTTTGTTTTGTTTTTTTTGAGACGGAGTCTCGCTCTGTCACCCAGGTTGGAGTGCAGTGGCGCGATCTCAGTTTACTTCAAGCTCCGCCTCCCAGGTTCACGCCATTTTCCTGCTTCAGCCTCCTGAGTGGCTGGGATTACAGGCGCCCCCACCACGCCCGGCTAATTTTTTTTTTTTTTGTATTTTTTTAGTAGAGACAGGGTTTCACCGTGTTAGCCAGGATAGTCTCGATTTCCTGACCTTGTGATCCGCCCGCCTCGGCCTCCCAAAGTCCTGGGATTACAGGTGTGAGCCCCCGGGCCCGGCCTTTTTGTTTTGTTTTTGAAGAGACCAGGTCTGGTTCTGTCACCCAGGCTGGAGTGCAGGGGCACAATCGTAGCTCACCGTAACCTCGAACTGCTGTGCTCAAGTGATCCTCCTGCACCGGCCTCCTAAGTGGTTATTAATAGTACTATAGGCATATACCATCATGCCTGCCTGGCTAACTAAAAAAAAAAAAAATTTCTTAGGTAGAAGACACAGGCTCTTGCTATGTTGCCCAGGCTGGGTCTCATGCTCTTGGCCTCAAGCCATCTTCCTGCCTTGGCCTCCCAAAGTGCTCTGATTACAGGCTAGAGCCACTGAACCCAGCCTTCTATTAGGCGTTCTTAACTCTCTCAATCTTCGTTAAGGTGCTCTACCCCTGAAAAGACCAAGCCTTTAGACATTAAGCAATTAATGACAAAAACGAGTGTGAATTTTGTTCACTGCGTCCTGAATCATTAGTCTTTTTGAAAATAAGGAACCAAACAAAACCACCTTGTTTTGTCCTTTTGAGGCCTTGAATTTTGGTCTTGACTGAAGGGGACTGGTTTTAGGATGTGGTAGTTTGATCCTGTATTCAATCGTATTTAGTATTTTTAGAGATCAGGAATATTTATTTATTTATTTATTTATTGACCGAGTTTTGCTCTTGTTGCCCAGGCTGGAGTGCAATGGTGCAATCTCGGTTCACTGCAACCTCTGCCTGCTGGGTTCAAGCAATTCTCCTGCCTCAGCCTCCCGAGTAGCTGGGATTACAGGTGCCCACAACCACGCCCAGCTAATTTTGTATTTTTAGTAGAGACGGGGTTTTTACCATGTTAGTCAGGCTGGTCTCGAACTCCTGACCTCAGGCGATCCGCCTGCCTTGGCCTCCCAAAGTGCTGGGATTACAGGCATAAGCCACTGCGCCTGGCCAGGAATTTTTAGTTTAATTAGACAACTTAGTTTTTGAATCTGAGACCCTCCCATTGCACACGTGTGTGAGAGAGTGTATGTGTTGTAAGAATGTATGTGTATGTATGCTCTGAACTATTTGGTTTAGAGTTACCATATCTTTTTTTTTTTTCTCATTAAACTTTGTTTTGATGGGTCTCAAAATTCTGTGACCGATTTTTGGTCCAGTTGTTTCCATTAAAAACTACTGATTTTAAAAGTTAATAATTTAAAACTGCCACATGCCAAAAAAAAAAAAAAAAAAAAAACCCAAATGGTCCATAACACATTCTCCTTTTCTTCTGAGGGGTTTACAGTGCATTGTTATCATTAACCAGTCATTTACTATTAAACCTAAATGGCTGATTGAAACAAACATTTCTGAGGCTATTCTTCCACCACTGATTAAGACTCAGGTGGCAGGTATTAGGGATAATATTCATTTAGCCTTCTGAGCTTTCTGGGCAGACTTGGTGACCTTGCCAGCTCCAGCAGCCTTCTTGTCCACTGCTTTGATGACACCCACGGCAACTCTGTTTCATATCACGAGCAGCAAAATGACCCAGAGGAGGATAGTCCTAGAAGCTCTCAACATACATCGGCTTGTCAGGAACCATATCAACTATGGCAGCACCACCAGACTTCAAGAATTTAGGGCCATCTTCCAGCTTCTTACTAGAATGGTGATCAATCTTTTTCCTTCAGGTCAGCAAACTTGCAAGCTGTGTAAGCTGTGTGACAATCCAGTACAGTGGCATAGCCAGCACTGATTTGGCCTGAATGGTTCAGGATAATCACTTGAGCAGTGAAGCCAGCTGCTTCCATTGGTGGGTCATTTTTGCTGTCACCAGCAACGTTGCCGTGATGAACATCTTTGACAGACACATTCTTGACATTGAAGTCCACATTGTCTGCAGGAAGAGCTTCACCCAAAGCTTCATGGTGCATTTCAACAGACTGCTTCAGTTGTAACATTGACTGGAGCAAAGGTGACCACCATTCCGGGTTTGAGAACACCAGTCTCCACTTGGCCTATAGGCACAGTACCAATATCACCAGTTTTGTAGACATCCTGGAGAGACAGATGCAAGGGTTTGTCAGTTGGATGAGTTAGTGGTAGGATGCAGTCCAGAGCTTCGAGTAGCATGGTTCCCCTGGCATTGCCATCTTTATGGGTGACTTTCTATCCCATGAACCAAGGCATGTTATCACTTGGCTTCAGCATGTTGTCACTGTTCCCACCAGAAGTTGGCACAAATGCTACTGTGTCGGGGTTGTAGCCAATTTTCTTAATGTAAGTGCTGACTTCCTTAATGATTTCCTCATATCTGTATTGGCTGTAGGGTGGCTCAGTGGAATCCATTTTGTTAACACCAATTAGTTGCTTCACACTTCAGCATATAAGCCAGAAGGGCATGCTGACAGGTCTGCCCATTTTTGGAGATACCAGCTTTAAATTCTCCGACACCAGCAGCAACAATCAGAACAGCACAGTCAGCCTGAGATGTCCCTATAATCATGTTATTGATAAAGTCTCTGTCTTCTTGAGCATCAGTGATGGTCACGTAATACTTGCTGTTCTCATATTTTCATAGGGAGATACCAATGGTGATACCATGTTCATGCTCAGCTTTCAGTTTATCCAAGACCCAGGCATACTTGAAGGAGTCCTTTCCCATCTCTGTAGCTGCCTTCTCAAATCTTTTTTTTGACAGGGTCTCACTCTGTCACCCAGATTGGAGTGCAGTGGTGCAATCGTGGCCCACTGCAGCCTTGACCTCCCCAGGTTCAAGTGATCCTTCCAGCCTCCCAAGTAGCTGGGAGTACAGGCATGCACCATTATGCCCAGCTAACTTTTTTTTTTTTTTTTTTTTTTGGTATTTTGTAGAGGCAGTGTTTCACCATGTTGCCCAGGCTGGTCTCAAACTCCTGAGCTCAGGTGATTTGCCTGCTTGGCCTCCCAAAGAGCTGAGATTACAGGTGTGAGTCATGGCACCCAGCCTAGGATCTTTCTTTTTGTGACCCCCCTTCTCCCCGAGAATGTATATCTCCTTCATTTCTTTTCTTTTTTTTCCGAAGTGGAGTTTTGCTCTTGTTGCCCAGGCTGGAGTGCAATGGCGTGATCTTGGCTCACTGCAACCTCCGCCTCCCGGGTTCAAGTGATTCTCCTGGTCTCAAACTCCAGCGTCAGGTGGGTCCACCTGCCTGGGCCTCCCAAAGTGTTGGGATTACAGGGATGAGCCACCGCGCCCGGCCATATCTCCTTATTTTCTTTTAATAGCTCCTCAGATATTTAGCAGATCACCTGAGGTTGACCCTTTAACTGGGAGTAGCTGGCTTACTGCTGGAATCAAGAATGTGAATCTCAACAGTCATCTCCTATATTATAGTATTGCTAGAGATAGGTCTGCAGCTCAGAATTCTCCCCAGTGTAAACCCAAGGACAGCATCCCTGGTCCTGTAGTTTGTCTTCTGGTGCTTCAGGCATTCAGGAGACCACCAGGCAAATGCTGATTTGCCCTCAAGGGAAATGCGATCCTGATTATCCATGCCTGCAGGGGGAGGATTATATGGATTAAACTAAATCCATGGGTAATCCAAAGGCTTTGTTTTAAACTACAGTTTAACCACATTCCTGACCACAGTTTTTTCTTGTATTTCTAATAACTAATTTATAATATTTACTGATTTCAAATTTATCTTCTTCTCCTGCCACTTAGAAGTAATGGCAGTTGTGAAGTTGAGAAAAGATGGAAGGAGTTAGATAACCAGCAGATGATTTGGTATTAACTGGGTGGTTTAGCTACAGTGCTTTCTAGACCATGAAGACCTGAATTCCATGAATTCCTTACCTGCTGAGTCATTGGTAACTGTCAACAAGAGCTCAAACTCCATTTTGATACATTTGTACTTTACTTGCTTAAATGAATGAGCTCTTGTGATTTAAGTAATCAGTATTTCAGATGATCAGAATTATAACCCGATTTGAAGTTTTCCTTTACTGTTTAATAAGTTAGCCTACTGATAGTTTTTTTATTTTAAAAAAATTTTTTCATTATTATTTTTTGAGACAGAGCCTCGCTCTGTCGCCAGGCTGGAGTGCAGTGGCGCCATCTCGGCTCACTGCAACCTCTGACTCCCTGGTTCAAGTGATTCTCCTGCCTCAGCCTCCCGAGTAGCTGGCATTACAGGCATGCGCCACCACGCCCAGCTAATTTTTGTATTTTTAGTAGAGACGAGGTTTCACCATGTTGCCCAGGATGGTCTCGATCTCCTGACCTCGTGATCTGCCCACCTCTACCTCCCAAAGTGCTGGGATTTCAGGCGTGAGCCACCTTGCCCGACCGTTGCTTTTTTTTTTTTCTGTAGCCAGTCTACTACTACATCTGACAAGTTACGTGTTCATAGTTATACAATAACTATTCATATTTCATTAAATAGTTGAAATATGATCACTTAAAATTGTTTATTCTTGATTTAGTATAGGCCTTGTATTTATTTATTTATTTTTTTAGGGATGGGGACTTGCTGTGTTGCCCAGCTGGCCTGTAACTCCTGGGCTCAAGCGATCCCCCCACCTCAGGCTCCAGAGTAGCTGGGACCATGGGCAGGTGTTGTATTTAGATTCTATTAAAGTCAGTGTTTTCTTGTAGCTTCATAAACCATTACAAATTGTTGCCATTGTGTTATCTGAAAAAAAATGTAGTTTGTTAACTAAAACGTTTTTCTGCAGTGATAAATATCGGCTTGAACCCAGGAGGCGGAGGCTGCAGTGAGCCGAGATCACGCCACTGCAAATATATATATATATATTTCATGTATATATATTTCGTATATATGTTTCATGTATATTTCATATATATATTTCATGTATAAATATTTCATATATATATTTCATATATATTTCGTATATATATTTCATGTATATATATTTTGTATATATATTTCATATATATATATTTGCAGTGGCGTGATCTCGGCTCACTGCAGCCTCCGCCTCCTGAGTTCAAGCCGATTCTCCTGCCTCAGCCTCCCAAGTAGCTGGGATTATAGGCGCATGCCACACGCCTGGCTGATTTTTGTATTTGTAGTAGAGATGGGGTTTCACCGTGTTGGCCAGGCTCGTCTCGAACTCCTGACCTCAGGTGATCCACCCACCTCAGCCTCCCAAAGTGTTGAGCCACCGTACCTGGCTGCAGTTACGTATTTTCTTTTTCTTTTTCTTTTATTTTTGAGACGGGGTCTCACTGTGTCGCCCAGGCTGGAGTACAGTGTCGTGAACTTGGCTGAACCTCCCAGGTTCCAGCTGTTCTCCTGCCTCAGCCTCCTGAGAAGCTGGAACTACAGGTGCATGCCACCATGCCCGGCTAACTTTTGTATTTTTTAGTAGAGACAGGGCTTCACCGTATTGGCCAGGCTGGTCTCGAACTCCTGATCTGCCCTTCCTGACCTTGTGATCTGCCTGCCTCGGCCTCCCAAAGTGCTGGGATTATAGGCGTGAGCCACCATACCCGGCCTAGTTATATATTTTCAAAAGTCAAGTTCCATATTTATGAGCTAGTTATCATTCCCCTTAAATTTTGAGCAAGAGTTCCTGGGGATAGCCAACTGGAATTCTTTTTTTTTTTCTGGAGACAGGGTCTTGCTCTGTCACCCAGGCTGGAGTGCAGTGGAACCATCTTGGCTCTCTGCAGTGTGGACCTCCTGAGCTCAAGCGAGCCTCCCCAGTATCTGGGATTATAAGTGTGTGCTACCACATCTGGCTACTTGTTGTATTTTTCATGGAGAAAGATTTTGCCATGTTGCTCAGGCTAGTCTCAAACTTCTGGGCTTGAGTGATCTGCCAGCCTCAGCCTCCCAAAGTGCTGGGATTACAGGTGTGAACCAAAGCACCCGGCCAAGCTGTCTTAACTCTTGATGTGCACATTCACTCACCATTCCATTATTAATATTTTTCCTTTTTTTATTTTTATTTTTATTTTTTGAAATGGAGTCTTACTCTGTTGCCCAACCTGGAGTGCAGTGACGCCATCTCGGCTCACTGCAACCTCTCCCTCCCAGGTTCAAGCGATTCTTCTGTGTCAGCCTCCCAAGTAGCTGGAATTACAGGTGCCTGCCACCACTCCCAGCTAATTTTTGTGTTTTTAGTAGAGGTGGGGTTTTACCATGTTGGTCTGGCTGGTCTTGACCTCCTGACCTCAGGTGATCCACCCATCTCGGCCTCCCAGAGTGCTGGGATTACAGACGTGAGCCGCCATGCCCAGGCTATTAATATTTTTTCTAACTGAGGAGCTTCTGGGTTTTAGGTCTTCATTTTGCTCACAAGTATTGTCTAATATCTCTGTAATTTGTACATGATGGTCCAGTGGCTCCTGACCTCAGGTGAGCCACCCGCCGCAGCCTCCCAAAGTGCTGGGATTACAGGCATGAGCCACCCTGCTCAGCCCTGAGCATTAATTTTTTTTTTGTTTTTTGTTTTTTTTTTTGAGACGGAGTCTCGTTCTGTCGCCAAGCTGGAGTGCAGTGGCACAATCTCGGCACACTGCAACTTCCGACTCCCGGGTTCAAGGGATCTCCTGCCTCAGCCTCCTGAGTAGCTGGGATTACAGGCACGCACCACCACGCCCAGCTAATTTTTATATTTTTAGTACAGACGGGGTTTCACCATGTTGGCCAAGATGGTCTCGATTTCCTGACCTCGTGATCTGCCCGCCTCAGCCTCCCAAAGTGCTGGGATTACAGGCGTGAGCCACCGTGCCCAGCCCCCATTAATTCTTTTTGTAGGCATTATCCTATTGGTATACTCACATGTGTGGAAAATCATGTATGGTGAAGGCTATTTGTTGCATTATTGTTTATAATGGCAAAATTCCTGAAGTAACTTAAATGTTTTTCACTAGGGGAATTACTTTAAAAAAAATAGGACGTTCCTATGATTGAATGCTCTGTAGCCATTTAACAGAATGAAGAAAGTGGACCAGGCACGGTGGCTCATGCCTATAATCCCAGCATTCTGAGAGGCCGAGGTGGGTGGATCATCTGAAGTCAGTAGTTCTAGACTAGCCTGGCCAACATGGTGAAACCCTGTCTCTAATAAAAGTACAAAAATTAGCCAGGTGTGGTGGTGCGCACTTGTAATCTGAACTACTTGGGAGGCCGAGGCAGGAGAATTGCTTAAGCCCCGGAGGCAGTGGTTGCAGTGAGCTGAAATTGCACCACTGCACTCCAGCCTGGGCAGCAGAGCAAGACTCCATCTCAAAACAAACAAACAAACAGAATGAAGAAAGTGTTTATGTACTGATGTGGAATCATTTTACCACATAAATGAGTTAGGTTAAAAAACCACAAAGGTGTGGTTACAATATGTGGGGAATACTATCATTGTTATTACATTTATTCCTATTAATGAGTAATGTAATAATATTGTAACAGGAAATTCTGAGGTGATGTTTGAATTGAGATGTGAAAGGTGAATTATGTAGGTCAGTGTTTCTCATCTGGGGTTGACTGATGTTTAGGGGCTGTTTCAGGAATGAGAGCAGGGGACGATTTTAGCTTGTACAATTATTGGGGGATATATTAGCATTTAGTGTGCAAAGGCCAGTCATGTTAGCCTTAGTAATATAAAGTGTGCAACAGTCTTGCAAAGCAAAGATTTGTTTTGTGTCCTGTAAGATCATCAATTTTCAGTTCACATAGGTGAAAACCTATTTGTTTTAGTCCGTAACAGTGGATCTCAACTCTGGCTGCACATCAAAATCACTTGAGAAGGCTTTATTGATTGATTGATTGATCGAGACAGAGTCTCGCTCTGTTGCTCAGGCTGGAGTGCAGTGGCACAATCTCAGCTTACTGCAGCTTCTGCCTGAGGTTCAAGCGATTCTCCTGCCTCAGCCACCCAAGTAGCCCGAGACTACAGACACTTGTGACCATGCCCAGCTAATTTTTGTATTTTTAGTGAAAATGGGGTTTCACCATGTTTTCCAGGTTGGTCTCAAACTCCTGGCCTCAAATGATCTGCCCGCCTTGGCCTCCTAAAGCGTTGGGATTACAGGTGTGAGCCACACCATGCCTGGCCTACTTAGGAAGTTTTTAAAAGATGATGAGGCTGTACCTCATACGAATTATATAAAAATCTTTGAGATGATACCTCGGCATCAGTATTGTTTAAAAATGTCCTTCTTATTCTAATGTATAGCCCAGGTTGAAACCATTGCCTAAATCCTAACTTCATTTTACACATAAACAAAATATAAAAATGGCATGGTTTTAATATTCAGTTTTCCCAGAATTCACCTTCTTTGGAAATCTAGAGGAGATTATGCTTTAGTTTGTTCAGAACTTTACCAAGAGTTATCTTTCTAAAATTTAAAATTTATGTCACCAGTGGCATATGTTGGTAGTGATTTTTTTTTTTTTTTGGAGACGGAGTCTCACTCTGTCGCCCAGGCTGGAGGACAATGGCGCAATCTCGGCTAACTGCCATCTCCGCCTCCAGGGTTCAAGTGATTCTTTTGCCTCAGCCTCCTGAGTAGCTGGGACTACAGGCACGTGCCACCACGCCTGGCTAGTTTTTGTATTTTTAGTAGAGACGGGGTTTTACCGTGTTAGCCAGGATGGTCTCGATCTCCAGACCTTGTGAACCACCCACCTTGGCCTCCCAAAGTGCTGGGATTACAGGCGTGAGCCACTGCGCCCGGCCCGGTAGTGATGTTTAATCACCAAGACAATATGTGCACATCAGTCTGCCTTTGTAGCTGTGATATTCAGTAATTTTAAGTTTAGGTTTAAGCTTCGACTACCTTTTTATGACTTATAATGTAGTCGTACCAGAGCATTTACCATTAGCATATATATAATTTTGTACTAAGTTATATTCCTTTTATTTCTCTTTATATTACAGTTAAGACTCTATATAACATATACATATATGTAACTAAAGTTTTGTTTAGTTTGTATTATGTATACATTTTGTTTCCAATGGTAAAGGGATGTTATGAAATATTTATTATTTTAAAAAAGGAAGCATTGAGTCCAGCACATGGGAAGGCTCTTTAGCAGGAGGGAGCCTGGCATTTTGGAGGAACTAAAAGGAGGCCATTCTAGCCTGAGAGGAGAGAGTGAGGTCAAGAGGTGTGTAGGATAAGGGTGTAAGATGAGCCAAAAAGAGAGGTAGAGTCCATGCAGCACCTTGTAGGCTGTGGGAAGGATCTTGGAGAGTTGTTTGACTGGAACAAAAGCTGAGGCATTGTGAGCTGTAGAGTTGCTTGACCAAGTGGAATTTATAGCTGAAATGGACATTAAAGAGCATATAGTTAAACCATCTTGTTTTACAAATAAGAAAAAGGAAGTTAGGGGAACTTTCCCAAGGTCACACAGTGAATAAATGAGCTAGAGCCAGAACTTGATGACACAGTTCTTTGTTTCTGCCTGACTGCCAGGCAGAGGAGTTAGATTTTAGACATTTAGGAGCATATTGGGTTTTGAGCGAGAGAATTCCAGGATGGAGATGGCTGCATGGCTGTGTGCAGGCTGGAGGCAGTGAATAATAGGGAGTCATGAAGTCAGGACCTCCATGATTTTATTCTCTGGTCAAACTGAATCACTAAATATGAGTTTCCATCTTGACTATTATTTTAAATAGAGACAGGGTCTTACTATGTTACCCAGGCTGGACTTGAACTCCTAGGCTCAAGCTATCGATAGCTCCCACCTCAGCCTCCTGAGTAGCTGGGACTACAAGCATGTACTACCATGCCCAGCCCCATCTTGACTTAAGCTCAATTATTTAATAGCTTTTGTTTTCCTTATTAGAGATGGGATCTCATTCTGTTGCCAAGGCTGGAGTGCAGTGGTGCAGTCATAGCTCACTGCAGCCTCAAACTCCAGGGCTCAAGTACTTGCTCCTCCCACTTCAGCCTCTGGTGACTCGGGAGGCACAAGCCACTGTGCCTAGCTAATAGTTTTTTGTGTTGGTGTACCTGTCTCCCCTTCTAGATCGTATACCTTTTACTTCCTATACATTCTGGCCCAGTGCTTTATTTATATAAAGTATTGAGTTTTACTTGTGAGTTCCCCTAGCATCAAGGTTTGAATTGGGCCATCAGCCTACTAGCATCTACATTTTATGTTGCTGCATTGACTCTTTACCTGGTTGTGTATTTTGGCTCAGTAGTTTTAGGGGTGCCTGCAAGGATTAATTAATTAATGCTCTTCTCTACCAGCATATTTTAATTATTCTACTTTTTTTTTGAGATAGAGTTTCACTCTTGTTGCCCAGGCTAGAGTGCAATGGCATGATCTCAGCTCACCACAACCTCTGTCTCCTTGGTTGCAGTGATTCTCCTGCCTCAGCCTCCCAAGTAGCTGGGATTACAGGCATGCGCCACCAGGCCCGGCTAATTTTTTTTTGTTTTTGTTTTTGTGTTTTTTGAGATGGAGTCTCGCTGTCGCCCAGGCTGGAGTGCAGTGGCACGATCTCGGCTCACTGCAGGCTCCGCCCCCCGGGGTTCATGCCATTCTCCTGCCTCAGCCTCCTGAGTAGCTGGGACTACAGGCGCCCACCACCTCGCCCGGCTAATTTTTTGTATTTTTAGTAGAGACGGGGTTTCACTGTGTTAGCCAGGATGGTCTCGATCTCCAGACCTCGTGATCCGCCCGCCTCGGCCTCCCAAAGTGCTGGGATTCCAGGCGTGAGCCACCGCGCCCGGCCTTTTTTTTTTGTATTTTTAGTAGAGACGGGGTTTCTCCATGTTGGTCAGGCTGGTCTTGAACTCCCGACCTCCAGCGATCCACCTGCCTTGGCCTCCCAAAGTGCTGGGATTACAGGCGTGAGCCACGGCGCCCGGCCAATTACTATACTTTTAAGTTGTGCTGAAAATAAGGAAATACATAGGACCTCTAAGGTTTAGATCTTTTTCAGAATGATTTTTTGTGTACTTAATTCTCTGTAATATTAGCCATGGATTGGTCCTAATATGGTACATCATCTGCTCACCCAAATGAGGTGAATAAACCCTCAGAATTCTTGATACCATTTGGTGACTCACAGTGAGGGTAGGCTCATTGTTACTAGCAATTAACTGACAATCTCCAGTGAAACTGTCACCTTGTGGTTTCTATTTTTTATTTTTTAATTTATATTTATTTATTTATTTATTTATTTATTTATTTTGAGACAAACTCTCACTCTTGTCCCCAGGCTAGAGTACAATGGCATGATCTTGGCTCACTGCAACCTCTGGCCTCCTGGGTTCAAGTGATTCTCCTGCCTCAGCCTCCTGAGTAGCTGGGATTACAGGTGCTTGCCACCATGCCCGGTTAATTTTTGTATTTTTAGTAGAGATGGGGTTTCACCATGTTGGCCAGGCTGGTCTCAAACTCTTGACCTCAAGTGATCCACCCGCCTTGGTCTCCCAAAGTGCTGGAATTATAGGCGTGAGCCACCATGCCCGGCTGGTTTTTATTTTATTTTAATTTATTTACTTTTTAGAGACAGTGTTTCACTCTGTTGCCCAGGCTCACTACAGCTTCAATCTCCTGGTCTCAAACAATCCTCCCACCTCAGCCTCCCATATAGCTGGTACCACAGGCATGCGCCACTATGCCTGGCTAATATTTGTATTTTTTGTAGAGATAGAGGTTTCGCCACATTGCCCAGGCTGGTCTCAAGCTACTGAGCTCAAGTGATCCACCTGCCTCGGTCTCCCAAAGTGCTGGGATTACAGGCATGAGCCATTGCACCCAACCCACCTTGTGGTTTTTAACTACCTTATTCAAATATGTAAAAAGATTATCACTGAGTGTGTGTGTGTGAGTGAAAAATACCTAAAAAGAGGAGCAGTTGCTGCCATGTATTGAGGATTTCTTTGTGCAGGCACCAGGCTAAGTGCGTAATTATTTATTTGAATGCAATTTATCCCTTGGTATCTGTGAAGGATTGGTTTCAGGATTCCCTGTGGATGTCAAAATCCATGGGTGCTCAAGTCTCTTAGATAAAATGGTGTAGTATTTGCATGTAACCTGCACACATCCTCCTGTATACTGTGTACTACTGTATGTTCTAGAGATAACCTGTGCATTTATGAATAATTTATGAATATATACATGTAAACCCCCACTCTCACAAATGGCAGCATAGCATGGTCATTATTCTATGTCTTCTCTTATCACTTAATATATTTGATGCCATGTATCTGTAGGTGTAGAACTGCTTTATTCTTTTTTCAGGACTGCTTTGTATTGTGTCAATGTAACATATTTTTTCTGTATTTATATATGGATGGATGTTTAAATTGTTTCTAATCTTTTTTTAATTCTCTTTCTTCTTTTTTTTTTTCTTTTGTAACACCAGGCATTAAGAATTTGTAATCTTTTGTTATGGTTTTGACTAGTTTTTTTTTTTTTTTTTTTGAGACAGGATGTGGTTCTGTCACCCAGGCTGGAGTGCAGTGGCACAATCTTGGCTCACTGCAACCTCTGCCTCCTGAGCTCAAGGCATCCTCCCACCTGAGCCTCCAGAGTAGCTGGGACTGCAGGAATACACCACCACACCAGACCAATTTTTGTATTTTTTTGTATATATATATATGTATATATATATATATTTTTTTTTTTTTTTTTTTTTTTTGAGACGGAGTCTCGCTCTGTTGCCCAGGCTGGAGTGCAGTGGCGCGATCACGGCTCACTGCAAGCTCCGCCTCCTAGGTTCATGCCATTCTCCTGCCTCAGCCTCCTGAGTAGCTGGGACTGTAGGCGCCTGCCACCATGCCCGGCTAATTTCTTTTTGTATTTTTAGTAGAGACGGGGTTTCACCGTGTTAGCCAGGATGGTCTCGATCTCTTGACCTCATGATCCGCCTGCCTTGGCCTCTCAAAGTGCTGGGATTATAGGCGTGAGCCACCGCGCCTGGCCAAATTTTTGTATTTTTTGTAGAGATGGGGTTTTGCCATGTTGCCCAGGCTGGGCTAGAATTCCTGAGCTCAAGTGATCTGCCCACCTTGGCCTCCCAAAATGCTGGGATTACAGGTGTGAGCCATGCCTAGGCGGTTTTGACTAGTTTATTATGGCCAAATTTGAGATCAACCTTTGGAACATATATGTGGAGACAGAGACAAAGGATAACGGTTGAGTGGAGGAAAGGAAGGTGGAGGGTTGGGGAAATCTAGAGAGAGCTAGAAAAAGTAAAGGGAAGAGATATTTAAGGAGAGAGGAATAAAGAATAGGAGTGAAATAGCCCTGGTCTTCCCAAGGCTGATACTGAAACCCAAGACTCAATTTTTTTTTTTTTTTTTGAGATGGTCTCACTCTGTCACCTAGGCTGGAGTGCAGTGGTGTGACCTCAGCTCACTGCAACCTCCACCTCCTGGCTTCAAGTGATTCTCCTGCCTCAACCTCCCTAGTAGCTGGGATTATAGGCGCCCACCACCACACCTGGCTAATTTTTGTATTTTCAGTAGAGTTGTGGTTTCACCATTTTGGTCAAAGTGGTCTCAAGCTCCTGATTTCAAGTGATCCTCCCGCCTGGGCCTCCCAAAGCTCTGGGATTACAGACATGAGCCACTGCACCCACCCAACTCAATCTTTCTATGACTGTCTTGGAACCAGACTGTTTGAGTTTATAGTTATTAGTCATGTGATCTTGGGCAAGTTGTCTTTTCTTTCTGTCCCTCCATGTCCTCTTAAAAATGGGAGAAATGGGATTATACCTCATCATCTCATCATGTGTTGATTCATGTAGAGCTGTTAGTATAGTATCCACATTGAGAAAGCTTTCTGCTCCTTTCCCTGTCCCCAACTTGGCTCTTAATTCAGCCTTTTTCAGCCCAGGTGTATTCCTCCTTCAAACCATTTAGGTTGTGGTAAGGGCCCCACTTGTGTATCTTACACCTTTGTTAGCTTTTACCCCATTTCTTTGGAATGCTCATATCTAATTGTTTACCCCACCTGAGGATGAGAAATCATCTCTTGTAATGTCTTGTATAATTTAATTTCTGCTATCACCACCACTAAAACACTTGACATAATGCCTGGTATAGAGTAGGCCCTTAATCGGCTGGGCGCGGTGGCTCACGCCTGTAATCCCAGCATTTTGGGAGACCGAGGCGGGCAGATCACGAGGTCAGGAGATCGAGACTGTCCTGGCTAACATGGTGAAACCCCGTCTCTACTAAAAATACAAAAAATTAGGTGGGTGTGGTGGTGGGCGCCTGTAGTCCCAGCTACTCGGGAGGCTGAGGCAGGAGAATGGTGTGAACCCAGGAGGCGGAGAGATCGTGCCACTGCACTTCAGCCTGGGCGACAGAGCAAGACTCTGTCTCAAAAAAAAAAAAAAAAAAATAGAGTAGGCCCTTAATCATGTGTGAATTAAACTGAAGAAAGACTTTGGCCTTAGAAACATTTAGCTTGGACAAGCTAACTTTTTAAGCTTTGACTCTGAGGTTTTTTAGATCTTTGGGAACTGTATCACTTAAGTGTGTCTTAACTCTCTGGGTGAACCATAGTCTATGAGTACGAAATGCTGGGGTAGAGCAGAGGGATTCTCTTGACAGAAAAGCTGATGTGGTCCTAAATAGCACTGGTAGAATTGTAGCCCCTCCTAAAAAGGAATGATGTTCAGTTCTAGACACCATTAAAAAAATTTTTTTTTCTTATTTTGAGGTAATTGTAGATTCACATGCAGTTGTAAAAAATAATACAGAGGAATCCATTATCCTTTACCCATAATACTCCAGTGGTAACATCTTGCATAACTATGGAAAGATACCACAGCCACGAAACTGACTTGGCTATAGTTCATATATCTTACTCACATTTCACCAGTTTTACATTCACTTATTTCAGTGTGTATTTAGGTCATTCAGTTTTATTATATATATAGATTTGAGTGACCACCACCACCGTAAAGTCACAATAGTTCCATTACAAGAGTCTCTCATTCTGGCTGGGTGTGGTGGCTTACACCTGTAATCCCAGCACTTTGGGAGGCTGAGGTGGGTGGATCACCTGATGTAAGGAGTTCGAGACCAGCCCGGCCAACATGGTGAAACCCCATCTCTTCTAAAAATACAAAAAATTAGCTGGGCGTGGTGGCACATGACTATAATCCCAGCTACTTGGGAGGCTGAGGCAGGAGAATCGCTTGAACCCGGGAGTCAGGGGTTGCAGTCAGCTGAGGTCATACCATTGCACTCCAGGCTGGGTGACAGAGTGAGACTTCGTCTCAAAAAAAAAAAAGCCAGGCACAGTGGCTCATGCCTGTAATCCCAACACTTTGGAAGGCTGAGGTGGGCGGATCACGAGATCAGGAGTTCAAGACCAGTTTGACCAATGTGGTGAAACCCCATCTCTACTAAAAATACAAAAATTAGCCAGGAGTGGTGGCGCGTGCCTGTAGTCCCAGCTACTTGGGAGGCTGAGGCAGGAGAATCGCTTGAACCCAGGAGGCGGAGGTTGCAGTGAGCCAAGATCGCACCATTTGCACTCCAGCCTGGGTGACAGCGAGACTCTGTCCCCCCAAAAAAAAAAAAACCTCTCATTCTACCTTTTTATAGCCCCAGTCACCTCCCTCCCACCCTTTCTAACCTCTGGCAACCACTAATCTGTTTTTTATGATTTTGTCGTTTCGAGAATGTTATATAAATGAAATCATCTAGGAGTTTGGCTTTTTTCTTTTTTTAGAGATACGGTCTTGCCCTGTTGCCCAGGCTTTAGCATAGTGGTACGATCATAACTCACTGCAGCCTCAAACTCTTGAGCTCAAGCAATCCTCTGGCCTCAGCTTCCCAAGTAGCTGAGAATTACAGGCATGTGCCACTACACCCAGCTAATTTTTTAAAATTTTTGTAGAGACAAGGTTTTGCCACAGTTCCCAGGCTGGTCTTGAACTCCTGGGCTCCAGTGATCTTCCTGCCTTGGTCTCCCAAAGTGCTGGGATTACAGGCATAAGCCACCATGCCTAGCCTGTTTTTTTTTTCAGTCAGCATAATTCTCTGAAGATCCATCTAAATTGTTATGTTTATCTGTAGAAATTTTCTTGCATATCAGGGCCGGGTGCAGTGGCTCACACCTGTAATCCCAGCACTTCGGGAGGCCGAGGCGGGCGGATCATGAGGTCAGGAGATCAAGACCATCCTGGCTAACACGGTGAGACCCCGTCTCTACTAAAAATACAAAAATTAGCCAGGTGTGGTCGCGGGCGCCTGTAATCTCAGCTACTCAGGAGGCTGAGGCAGGAGAATCGCTTGAACCTGGGAGGCGGAGGTTGCAGTGAGCCGAGATTGCGCCATTGCACTCCAGCCTAGGCATCAAAGTGAGACACTGCCAAAAAAAAAAAAAGGTAATTTTCTTGCATATCAATAGTATAGTTACCACATTTAGAAAACTTAACATTGGTATTGTTACCTAATATATAGTTTATATTCCAATTTTACCAATTATGTATTTTTTTCCCACAATAATATTTTTTAGTTGTCCTTAGTGGTGCCATGACAGTGTCTTAGACTTTTTTTTTTTTTTTTTTTTTTTTTTGGCAGAGTCTTGCTCTGTCACCCAGGCTGTAGTGTAGTGGTGCAATCTCGGCTCACTGCAACCTCTGCTCACTGCAACCCTCGCCTCCCAGGTTCAAGCGAGTCTCCTGCCTCAGCCTCCTGAGTAACTGGGATTACAGGCACGCACCACCATGCCCAGCTTATTTTTGTATTTTTAGTAGGAACAGAATTTCGCTACGTTGACCAGGCTGGTGTCAAACGCCTGACCTTGTGATCTGCCCATCTCGGCCTCCCAAGAGTACTGGGATTATAGGTGTGAGCCACCGCGCCCGGCCGACATTTATTTATTTATTTATTTTTTGAGACGGAGTCTCGCTCTGTCGCCTAGGCTGGAGTGCAGTGGCACGATCTCGGCTCACTGCAAGCTCCGCTTCCCGGGTTCATGCCATTCTCCTGCCTCAGCCTCCCGAGTAGCTGGGACTACAGGCGCCTGCCACCATGCCCAGCTAATTTTTTTTGTGTTTTTAGTAGAGCTGGGGTTTCACGGTGTTAGCCAGGATGGTCTCAATCTCCTGACCTCGTGATCCATCCACCTTGGCCTCCCAAAGTGCTGGGATTACAGGCGTGAGCCACCATGCCCGGCCCAACATTTCTTGTTTTTGATGACCATGACAGTTCTGAGGAATACTGGTCAGTTGTTTTGCATAATGTCTTTCAATTGAGTTTTTCTGATTTTTTTTTTTTTAATGATTAGACTGGAATTACGGGTTTTTGCGAGGAAGACCACGGAAGTAAAGTGCCATTTTTCTGACATGATATCAAAAGTATATACTAAAAAATGAATTATCGTTGTTGATGTTGTCCTTGATCAGCTGGCTGAGGTAGTTTGTTAGGTTTCCCTGCTATAAAGTTACTCTTTCCCTCTCCTTTTCATATTATACTTTTTGGAAGGAAGGCACTATGTGCAGCTCACACTTAAAGAGTGGGGCGTTATAGTTCCTTTCCTTGATGGGGGTGTATCTACACAAAGTATTTGGAATTCTGTGTGGGAGATTTATTCTGCCCTCCCATTTATTTGTTTAATCATTTACTTACATCAGTGTAGACTTGTAGATATTTATTTTGTACTTTGGTTTATAATCCAATACTTTATTACTTTGTTGCTCAAAATATTCTAGCTTTGGCCATTGGGAGCTCTTTCAGTTTGCCCTGGTCCCTTTCACGATTTCCTGTCATTGTGTGTGTGTGTTCGTGTGTGTGTATGTGTGTGTTTGAACACTTTTTTAGTTACATTACTACAAGATATTCAAGGCTTACTTTGTGTATTTCTTACCTCATCCTAGGATCAGTCATTTCTCCAAGGGAACTGGTCCCTTTTATTGGAGAACAGTGTTAGAAACTAAGAGCTGAACATAATGTGCCCTCTTTACTACTGGGGTATCTGCTTCTAAGCTCTCTCAGCTGATAGAACAAGGAAATATATGTGAATACTATATACGTATGTCTATAAATTTATCCATACTTAACTATGTCTGTGTTAAGCTAAACATTAGTTTATACTGATGTTTCTAACTCCAGTCCATTCTCGCTTCCTCTTCTTGTTTAACTGCTGTAAACTCCTACTCCAATAGTGAAAAATCTGGCTTTTAATTTTCTTTTTTTTTTTTTTTTTTTGAGGCAAAGTCTCGCTCTTGTCCCCCAGGCTGGAGTGCAATGGTGCAATCTTGGCTTACTGCAACCTCTGCCTCCCGGGTTCAAGTGATTCTCCTGCCTCAGCCTCCTGAGTAGGTGGGATTTCAGGCGCCTGCCACCATGCCCAGCTAATTTTTGTATTTTTAGTAGAGACGGGGTTTCACCATGTTGGCCAGGCTGGTCTTGAACTCCTGACCTCAGGTGATCCGCCCGCCTCGGCCTCCCAAAGTGCTGGGATTACAGGCGTGAGCCACTGCGCCCGGCTTAATTTTCTTAATCATATCTTTCACAGAAGTTGTAAGTTTTTTTTTGAGACAGAATCTCACTCTGTCTCCCAGGCTGGAGTGCAGTGGCGCAGTCTCGGTTCACTGCAGTCTCCGCCTCTCGGGTTCAAACGATTCTCCTGCCTCAGCTTCCTGAGTAGCTGGGATTACAGGTGCGCGCCACCATGCCCGGCTAATTTTTTTTTGCATTTTTAGTAGAGATGGGGTTTCACCATGTTGGCCAGGATGATCTTGAACTCCTGACTCCAGATGATCCACCCGCCTCGGCTGAGATTACAGGCATGAGCCACCGTGCCCGGCCAGAAGTTGTAGGTTTTAATAAAGACCAGCTTACCCAATTTTTTTTTCATAGATCTTGCTTTTTGGTGTTGTATAAAAACTCATAGCCAAACTGAAGATCAACTAGATTTTCCCTTTAAACAGCAGAAATAAATACTTTTAAATATATAAAATGTATTAGTATATGTTATATAGTCTAATATATTCACATATAAAACTTATATTTTATATTCATATATAAAACATTATGTATAGTGTGTGTGTATATATATATAGAGAGAGAGAGAGAGAAAAGGAGAGAGAGAGAGAGGGCCTAGATTTTCTCCTAATTTTTTTTTGTTTTGAGACAGAGTCTTGCTTGTTGTACATGCTAGAGTGCAGTGGCATGTTCTCATCTTACTGTTACCTCTGCCTCCCAGGCTCAAGTGACCCCCACCCCACCTCAGCCTCTTGAGTAGCTGGGACTACAGGTGTGCATTCCCACACCTGGCTCTGTATTTTTCTTTGTAGAGACACACTACTTTGTAGAGACTACAAAGTTGTTCAACAACTTTATAGAGTTGTAGAACAACTCACCTTGTTGCCCAGGCTGGTCTTGAACTCCTGGGCTCAAATGATCTTCCTGCCTTGGCCTCCCAAAGTGCTGAGGTTACAGGTGTATGCCACTGCACCCGGCCTTCTAAATGTTTTATAGGTTTACATATTACATGAGAGGTTGTTTTTTGCACTTCTTTTAACTGAGATTTTGACTGTTGTCAATAAGTAATATATTTTCCCCCTTTAATTTCTTGGATGGGACATGGGGTTCCGTCAGAAGTTTTATAGTTAGAAAAAGAAATGGTAAAATGAAATTTTGGAACTTGCTGAGCAGTGGATAAAAAGCTCTGTTAATTTTGGAATTCAAATACCATATGTCATAGGGAGAAAATAAATGTATCTTTTCCTAGCCCTCAATCTGATTGAGGGAACATGACATATATAATAAAAATAATCAGCACTAAAGGCAACATGTGGTGTAGTGCTTAATTGTGTTTTTAAAAAAAACCCTCGAGTTTATGAGGAGATCAAGGTCAGTGTGAGCTGGACTAGTAAGAGAAGGCATCTTGGAAGCCAGACCTTTTTTTTTTTTTTGAGACAGGATCTTGCTGTCTTCCCCAGGCTGGAGTGCGATGACATGATCATAGCTCACTGCAGCCTCAACCTCCCGAGCTCAAAAGCGATCCTTCCACCATAGCATCTCAAATAGCTGGGACTATAAGTGCCACCACCATGTATGGTTAATTTTTAAAATTTTTAGTGTAGATGAGATCTTGTCATGTTGCCCAGGTTGGTCTTGAACTACTGGACTCAAGTGATCCTCCCACCTTGGCCTTCCAAAATGCTGGGATTATAGGTTTGAGCTACTGTTCCCACCACACCTGGACTTTTCTTTCTTTTTATAGCTGCACAACATTCCGTTATGTGGATGTACCATAGTGCATCTAACCAGTCCTCTGTTGACAAACTTTAAGAAAGTTTATAGTGTATTGGCATTACAAGCAGTGCTGTAATGGATAAATAAGGTTCATTTTATTATTATTTATTTTATTTTTTTGAGACAGTTTCACTCTGTTGCCCATGCTGGAGTGCAGTGGCACAATCTCGGCTCACTGCAACCTCCACCTCCCATGTTCAAGTGATTCTTCTGCCTCAGCCTCCTGAGTAGCTGGGATTACAGGTGTGTGCCACCACACCTGGCTAATTTTTCTATATTTTGTAGAGACGGGGTTTCACCACGTTGCCCAGGCTGGTCTCGAACTCCTGAGTTCAAGCAATTCTCCTGCCTGGGCCTCCCAAAGTGCTAGGGTTATAGGCATGAGCCACTGCACCTGGCCTGGATAAATAAGATTTAGATTTGACTTTGAAACATTTGGTTCATATCCTGTATTATCCCAAGATACAGATTGTGACCAGAAACAATGAAGGCAAATTGACATATTTTCTGTAATAAGTGGCTCATATTTATAACAGTAGTTAACACATCCATATGTATGCATATAATTTATGTATTTGAGGGCACTACTGCAAAAAGTTATAGGAGCTGTGGAATGCTTGCGCATATTATAAAGTTTAAAAATACAAGTTTATTATGGAGAGTAAGCCTCTTATCCCCTGCCTAGAATCTGCAATATTCCAGTTTCTTGTATTTTAAGGGTGGTATTCTTCAACGTCCAGCTGTGTACAGTATCACCATTGGCAAGTTGACTTATTTCCCAGGGTGATTCCCATCCAAGAAATCTCTATTTTCTCACTATCCTCCTAATACAAGCTTATTTTGCTGCTGGCCATTCCAGCTATTTACATTCTGTTGGTCTCTTTTCAAGTCTAATTTTTCTAGAGCAGTCCTGAATAAGCAGGCCTCAATTTCTTTGAGGTTCAGAGCTTCCTCTCTTCAGTTCTAGCATTGTCCATACAACTATGTCACTCTTGGAAATCCCTGTTCTGCTGAGCATGTTTAGTTATCATGTGGGTGAATAATATAACAGTGATCTTTTTTTTTTTGAGATGGAGTCTCACTGTGTCTCCCAGGCTGGAATGCGGTGGTGGGATCTCAGCTCACTACAACCTCTGCCTCCTGGTTCAAGCAATTCTCCTGCCTCAGCCTACAGAGTAGCTGGGACTACAAGCGTGCATCACCACACCTGGCTAATTTTTGTATTTTTAGTTGAGACGAGGTTTTGCCATGTTGGCCAGGCTGGTCTCGAACTTTTGACCTCAAGTGATCTGCCTCCCTTGGCCTCCCAAAGTGCTGGGTTACAGGTGTGAGCTACCTCACCCGGCCGATTTCTCTTAGAGTCTGAGAAAATCACTGAAGATTTAATAAATAAACCACTGATATGTGTATAATTATATTAGCACAGCTTTCTCAATCTTGTAGAAACTATTGCTCTGCTGATCTAATTAAGGAAGTTCTGATTCTTTTTGTAAGGGGAAGAATCCTTTAAAAATGGGAAGATGGGGCCGGGCGCGGTGGCTCATGCCTGTAATCCCAGCACTTTGGGAGGCCAAGGTGGGAGGATCACGAAGTCAGGAGATTGAGACCATCCTGACCAACGTGGTGAAACCCCATCTCTACTAAAAATACAAAAATTAGCCCGGCATGGTGGGGCATGCCTGTAATCCCAGCTACTCAGGAAGCTGAGGCAGGAGAATCGCTTGGACCGGGGATGGGGAGGTTTCAGTGAGCCGAGATTGCGCCACTGCACTCCAGCCTGGTGACAGAGCGAGACTCTCTCAAAAAACAAAACAAAGCAAAACAACAACAACAAAAGAGAAGATGTACATCCTAAATCTGTTTTTGTTTTTGTGTTTTTTGAGACGGAGTCTCGCTCTGTGGCCCAGGCTGGAGTGCTGTGGCGCAATCTTGGCTCACTGCAAGCTCCGCCTCCCAGGTTCATGCCATTCTCCTGCCTCATCCTCCTGAGTAGCTGGGACTACAGGCGCGTGCCACCACGCCTGGCTAATTTTTTTGTATTTTTATTGGAGACGGGGGTTTCACCGTGTTAGCCAGGATGGTCTCAATCTCCTGACCTCGTGATCTGCCGACCTCGGCCTCCCAAAGTGCTTGGATTACAGTCGTGAGCCACCGTGCCCGACCCCTAATTCTGTTTTTAATAAATACTGATTTTGTTGTTGTTGTTGTTGTTTGTTTTTGAGATGGAGTCTCGCTCTGTCACCCAGGCTGGAGTGCAGTGTCACGATCTCGGCTCTCTGCAACCTCCGCCTCCCGGGTTCAAGGAATTCTCCTGCCTCAGCCTCCTGAGTAGCTGAGATTACGGGCATGCGCCACCATGCCCGGCTAATTTTTTTATTTTAAGCAGAGACGGTTTTGTCACGTTGGCCAGGCTGGTCTCGAACTCCTGACCTCAGGTGATCCGCCTGCCTCTGCCTCCCAAAGTGTTGGGTTTACAGGCGTGAGCCACCACACCTGGCCAAATACTGAGGGTTTTTTTTCTTTTTTTGAGATGGAGTCTCGCTGTGTCACCCAGGCTGGAGTGCAGTGGCACGATCTCAGCTCACTGCAAGCTCCGCCTCCCGGGTTCATGCCATTCTCCTGCCTCAGCTTTCCGAGTAGCTGGGACTACAGGCACCCACCACCACGCCCAGCTAATTTTTTTGTATTTTTAGTAGAGACGGGGTTTCACCATGTTAGCCAGGATGGTCTTGATCTCCTGACCTCGTGATCCGCCCACCTTGGCCTCCCAAAGTGCTGGGATTACAGGTGTGAGCCACCGTTCCCGGCCATACTGAGTTTTCTAAAGGCTGCTTACAGTATACTTTGGAAAGAAATTGTAAAATTAAGAATTCTTAAGCAATTGCGTCTTGCATTTAGTGATTCAGATTTACATTTTAGCTTATTTTACAGCGATTTTGTTCTTAAGAGTTGATAAGGATATCAAATCAGAATGAAAACATCATTGTGTCCTCTTAATTTAAAAGCCATAGTTTCCAAGCTTTTTGCTCTTTTGTTTTTTTTGAGACAAGGTCTCTGTTATTCAGGCTGAGTGCAGTGGCATGATCATGGCTCACTGCAGCCTCAACCTTCTTGGGCACAAGCGATGCTTCCACCTCAGCCTCCTGAGTTGCTGGGACTACAGGCTTGTACCACCTTGCCTGGCTGATTTGTAATTTTTTCGGAGAGAGGGGCTCTTGCTCTGTTGCCCAGGCTGGTCTTGAACTCCTGGGCTCAAGCCATCCTCTTGCCTTGGCCTCCCAAAGTGCTAGGATTATAGATATGAACTACCATGCCTGGCCTGTTTTTTTCTGAAATATTCATGTATTTTTTCTCTATAAGAGGCCAAGTGATTTGTGAGGTTACTTCTTCTTTTTTTAAAAAATTTTTTGTAGAGATGGATTCTTGCTATGTTGTCCTGGGCTCAAGCAATCCTTCTGCCTCAGCCTCCCAGAGTGCTGGGATTATAAGTGTGAGCCACTGCACCTGGCCTGTCAGTCAGGTTGCTTCTATACCTATTTTCTTATCTAGAATATGTGGTAACAGTATTAACCTGTTTGTAAATTATCTAACAATAATTGAATGCTTTATGTATTGATGTGGGCCTCCAGTGAATTGATTCTGGTCAAAATTCACATCTTTGGAATGTCAAATTCATTCTGCTGAGAGGCTGGAACTTTCCTAGATAGACAAGCCACAGAGACTTTCTGAAAATCAAGGTAGAGAGCCTAAGCATTTTAGAGCTTCATGTTGTGTTTGAGAATGGAGGCCCAGAGAAGGAGGCCATCAGCTCCAGTGACTTCCCTAGTGCCTTCATGGTAAAACTCAGCATAGAATTTTCCCTCCACACCTGAGCCTCTTCCAAGAGCTTCTTTCATGTCTTGGCTTGTGTGACACCTTGCCCCAGCCTCATCCCAGGACTTTTCTGCAAAAGGAATTCTTTTCCCTTGGCCCACGTGCTGCTGCATATATCCAATTAATGAACAATCTAGATATATTTGTTAAGCATCAAGGTACTGGCCACGTGTAATAATAAGCAAGAGAGGCAAATGTGTGTCCTGTGTTCAGTAATGCTATCATGTTGGTGTTTACTTGGTTTGGGAGGATAGAGGTCATTCATAGAAATGGAAAGAGGTATTGATTTAGAAACTAATGCAAATAAAGACAGGAAAATATGTTTTCTCATATTCTAATTTGACAAAATTTAAAATATACATAAGTTTCATAAGGTGAGAATACTTATTTATGTTCTTTCTTAGTCATCCAGTCTCTGGAACTCTCCCTGCCTTGACACCACCTCCCTTCCCAACCTTTTTAAAAACAGTGGTTTAATTGTCTGCTTGCAGAGGTGGATACTTTTTATTCTGGTGGAAGACTGGAGCAGTGGGTGTTTGTTTACAGTTTAAGATGCCCTTTAGAATCTGCTTTCCTTGTTCCCTCAGGTCTGAACTTTCTGAAAAGTTCTGATCTAATGTGGTCATACCAGGTTTGACTATATCTTTTATTCTACTTCTTGCATTGCTGTCAATTTATCATAAGATTTTTCTTTTGTACATTTCTTTTAGCTAAAGAGTTGGCCATGGGAAACTCCGCTTTATTCACATACACCTTTATATTAATGTATTAGAGTGTGTGAATATTTTCCTATATCCATCATTTATTCATGGAACATTTTTGAGAGGATATGTATTGTGTGCTGTATGAGGCACTGGGGGTGCAAAGTTGAAGAAGATTCATGGCTCATGGTTTTAGTTTTAAGAAACCTCAAGAGAGACTGGCAAATGAACAGATAATTCTGATATGTTGGGGTAAATACAAATGATAGATAGAGATCCTATCTAGGGTATTGTGGACCACAGAATAGAGCAGGATTGGTACTCAAAATACAGTATGGGGACCCTGAGAGGTCCCTGAGCTCTGGAAGGTCAAAACTTTTTTTTAAAGTAACAATACTATTTGCCCTTTTTTCTCTCTTTTTTTTTTTCCCCTCACAAATTAACAATGGAGTTTTCCACAGGCAAGGGAACTTGTAATATCTCAATAGAGATGAGAATCCCTCCCTCTTGCCCTCTTTCCCTCCTTTCCTCCGCCACTCTTTCCTTTCCCCTTTCTACTTTCCCCCTTCCCTTTTCTTTCTTTCTTTCTTTCTTTTTTTTTTGAGATGGAGTCTCTGTCACACAGGCTGGAGTGCAATGGCGCGATCTCGGCTCACTGCAACCTCCACCTCCTGGGTTCAAGCAGTTCTTCTGCCTCAGCCTCCCGAGTAACTGGGATTATAGGCGCCCACCACCATGCCTGGATTTTTTTTTTTTTTGTATTTTTAGTAGAGACGGGGTTTCACTGTGTTGGCCAGGCTGGTCTTGAACTCCTGACCTCGAGTGATCCACCTGCCTCGACCTCCCAAAGTTCTGAGATTATAGGTGTGAGCCACTGTGCCTGGCTCCCCTTTTCTTTCCTTCTTTCTTTTTCTTCTTTTTTGTTTTTGTTTTTAGAAACAGGATCTTGCTGCTTCGCCCAGGCTGGAGTTCAGTGGCACCATCATAGTTCACTGCAGCCTTGAACTATGCTCAGGTGACCCATCTGCCTCAGCCTCCCAAGTGGCTAGGATTACATGTGTGCACCAACACACCCAGCTAATTTTTTTCTTTATCTTTTTTTTTTTTTTTTTTTTTGAGATGGAGTCTTGCTCTGTCACCAGTCTGGAGTGCAGTGGCCCAATCTCTGCTCACTGCAACCTCTGCCTCCCGGGTTCAAGCAATTCTCCTGCCTCAGCCTCCCTGGTAGCTAGGACTACAAGCACGCGCCACCATGCCCAGCTAATTTTTGTATTTTTAGTAGAGACAGGATTTCACCATGTTGGCCAGGATGATCTCTTGACCTCCTGATCCACCTGCCTCGGCCTCCCAAAGTGCTGGGATTACAGGTGTGAGCTACCGCGCCTGGCTAATTTTTTATTTTTATTTTTTTTTAGAGACGAGATCTGCTACATTGTCCAGGCTGTCCTCTAACTCCTGAGCTCAAGCAGTCCTCCTTCCTTAGTGTCTCAAAGCTTTAGGATTACAGGCATGAGCCACTGCACCTGCCCTGTGACTGTTTTCAACTATAAACATACCTATTCTGTCATTCTTACAACTTTGAATATAGGTAATTTTATCCATTTAATGCATTGATAATGGCGGTGGCATGATCCAGAAGCACACAATGAACATAAAATGGGGAGGCTCTGATATTTGATACAAATTGCTATGGTACAACTGCTCATTCCTGTGTAGATTATCGTTATTTAAAAAATAATACTCTTGCTATATCACCTCATTTCATTATAATGGGTACCTGTTCTACTTGCTTTTTTGACTTGTCATCTCATTTTTACTGTGCCTAGAGAATTTTGTTAGAAGTCTTACCCCTAATTACCTGTTTGAGAATAGGTAAACTTTTATCGAACTTACTGTAATAAGTAGGCTACATCCTACATAATGAATTGAGTAAGAAGAAAGAGGACATGGGGGTTTTTAAAAAATGTTTCCTGAATCTATTCTTTTTTAGTGTGAAATTTATATGTATGTGATTTTGAAATAATTCAGAATTAATAGAAAAGTTAAAAAATAGGCCGGGCACGGTGGCTCACGCCTATAATCCCAGTACTTTGGGATGCCTAGGTGGGTAGATTACCTGAGGTCAGGAGGTCCGAGACCAGCCTGGCCAACATGGCGAAAACCCATCTCTACTAAAACTATAAAAATTAGCTGGGCGTGGTGGCACACACCTGTAATCCCAGGTACTCAGGAGACTGAGGCAGTAGAATCACTTGAACCTGGAAGATAGAGGTTGCAGTGAGCCAAGATCACACCACTGCACTCCAGCATGGGTGACAGAGTGAGACTCCGTCTCAAAAATAATAATAATAATAGAGTTGTAGCTGGGTGCAGTGGCTCAAGCCTGTAATGCCAGCACTTTCAGAGCCTGAGGTGGGAGGATTGCTTGAGCCCTGGAGTTTGAGACCAGCCTGGACCACATAGTAGACCCCATCCCTACAAAAAAAAAAAAGTCGGGTGTGGTGGCACACGCCTGTAGTCCCAGCTACTCAAGAGGCTGAAGTGGGAGGATCCCTAGCCCAGGAGGTCAAGGCTGCAGTGAGCCATGATTGCACCACTGCAATCTTTGGGTGACAAAGACTCTGTTTAAAAAAAAAAAAAAGTGTCATGGGTTAAAAGTTATCCTCAAGACTGTTCTATTCTCCAGTAGAAGAAACATTTATATTAATAAATGAGAATTGTGAGTATTAATAAATGTTATAAAGATGATAAAGTAATGTGGTAGATAATGACCTAGGTTGCTATCTTAACTGTGAGACTGTGTAGAATGCCTCTTAGAAGAGGTAACTTGGAGTTAAAACGTAAATGTTATGAAGTGGCAGAAGACCTGGAGGCAGCACATTGCAAGCTGAAAGAACAGCATGTACAAGAGCCCTAAATAGGAACAAAGTGTGAGGAAGAGAAAATATACCAGTAAGGCTAGAGAGTAGTTGAATGAAGAGGAAAGCAGATGAGGTCAGAGCCTGGCATGGTGGCTTATGCCTGTAATCCCAGCACTTTTAGAGGCTGAAGTGGGTGGATCTCTTGAGCACAGGAGTTCGAGACCAGCCTGGGCAACATGGCAAAACCCTGTCTCTGCAAAAAATAACAAAAATTAGGCAGGCGTGGTGGCACACACCTGAGGTCTCAGCTACTAGGGAGGCTGAGGTGGGAGGATCCCTAGAGCCTAGGAGGTTGAGGCTGCAGTGAACCGTGATCATGCTGCTGCACAACAGGCTGGGTGACAGAGCAAGAACCTGTCTCAAAAACAGACAAACAAAAAAACAAGAAAAGAAAAAAGATGAGGTTAGTTGTAGACAGATACCAGATCATATAGGGTAGGTCATTTTTAATATCATGTAGGGTCTTAGTAGTTCATAGTTGTAACGCAGGTAGGGTTAACAGCAGGAAGCCTTTGGAAGGTTTTAAGCAGATCACTCCAGTGATATGATTTATGCTGTACAAGGTACATTCTGGTTGATCTGGTGCGGATTAATTGTAGAGAGGTAAGATTTGACTTTGGGAAGCTGAGGCGAGCAGATCACAAGGTCAGGAGTTCAAGACCAGCCTGGCCAATATGGTGAAACCCCATCTCTACTAAATATACAAAAAAAAATAGCCAGATGTGGTAGCAGGCACCTGTAATCCCAGCCTCTTGGGAGGCTGAGGCAGGAGAATTGCTTGAACCGGGGAGGTGGAGGTTGTAGTGAGTCAAGATCATGCCACTGCACTCCAGCCTGGGCGACAGAGTGAGACTCTGTCTCAAAAAAAAAAAAAAAAAAAGTAAGATTTGAAGCAGAGAGACAGATTTGGAGGGTGTTGGAACAGCATAGCCTCAGCCTCCCGAGTAGCTGGGATTATAGGCATACACCACCACGCCCGGCTAATTTTTGTATTTTTAGTAGAGATTGGGTTTCGCCATGTTGCCCAGTCTGGTCTTGAACTTATGGGCTCAAGTGATCCTCTGGCCTCCCAAGTAACTGGATTACAGGCTTACATCTCTGTGCCTGGCTTGGTGAGGCTTTTGTTCAGAAGAGACATGAGACTTTGTATAGCTAGGGGAGAAAAAGTTGACCCGGACCCCGAGAGAAGCAACATGGAATTATGGAGAAAATATCCTTTTCCAAGGGGACTAGTGTTAGAGATCTTGGGTTGATGACTTCAGTGAGGTGGGCAGTGCTAAGGTCTTAGTTCCAGAGATGGTAAAAGAATAGGTCCTGTTATTGTGTGTTTGTGTTGATAGTATTTAGGCCCTATTTTGGTTCATTCATTTACTAATCTATATGTATTGTAGTAATGGATTATCCTGGAGTTAGAAATACTTTTAAATACAAAAACAAGTGGAAAGTCTTTCCCACCTATATCCCTCAGCTACCTTGTTTCTATTCACACCATTCCTCCAATGCTCCACCCCACCTAGGAAACTATTGTTCAATTTCTCATGTAACCTTCTAGAGTTTCTTTATATAAATAAAGACAATAAAAATACAGATTCCTGGCCAGGCACAGTGGCTCACGCCTGTAATCCCAGCACTTTGGGAGGCTGACGTGGGTGGATCACGAGGTCAGGAGTTCGAGACCAGCCTGACCAACATGGTGAAACCCCATCTCTACTAAAAATACAAAAATTAGCCGGGCGTGGTGGTGCACGTCTCTAGTCCCAGCTACCTGGGAGGCTGAGGTGGAGGATCACCCGAGGCCGGGGAGTTCTAGGGTGCAGTGAGCTGCTATTGTGCCACCACACTTCAGCCTGGGCAACAGAGTAAGACTGTCTCAAAAACAAAAAGAAAAAAAAGATAAATAAATAAATAACTGCAGATTCTTGTTTCTTTCTATCTTTACCCTAAAATCCACCAATCTCAAAGGTAGCATATTATAACTGTTATTTTGCAAATTGGTCTTCCCACCTTCCCCCTTGCACAGTGTGTTTTTCACTTAAGAATAGAGATTTACACAGAAAATCTTTCCATAGAGTATATAGGATTTTTTTCCTTTTTCTTTTTTTTTGAGACAGGGTCTATTTCTGTTGCCCAGCCTGGAGTGCAGTGGTGTGATCTTGGTTCACTGCAGCCTGAGCCTCCTGGATTCAAGTGATCTTTCCACCTTGGCCTCTGAGTAACTGGATCACAGGCACATGTCTCCACTCCTGGCCCTGGATTTTATTTTTAGGAGTAGTTTTAGGTTCACAGCAAAATTGAGCAGGAGTACAGAGAGTTTTCACATACACCCATTACCCTACACAGTCATAACTGTACCCACACATGCATAGCTTCCCCCACTATCAACATCCTGAATAAACAAGTTTGTTATTTTTGAGTTCACCAATTTTCTTACTTTTGGAAAAACAATCAGCTTTATGTACTTCGAAATTGTTCTGAAATTTGTTTTATAATGTTCCTCTCATTTAAAAAATTCATCTTCATCAAAAGACACCTTAAAGAAAGTGAAAACATGCCACATGTTTTGGGAAAAATAATTGTAATATATGTAATAGGGAATTAGGGTCGTGACCAGGGCTGGCTTCATGGGTGTGCAATCTGTGCAGTCACGCAGGACCCCTCATTTAGATGGTCCCCGTGCTTAGTTTACTGGTAAGCTGTCACCGTCTTGAAATTCTTAATTTTTGAAAAAGTAGCCCAACATTTTTATTTACTTATTTTAAAATGTTTTTATGGTGAAAAATTTATATTTGGAATTTGCCAGCTGAGCTCAGTTTTGGTTATTCCAGTTTTGTTGGCAACATTCAAAGCATCATAGTCAGGAATCTGTTGAATATATGCCTTCTCTCTGGCAGACTCAATCCGGGTGTTGACCTTGGCCATGTCAGTGTCCTAGAGCTTCTTCACAGCTTGTTTCATCTGGCGCTTGTTGGCTTTGACATACACAACTAATGCAAGTGTGGTGTGGTCTTCCGTCTTCTCATTGGTCAGGATTAAGCGTGTTTTTCTTGGGAGTGCTCTTCCTAGTATATTTTGGCTGCAGTGTCTTGGGGCAGCCTGAAGGTGGGTAGCATGCGGATATCTTTCAGCAGTGTGTTTTTGGCCTTTAAAGCCTTTGTTGGCTTCAGCTTTGGGAGAGGCAGGGGCTTCCTTTTTCTCTTTGGTGCCATCTTGGTGAAAAGGCCTCACTTTTTATTTTGCACTGTGCTCTGCAAATTATGTTGTCTGTCCTGGTCCTGAATATATAAAGCCTACTAATTAATTAGAAAAAGCCAATCCAATAAGAAAATGGCCAAAATCTGAGAGCAAAGATCTTCAGCCTCATTAGATCTTCAACCTACATATTTTAAAATGTGTAGCATTAAGAAGTGATTACATATATAAGTAATAAAATTTACGTGACTTAATTTAGCTCATTTAGATTAATACTTTTGTCTTCAACCTTTTTTGTAGTGTATGTTTTAACTGGAAAAAGTCTTCCATGAAAACGTCACTTTTAAAAAATAAGTAATGCCATCTGTTTTCCTAAAAGACTGAAATGGGGGCGACCATTCTTAGGTAAGTATCCAATTTTGTATTTTTAATTACTTATATATTGGTTAGAGTATAAATCTTTTTTTTTTTTTTTTTTTTTTTGAGGTGGAGTCTTGCTGTGTTGCCCAGGCTGGAGTGCAGTGGTGCAATCTCGGCTCACTGCAACCTCTGCCTCCTGGGTTCAAGCAATTCTCCTGCCTCAGCCTCCTGAGTAGCTGGGATTACAGGCACATGCCACAATGCCCGGCTAATATTTTTGTATTTTTAGTAGAGACGGGGTTTCACCATGTTGGCCAGGCTGGTGTTGAACTCCTGACCTCAAGTGATCTGCCCGTCTTGGCCTCCCAAAGTGCTGGGATTACAGGCATGAGCCACTGCTCCCAGCAGATTATGAATCTTTTAGTTAACCTATGAGGTAGGGAGGGAGTGGGAGTAGGGGGGATGCTAGGTCTTGTTTGAAGATAGTCTGTTATTGAGGATTATGTTTCCTACAGAGTTAAGAACAGAACTTCATGAAGCAGAGAGGAGTGTCAGTAGTGTTGAAAGCTCTTTAGACAGGTTAGTTGAAAACTGAAGAAACTTTTTTGGATTTGACAGTTAGGAATTCATTGATGATCCCAGCAGGGGCCATTTTAGGAGACTGTTTATGGCTGAAAATCAGGTTGCAGTGGAGTGAAGAGTAAAGAGGAGGTGATAAAATCTAAATATTTCAGCTATTTCATTTATTAAACCCATATGTAATATAGCTGCAGTCATCACTTCCTTAAGCACTGGAGTTATAGTTAGGGTAACCATATATCCTGGTTCAAATCTCCTATAGATCAATTAATGCCCAATTATTTTTATTTTTGTTTTTTTGAAACGGAGTCTTGCTCTGTCACAGGCTGGAGTACAGTGGCACCATCTTGGCTAACTGCAACCTCTGCCTCCCATTTTCAAGCTATTCCCCTGCCTCAGCCTCTCAAGTAGCTGGGACTACAGGCGTGTGCCACCTCGCCCAGCTAATTTTTGTATTTTTAATAGAGATGGGGTTTCACCATGTTGACCAGGCTGGTCTCGAACTGCTGACCTCAGGTGATCTGCCCGCCTCAACCTCCCAAAGTGCTGGGTGGGATTATAGGCATGGGTCACCATGCTGGGCCTTTTTTTTTTTTTTTTTTTTTAAAAGACAGAGTCTCATGCTCTGTCACCCAGGCTGGAGTGCTGTGGTGTGATCTCGGCTCACTGCAACGTCCGCCTCCCGGTTTCAAGTGATTCTCCTGCCTCAGTCTCCCAAGTAGCTGGGATTACAGGCACCCACCACTATGGTCGGCTAATTTTTGTATTTTTAGTAGAGACGGGGTTTTACCATGTTAGCCAGGCTAGTCTCGAACTCCTGACCTCAGGTGATCTGCCTGCCTCGGCCTCCCAAAGTGCTGGGATTACAGGCGTGAGCCACCGCGCCCGGCTGAGATAATTTTTTTTTAAGAAAATGGGGTCTCAGTCTGTCACTCAGGCTGGAGTCCAGTGATGCTATCACTTCTGGGCTCAAGTGATCCTCCTGCCTCAGCCTCTTGATGGGATTACAGGTGTAAGCCACCAGGCTCACCCAGCAAGAGGTGATTTAAAGTATACAAGAAGATATGCATAGGTTGTATGCAAAGACCATACAATTTAATATCAGGAACTTGAGCATTTCTGGATTTTGGTGTCTGCAAGGGTTCTGGAAACAATTCCCCCCAGATACCACAGATGACTATATATTTATTGTTTATCTTCTCTGTCCTCATTAGCATATCAACTCCATGAGAAATGGACCTCTGTTTTTGTTCACTGTTGTAACCCTAGCAGCTAGCAGAGTTCTTGGTATATTAGTAAATGCTCGGTAAATATGTATTCAGTATATAATGGCCTCCAGTGCCTTGATGCATCCCCTTTATCAATCCTGCATCTCATAGACAGTTATTTCAATTACCAGTGTCAAATTTCTCATGTTCACCTAAAAGGTTATGCTAGCTAAATTCATACTGCCTGCCATGTCATGCTAGCTTATCTCAAACTAGGCCTTTACTATTGCTCAGCAATCATATTAAATTTCTCCACCGTCTCTGGTCTGGTTAGTTGCAACAGCCTCTTAACTGACTTTTGTGCTTCCACTCTGCACCTGTAATTCATCTTCAATAAAACAGAGGACTCTAAGGCATATATCATGTCATACCACTTTTATGCTTAAAAACTCACAAGATGCTGGGTGCTGTGACTCACGCCTGTAACCCCAGCACTTTGGGAGGCCAAGGCAGGTGGATCACCTGAGGTCTGGAGTTGGAGACCAGCTGGCCAACATGATGAAACTTGATCTCTACTAATAATACAAAAAATTAGCTGGGCATGGTGGCGGGCACCTGTAATCCCAGCTACTTGAGAGGCTGAGGCAGAAGAATCTCTTGAACCTGGAGGGTGGAGGTTGCAGTAAGCTGAGATCGCGGCATTGCATTCCAGCCTGGGCAACAAGAGCGAAACTCCATCTCAAAACAAAACAAAACAAAAAACAAACAAAAAGAACTCACAAGACTTTGAGTCTAAACTCCTTACCACAGCCACAGAACACTACGTGGCCTGGCTCTGCCTACTTCTTCAATCTGAAATTTTTTTAAGAGATGGTGCCTCACTATGTTGCTCAGGCTGTTTTCAAACTCCTAGCCTTAAGCGATCCTCCTGCCTTGGCCTCCCAAAGTGCTGGGATTACAGATGGGAGCCACAGTGCCTGGTCAACTTCTTTAATCTCATCTCATGACACTATGGTCCTCATCCACCTTATTGTAGAAACACTGGAATTCTTTCCATTCCTCAAACACAATCAGCTCATTTCCACCTTGAGGTTTAAACTTTTTTTTTTTTTTTTGAGCCAGAGTCTCGCTGCAACGCCCAGGCTGGAGTGCAATGGTGTGATCTTGGCTCATTGCAACCTCTGCCTCCCAGATTCAAGCGATTCTCCTGCCTCAGCTTCCCGAGTAGCTGCAATTATAGGCATGTGCCGTCATGCTCGACTGATTTTTGTATTTTTATTAGAGACGGGGTTTCACCATGTTGACGGGGCTGGTCTCAAACTCCTCACCTCGCGGGATCCGCCCCCCTCGGCCTCCCAAAGTGCTAGGATTACAGGCGTGAGCCACCATGCCCAGCGAGGTTTAAACTTACATAGCTTGATTTTCTTTTAGTTTGGTTAAATTCTTGTCTTTCAGATCTTAATGTCACCTCCTCAGAAGAAGATAACCAGTCACTATCAACTGCCATATTTTAATTCTTTTCATATCACATTACAATTTGGTATTGTTCTTGTTCACTCCAGTGATTAGCTCCACGAGAACACTAATCTTGTCTACAAGAGTGCCTGGCACAATGCAGGTGGTCAGTAAATATTTGGTGAATTTGGTAGCTGCCCTATGTTTTTCCTAAATGCTTTCTTCTCCCAGGATCCCAACCTCACCACTAATTAACTATATGCCGAATAGATAACCTCAATCCCTACATTATTAAAAAAAGTAAGATAAGAAATCCTACACTTAGCTGGGTGTGGTGGCACACACGTGTAATATTGGCTACTGAGGAAGCTGAGGCAGGAAGATTTCATGAGCCCAGGAATTCAAGGTTGCAGTGAGCTGTAATTGGACCACTGCACTCCAGTCTGGGCAACAGAGTATGACCCTGTTGGAGGGGAGGGGGAGAGAAAGAGAAGGAGAAAAGAAATCCTACAGCTTCTTCCTCTTTGCCTAAAAATTCCTTGATATATCCTCTCTTCCAGTCCTCTAGTTTCTAAGCAGAAAGATTGCTACTCTTCTAAGAGCTAAACCCTTTACCTATGTCTTTGATCTCAATCAAACTTCTTACCTCTTCTGAGTAAAAACTTAATTACTCTTTTTAATATTTAAACTGTATGCAAGCTGAGTACAGTGGCCCACACTTGTAATTAGCCAGGCATGGTGGCGAATGCCTGCAGTTCCGCCTACTTGGGAGGCTGAAGTGGAAGGATTGCTTGAGCCCAGGAGGTCGAGGCTGCAGTGAGCCCAGATCCTACCACTGCACTTCAGCCGGGCAACAGAGCGAGACTGTGTCTCAAAAAACAAAAATTATCTCAATGGTAACCTGGAAAATGAAAAAAATTATAATACCTAATACAATGTAAATGCCTTGTGAATAGGTGTTATTGTATTATTTAGGGAATAATGACAATAGAAAAAAGTCTGTACATGTTTAGTACAGGCACAACAGAACCATTACCCGATCCAATATTTCTTTTTTTTCTTTAATTTTTTGAAATGGAGTGTCACTTTGTTGCCCAGGCTGGAGTGCAATGGCGCGATCTCAGCTCACTGCAACTTCCACTTCCCTGGTTCAAGCGATTCTCCTGCCTCAGCCTTCAGAGTAGCTGGAATTACAGGCATGCACCACCAGGCCTGGCCCCGCATCCAATATTTTCGATTCATAGTTGGTTGTATTCATGGATGTGGAACCCACCGATATAGAACACACAGATATGGAGGGCCTACTATATAATATGTTGGGTGGTGATAAGTGTTATTTTGAAGATTTATACCTTGTTTGCCATTGTCATTAAGGTATGGAAATATATTAGGGAAAAGTAGACATTGATGAAGGAGGGATATGTTTACTAAGGTAAAGTTAGGGAAGACCTCTCTGATTAGGTGACATTTGAGTTGGCAGCTCCAAATGAAGTGAGGGAGCAGGCCCTCTGGGTATTTTGGATAGGGTGGGGAGGGCATTTTAGACTGAAGGAACTTAAATACAAAGTGTTTGAAGCTGGATGTGCTTGATGTGTTCTATGAGCTGCAAGAGGGCCGGAGTGGCTGCATTGAAGTAAGTGAGGGTGGAGGTAGTAGGAGCTGACATCATCATTGTGAATGTGGTAGAGGCTTGAGTCAAGTTGTAGACCAGAGTCAGGCCTTTTTCTCTGTATGATGGTGGAGCTGCAGATCCAGGAGTGAGGTTGTGGTGGGAAGTGAAAGGTCAAGCTGTGGCTGAGAGGTGTAACTTCAGGCTGAAGAATTGTGAGGCCGCCAGGTGCAGTGGCTCACGCCTGTAATCCCAACAGTTGGGGAGGCTGAGACGGGCAGATCCCTTGAGTTAGAGACCAGTCTGGGCAACATGGTAAAACCCCATCACTACAAAAAATGTAAAAATCAGTCGGGCGTGGTGGCGCATGCCTGTAGTCCCAGCTACTCGAGAGACTGAGGCTAGAGGATTGCTTGAGCCTGAGAGGTGGAGGTTGCAGTGAGCCGAGATTGCACCACTGCACTCCAGCCTGGGTGACACAGCAAGACATCTCAAAAAAAAAACAACCATGAGGTCAGATGTTTGAAGTATCTGAAAGTGAAGATGAGAGAAGAGGGTGTACAATAAAACAGATTTTTGAACACCACAGGGAGGTAGGAAGCGTTGAAAAAGGTGAGTTGGAGGCACAGAGGGCCTGTAAGTTCATAATGGACAAGTTTATTTGGCTTCAGGTTTTTTGTTTTGTTTTGTTTTTGAGGTGGAATCTCACTCTGTTGCCCAGGCTGGAGTGCAGTGGTGTGATCTCGGCTTGCTGCAACCTCCACCTCCCAGGTTCAAGTGATTCTCCTGCCTCAGCCTCCTGAGTAGCTGGGACTCAGGGTTTTTTCTTTTTTTTTTTTTTTTGAGAAGGAGTCTCACTCCGTCACCTAGGCTGGAGTACAGTGGCACGATCTTGGCTCACTGCAAGCTCTGCCTCCTGGGCTCACGCCATTCTCCTGCCTCAGCCTCCCGAGTAGCTGGGACTACAGGCACCCGCCACCACGCCCAGTTAATTTTTTTTTTTTTTTTGTATTTTTAGTAGAGATGGGGTTTCACTGTGTTAGCCAGGATGGTCTCAATCTCCTGACCTCATGATCTGCCCGCTTCGGCCTCCCAAAATGCTGGGCTTCCAGGCATGAGCCACCGTGCCCGGTCTCAGGGTTTAAAAAAAAAAATTGGTGAAATACACACAATATAAAATTTATCATTTTGCTTTTTTTTTTTTTTAATGAGGACAGGGTTTTGCCCTGTTTCTCAGGCTGGCCTCGAACTCCTGAGCTGAAGTGATCTGCCCACCTTGGCCTCACAAAATGCTAGGATTATAGGTGTGAGCCACTGCATCTGGGGGAAATTTAACCACTTTTAAGTGTATAATTCAGTGGCATTAAGTACATTCACAAAAGTACATCATCACTGTCCATCTCCAGAACTTTTTCATCATCCCTAACCGAAACTCCATACCTATTAAATAATAACTTCTCATTGCCCCCTCTTCTTTAGTCCCTGAGAAACCACTGTTCTATTTTCTGTCTCTATGAATTTGACTACTCTGCTTCAGATGCCTTGTATAATTGGAATCATACAATATTTGTCTTTTTGTTTCTGACTTATTACACTTGGCATTATATTTTTAAGGTTCATTCATTTTGTAGCATATAGTAGAATTTCATTCCTTTTAAAGGCTGAATAGGCTGGGCCTGGTGGCTCACGCCTGTAATCCTAGCACTTTGGGAGGCCAGGACGGGCAGATCACGAGGTCAGGAGTTCGAGACCAGCCTGGCCAACATGGTGAAACCCCGTCTCTACTAAAAATATGAAAATTAGCTGGGTGTGGTGGCCCGCATCTGCAGTCCCACCTACTCGGGAGGCTGAGTCAGGATAATCACCCCTGAGTCCAGGAGGTGGAGCTTGTGCCGAGATCACACCACTAAACTCCAGCCTGGCGACAGAGAGAGACTCCGTCTCCAAAAAAAAAAAAGGCTGAATAATATTCCATTGTATGTACACACCACATTTCCACATTTTTTTTGTCTATGTATCTGTTGATGGTGACACTGGTGCTGTTTCTACCTTCTGGCTGTTGTGACCAGTGCTGCTGTGAGCACTGGTGTACAAATCTGAGTAAATCCCTGCTTTCATTTCTTTTGCATACATCACCAGAAGTGGGATTATTAGATCATAGTGGATCATATGCTTTAATTTTTCTTTTTATTTTTTTTGAGATAGGGTCTCACTCTGTCAACCAGGCTAGAGTACAGTGGTGTAGTCATGGCTCACTGCAACCTCCACCTCCTGTGCTCAAGTGATCCTCCCACCTCAGCCTCCTGAGTAGCTGGGACTACAGGTGCCCACCACCACACCTGGCTAATTTTTTGTATTTTTATTAGAGACAGTGTTTCGCCACGTTGCCCAGGCTAGTCTTGAACACCTGGCTCAAGCTGTCTGCCTGCCTTGGCCTCCAAAGGACCAGAAACAGTAGGCACTCAACAATATCATGCTGGGATTACAGGCGTGAGCCATCACGCCCTGCCATATGCTTTAATTTTTTGAGGAACAATCCTGCTGTCTTCCATACTGGCTATACCATTTTATATTTGCACCAGCAATACACAAGATTTCCAGTTTCTCCACAGCCTTGCCTGGGTTTGGTTTTATAAAAAAAAAACTCTGTGGTGTTGTTTTTTGTTTTTTTTTTTTTTTTTTTTTTTTTTTTGAGACGAAGTCTCTCTCTTTTCCCCCAGTCTGGAGTGCAATGGCACGATCTGGGCTCACTGCAACCTCCGCCTCCCGGGTTCAAGCGATTCTCCTGCCTCAGCCTCCCTAGTAGCTGGGATTACAGGTGCGTACCACTATGCCCAGCTAATTTTTTGTATTTTAAGTAGATACGGGGTTTCACCATGTTGGCCAGGCTGGTCTCAAACTCCTGACCTCAGGTGATCCGCCCGCCTTGGCCTCCCAAAGTGCTGGGATTACAGGGGTGAGCCACCGCCCCTGGCCTTTTTTTTTTTTTTTTTTTTTTTTGAGACAAAGTCTTGCTCTGTCACCCAGGCTTGAGTGCAGTGGCATGATCTCGGCTCACTGCAACCTCAGTCTCCCAGGTTTAAGCGATTCTCCTGCCTCAGCTTCCCAAGTAGCTGGGATTACAGGCGCATGCCACCAGGCCTGGCTAATTTTTGTATTTTTAGTAGAGACAGGGTTTTGCCATGTTGGTCAGGCTGGTCTTCAACTCCTGACCTCAGGTGATCTGCCCGCCTCGGTCTTCCAAAGTGCTGGGATTACAGGCGTGAGCCACTGTGCCCAGCCAGTAGTATAGTTGTGGTTTTTGAATAATGGAATGTTTTAAGTTTATTTCCTTAAAAGAATGTTTATCATACACTGTTTTCTGGTAGTTTTAGAAGTAGCACAAATCCTTATGCTCTGCTACAAGGTCAGAACTGGTAAAGAAAGGTGTCTTCATCCAGGCGTGGTGGCTCATGCCTGCAATCCCAGTACTTTGGGAGGCCAAGGCGGGCAGACCACCTGAGGTCAGGAGTTAGAGACCGGCCTGGCCAACATGGCAAAACCCCATCTCCACCAAAAATACAAAAACTAGCCAGGTGTGGTGGTGCATGCCTGTAGAGCCAGCTACTTGGGAGGCTGAGGCAGGAGAATCGTTTGAACCTGGGAGGCGGAAGTTGTACTGAACCGAGGTCATACCACTATACTCCAGCCTGGGTGACAGAGCAAGATCATGTCTCAAAAAAAAAAAAAAAAAAGTCTTCTAGTTAAATTTTAGTGAGAGATTTTCACAGGAATTAAAATTCTGGGGCCTTAAAAAATCTTAAGTATGCTTTGCCATAAGCTTCAGGGACCGTGTCCATGTTACTTGGCTGTGTGTAGTCATGAATATGATCTTTTAGGATAGGACAGCAATTAAACAAACTAGATTTTTTTTTCTTTCTTTAAAAAAAAAAAAAAGAATACATTTGTTAACCTCCTGTTTGGAAATTTTACAAGGAGCTGGAGAAATTTTCACTTTTGTGTTTACTGATTGATTGTGTACTACCTTAACTGTTGGAAAAATATATTCCCTATTCAGATGAATGATAAACCAGTAAAAGCTATGAAAGGGAAAAAATGTGATGGGATTACAGCTGCCACAGAGAGGTTTTTGAAGCTTTGCACCTTGTTTGCAATTGTCATTAAGATAATGGAAATTTTGAAAGATGATCTTAATGTCTTCAATATTGTTATAATTAGGCTTTTTTCTTTGTAAATGATGTGTCTTAATTTGAAAAGTTTTCCTTTAGGAGCTTCTTTTTTTTTTTTTTTTTGAGCGGAGTCTTGCTCTGTCGCCCAGGCTGGAGTGCGGTGGTGCGATCTCGGCTCACTGGAGCATCTGCCTCCTAGGTTCAAGCAATTCTCCTGCCTCAGCCTCCTGAGTAGCTGGAATTACAGGCACCTGCCACCACGCCCAGCTATAGGAGCTTCTTATGTTATGTGAACACTATGAGTAAACAGAGTGGTATAGTTTAAACTTGCCTTCCAGTTTTTCCAAGTTCCTCTTTCTCCAATTCATTGTCTTTGCCTCGGGGTTCTTTTTCATTAATATGTATGGATGTTTACGCAGTTAGAAAAAATGTTCATAAAGATGATATTGTTGAGTGCTTACTGTTTCTGGTCCTTTGATAATGTGGTGTGCTTTTTACTTTTACACAGAAAATAACTGTGGTCAGATTGTCATGCAGTTTGCCATAGACAGTAAGGATATTGTGAAAGAAATTCTGGCTGTCTGCATAGCATGACCTTTCAAAACTGTTTTCTTTGCTGCAAGCATTTCACTTAGCCTTTTGACTGCCACATGATAGAGGAAGTAGTACATAAAGGGTAATATAAATGGCTGCCTTGTTGGTCTCAATACTGTTTTTTAAACCATGTTAAATAGTCACATGTTATTAAATAGTTTTATGTGGAGGATTACCAGTTTTATGCATAGTATAGTACATTTTAAGTATAATTTTATAAAACTTATAGTATTTAAAATTTAAATACAGGCTGGGCACGGTGGCTCATGCCTGTAATCCCAGCACTTTGGGAGGCCGAGGTGGGTGGATGACCTGAGGTGAGGAGTTCGAGACCAGCCTGGCCAACATGGTGAAACCCCATCTCTACTAAAAATCCAAAAAATTAGCTGGGCATGGTAGTGCGTGCCTGTAATCCCAGCTACTCAGGAGGCTGAGGCTTGAACCTGGGAGGCAGAGATTGCAGCGAGCCAAGATCGCGTCATTATACTCCAGCCTGGGTGACAAGAACAAGACTCCATCTTAAAAAAAAAATTAAATAGAAAATCACATTATTTTCAAAAAGGACCTAAACTTTTTATTCAAAGTTTTAAGGATTATTAGTGAATGGAGATTATTATATATAGCTCATGACTACAAATCTGTAATTTTTGTGAGGAGACATTTTTAAAGCAACCTTTGGAGCTCTCTTTCTGCTGCTTCTGAGCACCCAGGAGAGACTGTTTTCTTTAACACTGTGAAGAGAACTGGGGAAAATGAGGAAGCTCCAGCCTGATTTTATTTTACTTTTATTTTATTTTATTTGAGATGGAGTCTTGCTTCATATACTCCAGTAAATGTGGTCATGCTATATATATTCTTTTGTTTCTTTTAACATTGTTGGTAAGGTTCATTAATGGTGATGTGTGTAGCTGTATTTTATTCATTTTTCCTATTGTAAACTATTATTTATTGATCTATTAATGTACATTAGGATTATGCCTAGTTTTTTGTTACTATGAAAACTTTCACCTTAAACATTCATGTGAATGTCATATCCTCAGATAAGCATTTTCTTTTTTTTTTTTTTTTAAGTATTTATTGATCATTCTTGGGTGTTTCTCGGAGCGGGGGATTTGGCAGGGTCATAGGACAATAGTGGAGGGAAGGTCAGCAGATAAACATGTGAACAAGGGTCTCTGGTTTTCCTAGGCAGAGGGCCCTGCCTGCTTCCTTCCGCAGCGTTTGCGTCCCTGGGTACTTGAGATTAGGGAGTGGTGATGACTCTTAAGGAGCATGCTGCCTTCAAGCATCTGTTTAACAAAGCACATCTTACACCGTCCTTAATCCATTTAACCCTGAGTGGACACAGCACATGTTTCAGAGAGCATGGGGTTGGGGGTAAGGTTATAGATTAACAGCATCCCAAGGCAGAAGAATTTTTCTTAGTACAGAACAAAATGGAGTCTCCTATGTCTACTTCTTTCTACAGAGACACAGTAACAATCTGATCTCTTTCTTTTCCCCACATTTCCCCCTTTTCTATTCGACAAAACTGCCATCGTCATCATGGCCCGTTCTCAATGAGCTGTTGGGTACACCTCCCAGACAGGGCGGCGGCCTGGCAGAGGCGCCCCCCCACCTCCTGGAGGGGGCGGCTGCCGGGCGGGAGCTTCCCCCCGCCTCCCTCCGGGACAGGGCGGCTGGCCGGGCGGGGGCTGCCCCCCACCTCCCTCCCGGACGGGGCGGCTGACCGGGCGGGGGCTGCCCCCCATCTCCCTCCCGGACGGGGCGGCTGGCCGAGCGGGGGCTGCCCCCCACCTCCCGGACAGGGCGGCTGCTGGGCAGAGATGCTCTTCACTTCCCAGACGGGGCGGCTGCGGGGCGGAGGGGCTCCTCACTTCCCAGACGGGGCGGCTGCCGGGTGGAGGGGCTCCTCACTTCTCAGACGGGGTGGCCGGGCAGAGACGCTCCTCACCTCCCAGACGGGGTGGCGGCCGGGCAGAGGGGCTCCTCACATCCCAGACCATGGGTGGCCAGGGAGACGCTCCTCACTTCCCAGACGGGGTGGCGGCCGGGCAGAGGCTGCAATCTCAGCACTTTGGGAGGCCAAGGCAGGCGGCTGGGAGGTGGAGGTTATAGCGAGCTGAGATCACGCCACTGCATTCCAGCCTGGGCAAGATTGAGCACTGAGTGAGCGAGACTCCGTCTGCAATCCCAGCACCTCGGGAGGCCCATGCGGGCAGATCACTCGCGGTCAGGAGCTGGAGACCAGCCCAGCCAACAGGGCGAAACCCCGTCTCCACCAAAAAATACAAAAACCAGTCAGGCGTGGCGGCGCGCGCCTGCAATCCCAGGCACTCCTCAGGCTGAGGCAGGAGAATCAGGCAGGGAGGTTGCAGTGAGCCGAGATGGTGGTAGTACAGTCCAGCCTCCGCTCGGCATCAGAGGGAGACCGTGCAAAGTGGGAGACGGAGACGGAGACGAGAGGGAGAGGGGGAGGGGGAGGGAGAGGGAGAGCCTTTTTTTGTTTTTTGATACAGAGTCTCTCTCTGTTGCCCAGGCTGGAGTGCAGTGGCGTGATCTTAGCTCATTGCAACCTCTGCTTCCCGGGTTCAAGTGATTCCACTCAGCTTCCCAAGTAGCTGGAATTACAGGTGCATGCCACTGCACCCAGCTAATTTTTGCAGTTTTAGTAGAGATGGGGTTTCACCATGTTGGTCAGGCTGGTCTCAAACTCCTGACCTCAGGTGATCCACTTGTCTTCCAAAGTGTTGGGATTACAGGCGTGAGCCACTGTGCCTGGCCCGGATAAGCATTTTCGTAGAATATTATACCTAGTAATGCAATTTTTGATGCTAAACTCCCTTTGGAAGAGGTTAAATCAGTTTATTCTCCCATAAGCAACGATCTATGAAATGGCATCTCAGTGTGGTTTTAATTTACATTTTCTTGGTGACCAATGAGGTTGAACATTTTCCCCCATATGTTTATGGGTTATTTGGGCTTTTGGGAAACTAATTATTATCCCAATTTTTTTTGTTGGATTCATGTTCTTTATATGTTCTTTTTCACACTGTAACTTTCAAAAGTTGTTTATTTTATCATTTTTTATTTATCTGTTTGACATTCTTCATTGAATCTCTTGTTCTTTTGCATGAAGAACAGCACCTTAATTTGACCTACCAGCCTCCCCAGTACCATTCTGCCCCTGTACTCTGCTTGTTGAATTCCATAAATGCTTAAGGTTTCTCAGGTCTTTGCATATAGTCTTTCTTTCCTTGCCTGCCTAGCTAATTTCCTGTCTTACATTGTCTCTGTTAAAATATCACCCTCATGGGCCATGGTGGCTCATGCCTCTATTCCCAGCACTTTGGGAGACCAAGGCCGGGGGATGGGGATCACTTGAACTCAGGAGTTTGAGACCAGCCTGCGCAACATAGTGAGATCTTGTCTCTACAAAAAATGAAAAAATTAGCTGGGTGCCATGCACCTGTAATCCCAGCTACTTGAGAGGCTGAGATAGGAGGATCATTTGAGCTCCAGAGGTTGACGATGCAGTGAACTATGATTACACTACTGCATTCCAGCCTGGGTGGCAGAGTGGGACTCTGTCCCAAAAAAAATTAAAAAAAAAAAAATCACCCTCTTTATCTGCCTCAAATTAACATGTTTTAACCTCTACATTTGTTTATGAAAATAAAATAATTCTCATCAGAAGATTACAGAGGAAGAGGAGAGCTGTCGATATGTTCATTTCTGCCAGGGGATTTTAAAATGCATTGTGCAGAGTAATGAACAAGGATAAAAGTTGTTGAGCTTCAGCAGGAGTGAATGATTTGCTGGTGTCATAATGGTAGCCTCATTAATGATATCCCCCACTGCTCTTCATAATTCTGTTTTCTGTTTGGATGAAGGGTGATAAGGAAAACAGTGATATTGGACTGACTGAGGGAGGATATGTGGGTTTTAATCATGGCCTTGCAGCTACTTAGATTATGTGTTTGACTAAATTAGTGAAGGCTAAATTGCTGTCAACAGACCAAAAATGAATAATGGTCCAAACTTAATAGACATTTATTTCTCACTCGTGGAACAGTTAAGTTGGATGGCCCTCTTTGGTAGGTGGTTCTCTTTCAAATGGTTTCTTCCATCTTGTGACTCTGTCATCCTCTATTCCACTATGACCAGTGGAAGAGGAAAGAGAAGGTGTAAGTGTCACACCAACTTTCTTAAATTAAGCCCTGACCTGAAGTGACACAGGTCATTTCCACTGAACATTCCACTGGAAAGAACTTAGTACATGGCCACTTCTAATTGCACAGGAAGTTGGAATGTGTATCCGCTAAGTGCCCAGCCACAATCCTGTAACTGTGGAAGAAAAAAATTAGTCTCTGCCATAGTGACCTTGGTATAGTTGTCATATTTCTGTAGGTCTCAATTTCTAAGGTATAAGAAAAGGGATCTATACTCAGGAGATTTATCACACACACACCCTTCTTCCTTAGTGATTAAATTTAAAAGGCACAAGCAAAGTGTTTCCATCGTTTCTTCATTCGCCTTGTTCCAATTCAATTTTGAAGGATTATGAGATGCTAAAGGTAGTATTAATCATTGTCTTCTCCTTCTTATCACACCCAAGGTCTTCACAGCTCTGTGGCTTTATCCAGGCCCGAGTACAAACTGCATCATGGCCTTATAGCAAATGGAAGCTTATAATGTGAGATGAAATAATTCTGAAGTTTTAGTTGTAGGCAAATGTATTGGTATGATACTAGTTGCTTTTGAAATATAACTTGTTTAAATAGTCTACATTTTCTCTGGAAAATAAGAATTTTAAATATATTTTAAAACATCTAACAAAGTTGGCTAGAGCTTGAGTCAATTGATTCATAAATTTGGTCTGTGTTAGCAATTTAGTGCAAGGAAATTGTCTTGATAGTTTTGTAACCAAAGTTGGGTAATAGGAATTGTTTTTTAAAACTTTAATTTTTTTGAGACAGTGTCTCGCTCTTTCACCCAGGCTAGAGTACAGTGGCATTAACGTGGCCTTCTGTAGCCTCGACTGCCTGGCGTCAAGTGATCCTCTTTTACTTCAGCCTCCCAAGTAGCTGGGACCCTAAGTGTGCACCCCCTCACCTGGCTAATTAAAAAAATTTTTTGGGCCGGGCACGGTGGCACACGCCTGTAATCCCAGCACTTTGCGAGGCCGAGGCGGGCAGATCACCTGAGGTCAGGAGTTCGAGAGCAGCCTGGCCAACATGACAAACCCAGTCTCTACTAAAAAATACAAAAAAATTAGCCAGGCGTGGTGGTGGGCACCTGTAATCCCAGCTGCTCGGGAGTCTGAGGCAAGAGAATCACCTGAACCCGGGAGTCGGAGTTTGCAGTGAGCCAAGATTGCACCACTGCACTCCAGCCTGGGTGACAGAGTGGGACTCCATCTCAAAAAAAAAAAAAATTTCTGTAGAGATGGGGGTCTCACTATGTTGTCCAGGCTGGCTTCAAACTCCTGGGCTCAAGCCGCCCTCCTACCTCCATCTCCTAAAGTGCTAAGATTACAGCTATGAGCCACCATGCCTAGCCAGAAGTTTCATTTTCGTTTTTTGTTGTTTTTTTTTTTTTTGAGATAAGATCTCAGTCTGTCACCCAGGCTAGAGTGCAGTGCCAAGATCTTGGCTTACTATGGCCTCAACCTACTGGGCTCGAGCAATTCTCTCACCTCAACATCCTGAGTAGCTGGGGCTGCAGGTGAGCACCACCATGCCTGGCTAATTTTGTTTATTTTTTTGTAGAGATGAGGTCACACTGTGTTGCTTAGGTTGGCCTTGAGCTCCTGGGCTGAAGCGATTCTCCTGCCTTGGCCTCCCAGAGTGCTGGGATTACAGGCACGAGCCCAGAAGTTTCATTTTTATGTAAAGACTTAATTTTTAGCTGGAGCATTGTGGGTCATGCTTGTAACATCAGCACTTTGGGAAGCTGAGGCGGGAGGATTGCTTGAGGCCAGGAATTTTAGATCAGGCTGGGCAACATAGCGATACCCTGTCTCTACAAAAAAACAAAACAAAAAAACCCCACAAAATTAGTCAGGTGAAGTGGTGTATGCTTGTAGTCTCAGCTACTTAGGAGGCTGAGACAGGAGGATGGCTTGATCCCAGGAGGTAGAGGCTATAGTGAGCTAAGATGGCGCCACTGTATTCCAGCCTGCATGACAGTGAGAGACACTCAGAAAAAAGTCTCAGAGAAAAAAAGAAAAAAGACATAATTTTAAAAACATTTAGCCCACACTGCTTTCTTTTTGGAAATGATAGTAACATTCACAACTAAAGTAAGTTAATTATAGTTTAAGGGCTGGGCACAGTGGCTCACACCTGTAATCCTAGCACTTTGGGAGGCCAAGGTGGGCAGATCACGAGGTCAAGAGATCGAAACCATTGTGGCCAAAATGGTGAAACCCCATCTGTACTAAAAATACAAAAATTAGCTGGGCATGGTGGTACACACCTGTAATCCCAGCTACTTGGGAGGCTGAGGCAGGAGAATCACTTGAACCCTGGAGGCGGAGGTTGCAGTGAGCCGAGATTGCACCACTGCACTCCAGCCTGGCAACAGAGCAAGACGCCGTCTCAAAAAAACAAAAAAAACAAAAAAACAAAAGTTAGTTTTCTGGTGGGCTCACACATGTAATCCTAACACTTTGGAAGCCAAGGTGGGTGGATCACTTGAGGTCGGGAGTTCGAGACCAGTCTGGCCAACATTAGCAAAACTCTGTCTCTACTAAAAATACCAAAAATTAGCCGGGTGTGGTGATGTGTGCCTGTAATCTCAGCTACTTGGAAGGCTGAGGCAGGAGAATTGTTTGAACCTGGGAGGTAGAAGTTGCAGTGAGCTGAGGTCTCGCCACTGCACTCCAGCCTGGGCAACAGAGCGAGACTCTGTCTCAAAAGAAAAAAAAAAGTTCTCAGTGCCATTTAAATTTCAGTAGAACTTGGACCTGCATAATTCTAATTTTAGAGATTAACTTGTTTGCTGATATACTAAAGTTATCTGTATATTAGAAGAAAATATTTCTCATAAGAAATGCCCTTGGGCCAGGCATGGTGGCTCACACCTGTAATCCTAGCACTTTGGGAGGCCGAAGCAGGAGGATTGCTTGAGCTAGGGTTTCAAGACAGCCTGGGCAACAAAGCAAGACACTGTCTCTATTAAAAAAAAAAAAAATTTGGCCAGGTGCAGCGATTTCATGCTTGTAATCCCAGCCCTTTGGGAGGCTAAGGCAGATGGATCACTTGAGTTCAGGAGTTCGAGACCAGCCTGGGCAACATGGCAAAACCCCACGTCTACCAAAAATACAAAAAATTAGCCAGGCATGGTGGCATGCACCTGTGGTCCCAACTACTCGGGAGGCTTGATGTGGGAGGATTGCTTGAGCCCAGGAGGTAGATGTTGCAGTGAGCCAAGATCGTGCCACTGTACTCCATCCTGGGTGACAGAGTGACAGCCTGTCTCAAAAAAAAAAAAAAAAAAAAGAAGGCCGGGCGTGGTGGCTCACGCCTGTAATCCCAGCATTTTGGGAGGCTGAGGTGGGCAGATCATGAGGTCAGGAGATCAAGACCATCCTGGCTAACACGGTGAAACCCTGTCTCTACTAAAAATACAAAAAAATTAGCCGGGCATGGTGGTGGGTACCTGTAGTCTCAGCTACTCGGGAAGCTGAGGCAGGAGAATGGCGTGCACCCAGGAGGCAGAGCTTGCAGTATGCCGAGATCATGCCACTGTACTTCAGCCTGGGCGACAGAGCGAGACTCCGTCTCAAAAAAAAAAAAAAAAAGAAATGACATAGAGTAAGATATATATTTGGAAAATGTGTGTGTTGCTATTTTTTTTTTTGGCAGTAGAGGGGTGCTGAATACAGAGGACTTTATTGATGGTGCACTACAAAGTGGAGCTTTCTAGGCCTATCCCATTTTTCAGGGGGTCTGGCATGGAAACCGTGTCTGGGAAGGGAGATTCTCAGTGTGATGGCGGGGGACTGAGTGGGGCAGGACTGCACAGCAGCTGAGGGCCTCTCTCTTACTTACATGGTCTCACTGGGGCTGGTGGTCCAGGAGGCCATGTGCACCATAAGGTCTACCACCCTGTTGCTGTAGCCAAATTCATTGTCATACCAGGAAATGAGCTTGACAAAGTAGTCATTGAGAACAATACCAGCTCCAACATTGAAGGTGGAAAAGTTGTTATCACTGTTAGTTGGCAGAGACAACCTGGTACTCAGAGTAGCCCAGGATGCCTTTGAGGGGTCCTCCCACGCCTGCTTCACCTCCTTCATGATGTCATTGTATTTGGCAGGTCTCTCCAGATGGCAGGTCAGGTCCATGATGGACACATTGGCTGTGGGGACATAGAAGGCTATGCCAGTGAGCTCCCTGCTCAGCTTGGAGATGACTTTGCCCACAGCTTTGGCAGCACCAGTAGGTACAGGAGTGATGTTCTGGAAAGCCATTGCACCACAGTTTCCCAGATGGGCCATCAGTGGTCTTCTGGATGTCAGTGATAGTAGCATGGATGAGGTCATGATTCCTCCCATGATGCCAAAGTTGTCATGGGTGATCTTGGCCAGTGGTGCTAAGCAGTTAGTGGTATAGAAGGTTTGCTGGGAATTGCGAGGTGTTTTTTTACTTTTCATGGTTCATGCCCATTACAAACATGGGGGCATCAGCAGAGGGGGCAGAGATGATGACCCTTTCGGTTTCTCCTTTTAAATGAGCCCCAGCCTTCTACAAGGTAGTGAAGATGCCAGTGGTCTCCACAATGTAATTGTGGTGGCATCACCCAATTTGATTTTGGTGGGAATTTGCTCCTAGAAAATGGTTATGGTATTTTCATTGATGACAAGCTTGCCATTCTCAGCCTTGACTGTGCCACGGAATTTGCCATGGGTAGAATCATCATGGAACATATAGACCGTGTAGTTGAGGGCAATGAGGGGGTCCTTGATGAGACAATATCCACTTCGCCAGAGTTAAAAGCAGCCTTGGTGACCAGGTGTCTAATAAGGCCAAATCAGTTTACCTGGCTTTCACTTTCATTGTGATGTCTCAGGGATGTGATGGGTGTTACATGAGAAGATGTGGCTGTTGAATGGGAGGAACAGAAAGTGTAAATTTTTTTTTTAAGAAAAAAATGAATTATTGACTGTAGTAATTGCGTGATTTCATTCTAATAGGTCATGCTGCAATGATATATTGCTGTAACAAACCATCCCAAAACTTAGTGGTGTAAAACATTCATTTTATTATGCTCTGGTTCTGCAGTCAGGAATTGGATGGGGCACACCAGAGTCAGGTTGTCTTTGGCCCATGTTGTCTGGGCATCAGGTGGAAAAACATGACGTCTGAGGGATGGAGTCATTGAAGGCTTCTTCACTCAGAAGTTTGGCTATTGGTACTAGCAGTCAGCTGGAGTTTGTCAACACTTATCCTTGGCCTCTCCCATGTGTCTGTCCTGAGCTGTTCACTGCTTGGTGGCTACCTTCTAAGAGTGAGCATCTCACAAGCAGGTGTCTTAAGTGAGGAAATGGAAGCTGCAGCTTCTTAAACCTGGGAATTAGTAGAGCATTACCCCTGCTGTATTCTATTAGAGGTCAAGCCATCACTGAAGCCATATTCAAGGAGAGGGATCGTGCACCTGACCTCTCATCACATTTGGCAGGTCTCTCCAGATGGCAGGTCAGGTCCATGAGGGACACATTGGTGGTGGGGGCATAGAAGGCTATGCCAGTGACCTTCCTGCTCAGCTTGGAGATGACTTTGCCCACAGCCTTGGCAGGCAGCACCAGTAGGTGCAGGAGTGATGTAAAATAATTTTGTGGCCATGTTTTAAAATCATCCCAGGTTGTGACAGCAGTGCTGTTGATCGTGTAATCACAATTTTTTTAAGCTACTTTTCAATACTTTGTTAGATTATTTAGATTCTTTTTTTTTTTTTTTTTTTTTGAGGTAGAGTCTCACTCTGTCACCAACAATGGAGTGCAGTAGCATGATCTCAGCTCACTGCAATGTCCGCTTCCCAGGCTCAAGTGATCCTCCTACCTCAGCCTCCCAAGTAGCTGGGACCACAAGTGCATGCCATCATGCCTGGTGTGTTTTTGGTAAAGACAGGGTTTTACCATGTTGCCCATGCTGGGGTTTTGTTTGTTTGTTTGTTTGTTTGTTTGTTTTTTGAGACAGGGTCTCACTCTGTCGCCCAGGCTGGAATGCAGTACCACAATCACAGCTCACGGCAATGTCTGCCTCCCAGGCTCAGGCGATCGTCCCTCAGCTTCCTGAGTAGCTGGGACTACAGGTGTGTGCTACCACGCCCAGCTAATTTTTGTATTTTTTGTATTTTTTTGTAGAGGCAGGGTTTTGTCAAGTTGCCCAGGCTGGTTTCGAACTTCTGGCCTCAAGGGATCCTCTGCCTCGCCCTCTCACAGTACTCGAATTACAGGCATAAGCCACCACTCCCGGCCTTAGATTCTTAAAGCTTTCTTTCCTTGCTAATGTTTTATCCAAAACATTTTTAATCCCTTGAGAGTATTCCCATAGTTTCCAGAAGAAAAAGGTATGGGTTGGTTTTAGTAGCTACGTTCAGTCAGGAAACATTTTAAATTATTAACTGTTATACTAATGGTATGAAATGGATACTAATGTCATTTTTCTTTCTTTCTTTTTTTTTGTTGAGATGGAGTTTTGCTCTTATCGCCCAGGCTGGAGTGCAATGGTGCAATCTCCACTCAGTGCAACCTTTGCCTCCGGGGTTCAGGTGATCCTCCTGCCTCAGCCTCCTGAGTCGCTGGGATTACAGGCACACGCCACCACGCCCGGCTAATTTTTGTATTTTTAGTAGAGACTGGGTTTCACCATGTTGGCCAGGCTGGTCTTCAACTCCTGACCTCAGGTGATCCACCCACCTCAGCCTCCCAAAGTGCTGGGATTACAGGTGTGAGCCACCGCGGCTGGCCAATGTATGCTTTTTAATTTAAAAGAATGCTATATTTGAGGGTTTTGAAACGAAATATAATTTATTAGCTTATAGGGTGATGTTATAACTTAAATACAGGACAGTATCCAAAAGCTGTCCTGTTAATGCATAACAGATAAAGATTTCAGATCTTTTGGGATCTTAGACATAGTAACATGTGATTAATTATTATATTCCAAACCATGTAACTCCCAGTACTCATCCCATTATGCACAGGTCATAGGCTGGGGCAGTGAGGCAGTGAGGGGGTTTCATGACAGCAACATTGTGGTGCTGCCTCAACTTTTTAGATGACATAGCCTGATCCCCAGACACTGCAGTCCCACACCTTAAGAAGTTCAGGCGGGTACTCTGTATTTCCCTTTTCCAGTATTCCATCCTCATCCCTTCTGGTTGAGGCTCTGGGAGGTCGAGGTAAAAAACACTGCAATCATTCAGAGAACAGACATGCCTCCGCTAGTCTCTCACTAGACCTAACTGCTCTGGTACAGGCTGGATTGCAAATTGCTTCGTTTTGTTTTGTAATTACCTCATCTCCCAATCAAGTGTGTGATATGGTATCTTAAACAGAATAAGTACTTATTAAATATTCATTTCCTTGAAATTCAGTTGTTTTCCCACTTTGTCCCTCTGCAGTTTTCTTCTCTTCCTCTTTTTGATCAAGGCCTAGCACTGAGATGACATTATCAGCCTGCCTCTCTGGACTCTCTGTGTCCTCTAGAGAGAATAACCAGTGAAAGAAGACTTGGCATCAAGGACAGATACTTCTTCAGTTTTTCTTAGTCTTTTCCCTCTCAATTTACAGTCCATAGTGAGGGAGAAATGAAAGCTACACACAGAAGCATTTTGTCATTCATGGGTGGATAGCTTAGGAAGAAAATTGGTCTCCAAGGAAAAGGTTTAAAACAGACAAACAAATGATAAGTACTTGCCAGACCAAACTTAAACCATCATGCAAAGGAGTAATCCTGAAATTACTTGGGATAAATGCCAGCCTTTATTGGATGCTCTTTTAATTTTTACATATTATGACTTATTTTCAAAATGACAGCAGACAGAAATAACTAAAAGAATTCAAAGCCTGGAATAGTGCATTTTCTACAGCTGTAAGCTATTTAAAATTCTTCTCATGTTACTGTTTGCTATCCAGATGGCTTTCTGGCACTGGTTCAGTTCCTAGATGTGAGAGCTGTTGGTTAGTTACTCACCAGCACCACCACACACTTGTACAATTTGGCTCATGACTCACTCTCATTGCAATTACATGTGGGTACTCTGCTACACAAACAGTCATTCCTGATTGTCATGATGGTACTTGTAAACAAGAACCAGAATTGATTGGATACCATTTCTAGAAGGAAGATTTGTTGACATTCAAAAGCACCCACCTCAGTTAGTCTATTGGACCCATTGCCACTCATTGGAGTGAGAAACAGAAGCAGTCATCTAGACAATGAAACTTTTGTCTAAAATATATACTTGAATGATAGGTGCAAAAGTGTATCCAGTGAGCCACAATTATTTGGATATTTGCTTTGCTCCCATACTGTTACCTAAAGTGATTAAAAAACAAAACAACCCCCACCTCTTACAAAAGAAGTCAGATGGTGGTAGGAGGTTTGGGAGAGGGTTGCTATCTGAAAGAGACAAACAAGGAGTCTCCTGAGATGCTGGCAGTGTTCTTTGTCTTAACCTGGATAGTGGTTTGCTTTGCAATAGGTATTTGCTTTCCAAAAATTCATTGAACTGTACAATTACATGTTGGGTATTTTTGTTTATGCGTTATTAGCAAAAGTGTTTAAAAACAGAAAATGCTCTCCTGTAATGTAGGAGAATTCCCTTAGTTATATCTTCAAAGGCTAGAGAAGGTCTCTATGTTAATGTAGTAGATATTGGTCTTTGGTAGTCTTTGTCCTATTAATTTTATCTATTTAGGGAAATAATCATTTTTACCTTAAAACGTGGTTATTGTCAAACAGTGATTGGAATAGCTTAACACTTAATGATAGTTCCCATGTCCCAAATACTGTTCACTTGAATGGGTTTCAGCAAGGGGTGGAGAGGGTGAGGAGAGAAGACTGTGGGGATGAAATACATTTCTCCTGGAAATACATATATCCATTTGGAATAACTTATCTTGTTGATGTTAGGGGTAAACACGGTCGAACATTTAGATTAGAAAAGAGGAAGGTAGACTAAAAACTAGAAATCTGAAGAGTTTTATTAGCATTGCTTAATAAAAAATTATGTGTTTGGAAGAAGACCATTTAATTTTTAAATTTTTTTTCCATTTCAAGGACTGTATTAAGTAACTTAAAATGGCATATTTTAAAGAGGCTAGCTGTATATTTTGGAATAATAGAGTGATATGACTTTTATTAAATTTTTTTCATCAGCCCTTTTAGTTTGATGAAATAATACCAATAATGTCCTCCCTCTCCACTGAAATACCAGTGTTATGGATTATATGTCTAAATTTATCTTTATACTTTTTTTTTTCTTTGACAGTATCTCACTCACTCTATCGCCCAGGCTGGAGTGTAGTGGCGTGATCTCAACTCACTGCAACCTCTGCCTCCCAGGTTAAAGTGATTCTCCTGCCTCAGCCTCCCAAGTAGGTGGGCGCCTGACAACACGCCTAACTAATTTTTGTATTTTTAGTAGAGAAGGTTTCACCATGTTGGCCAGGCTGGTCTTGAACTCCTGACCTCAAGTGATTCGCCCACCTCAGCCTCCCAAAGTGCTGGGATTACAGGCGTGAGCCACCGTGCCTGGGCTGTGGTTTAGAAATACTAATGAACACATACATATTAAGAATAAATAGCTGGGCCTGTAATCCCAGCACTTTGGGAGGCCAAGGCAGGTGGATCTCTTGACGTTAGGAGTTCGAGACCAGCCTTACCAACATGGCAAAAACTCATCTCTACTAAAAATACAAAAAAAGTAGCCAGGCACGGTGGCAGGCAACTGTAGTCCCAGCTACTTGGGAGGTTGAGGCAGGAGAATCACTTGAACCTGGGAGGCTGAGGTTGCAGTGAGCCAAGATCACACCACCGCATTCTAGCCTGGGCAACAGAGCAAGACTCCATCTCAAAAAAAAAAAAAAAAAAAAGAGAATAAATAGCCGGGTGCTTTGGCTAATGCTTGTAATCCCAAAACTTTGAGAGACCGAGGTAGGAGGATTGCTTGAGCTCAGGAGTTCAAGCTCAGCCTGGGGAATATGTAGCGAAACCTTGTCTCTAGTAAAAAAAAAAAAAAAAAATCAAAAGAATGATGTGGGTGTGGTGGTGTGTGCTTACAGTCCTAGCTACTCAGGAGGCTGAGGTGGGAGAATTGCTGGAGCCTGGGAGGTCAAGGCTGCAGGGAACCATGATCGTGCCACTGCATTCCAGCCTGGGCAACAGAGTAAGACCCTGTCTCAAAAAAATAAATAAATAAAATAAAATAATTTTTAAAAATACAGAATAAATTGCTAAGTTCTAACCTAAGTCCTTCCTTTGGACCCACTCAAAGTGTCTGGAACAATAGAACTTTAAAAGAGTGTATAAACTGTATGCCATCATTAAAGGCACGTTGAATAAAAGAAACATTTATTTTATAGTTACTTTTGAACTGTATGAGTGTCTTTCCTTCCACCCTTAATTGCCGCGCATTAGGTTATACTTGCAGTTTTTTCTTTTAACTTTAAACACAGTTCTAATTCTAATGTGTATATTAGTTTATATTTGGATTTTTTTCATGTTATTTCTAAACATTGCCACATATTCTTGATAAACATGATTTTAAATGAGTGCACCAAGTGGATGCCATCAGGTGGGTCTGTTATTTTTTTAAATTTTTCATTTTTATATATTTTGCTTTATACATGAAACTTTTTCTGTATTCAGGTTTGTAAATAGGTACATTCCAGAACTGGAATTACCAAGTTATTCAAGGCTCAGTGCCTATTTGCAAATTTTTTTTTTTTTTTTTTTGAGACTGAGTCTTGCTCTGTTGCCCGTGCTGGAGTGCAGTTCTGCAAACAGGGTTCACTGTAGCCTCCACCTTCTGTGCTCAAGAGAAAGAGATCCTCCTCCCTCAGCCTCTCGAGTAGCTGGGACCACAGGCATGTGCCACCACACCCAGCCAATTTTTAAATTTTTGTAGAGATGGGGTCTCACTATGTTGCCCAGGCTGGTGCAGATGTTTTGTAAAAGCTGTTTAGAGTGCCATCTTTGATTTGAGAGGATAAGTTTAAATGTCATTTTATTATAAATGATATGATATATAATGTTATAGCAATTCTTTAATAATTTGTGGAATTACTTTAGAAATAGCTCTTACATATAATTATAGCAATTCGGAATAAATAATCACCTTTAGAAAATGAAGTTCTAGGGCCGGGCGCGGGTGGCTTACGCCTGTAATCCCAGCACTTTGGGAGGCCGAGGTGGGCAGATCACGAGGTCAGGAGATTGACACCATCCTGGCTAACACGTGAAATCCCGTATCTACTAAATACAAAAAATAGCTGGTTGCGGTGGCGGGCGACTGTGGTCCCAGCTACACAGGAGGCTGAGGCAGGAGAATGGCATGATCCCGGGAGGCAGAGCTTGCAGTGAGCCAAGATCGCGCCACTGCACTCCAGCCTGGGTGACAGAGCGAGACTCCGTCTCAAAAAAAAAAAAAAAAAGGCAAAATGAAGTTCTATACTGTTCAGTTTTTAAGTACCCATTATAATGCATACTTCACCATGAACACATCAACAGTTGGGGCTGATTTGTTGTCTTTGAGCAACGTCGGGGGTAGGGACCAAAGCCCAGATGAATCAAGATCCCATACCTTAAGTTGCCTCTGAATGAAACCTCAAGTTGTGATAGCAAATGTAGTATTTAAAGAAGTAATGTGGCCAGGTGCAGTGGCTCACACCTGTAATCCCAGAACTTTGGGAGGCTAAGGCGGGTGGATCACGATGTCAGGAGTTCAAGACTAGCCTGGCCAACATGGTGAAACCCCGTCTCTACTAAAAATACAAAAATTAGCCGGGCGTGATGGCAGGTGCCTGTAATACCAGCTTCTCGGGAGACTGAGGCAGGAGAACTGCTTGAACCTGGGAGCCGGAGGTTGTAGTGAGCCGAGATTGCACCACTGCACTCTAGACTGGGTGACAGAGCAAGACTTAGTCTCAAAACAAAAACAAAAACAAAAGAAGTAATGTTTTTTCTTTTATATTTTAAAAAGAATTCTTTTTTTTTTCCGACTCACTGTAAGCTCCACCTTCTGGGTTCACACCATTCTCCTGCCTCACCCTCCCGAGTAGCTGGGACTACAGGCACCTGCCACCATGCCTGGCTAATTTTTTGTATTTTTTAGTAGAGATGGGGTTTCACTGTGTTAGCCAGGATGGTCACGATCTCCTGACCTCGTGATCCGTCCACCTCAGCCCCCCAGAGTGCTGGGATTACAGGCATGAGCCACTGTGCCCGGCCAAAAAAAATCTCTTTTTAAATATCTCCTATGATTTTGGTTGAATTTGTTCACCTATAGAACAAATTTATGTTGTTTTCTGCTTATCATTAGATGTAAAGGAGTAAAGTCCAGTGGGTTCTGCTGGCACATTGGTGGGGAAGCTGAGAACTTTTAAACTCTTTCCCCTTTCTCCAGTGAACAATCGACAGGATATGGGTTATAGTTACAGTTAAAGGGTTTATTGAACTAATTGTCACTGCTGAAGTTCCTGTGCCCTCTGATAGCTTCCTTGAAAAGTTTTCATAGTTTAAAAACTCTGCTTGTCCTTAGCCTTTGATCTCTTGCTTTGATGCTCAAACAGAAGAATGATACAAGACTGAGGATCTTGCCAGGCAAGGTAGGCCTGTGAAAAGACATTTCCTTTAAATACAAAAAGAAAAAAGAAAAAGGGGAAAATTATGCTAATTGCTTTGGGGAAAAAATCTGACTTTTGGGTCTGACTCTGTCTGTGTGTATTCCTGGATAATTTACTTAAACTCTCTTAGCTTTAGTTTTCTTATCTTTAAAATGGGTAGGGTCTGTAACTCCTAAGATACCTCCAAGTTGAAACTCTGAGTCACTTCTCTCAGGCTGAACTGTTTGTGTAGTCCTATAAAATAAGAGTGACTAAGGGAAATAGCAGAATATATTTTATTTTCAACCTAGTGGCAATAATTTAATTTCCTTCAAAATATAGCTACAGAAGATTTATTGGTAACCAATTGGTTTGTTACCTCATTTTTTAAAAGTGGCATGTTACAGTTTTAAGTCTGACAAAACACATGATATTTTAATTGCAGAACACCACATTTTGTGAGTATGCCCTCTCCCTCAATAATTTTCTTAAAGGGTTGTGCATGAAGCTCTGAAGAGTTACATGTCATCTTGTGGTTTTAGTTTGAATATCTCTTCGGTAAATTTGTTACTAAAGGTCTTGAAAACTAAGAGCTAGTTATACTGGGTTTACATTCCTCTGATTAGTTAAGGGTCTAGTTTTCTTGACTTAGAGCTTCTTTACCCTTCAAGAATTAGCCAAAAACAACATAGCCAAATATAGGAAACATCATTCATTGGCAGATAGAAATGTATACTGTTATGTTCATTACTTTGAAAAATATAGGCTACAATTATATCTGGATAAATTATGGAGACTCTGTTGCTACTTTGAGAAATAGTAGTGATGGCAGCGGTGGACCGTCTAGAACAGCTGCTGCCATCATGCCAGCTGCAGCAAGGAGGTGTGGCCGGGGCTGCATGCTCTGTGGAGCTGGCGGGAGCTGGGGAACAAATGGGGCCACATCCCTTCCAAGTTAGTGGGTGGGAGCTTCCCAGGAGCAGCTGCAGCTACCCAAACTGTGGGTGCAGACCCGGGCCTCCTGCTCCATGGAGCAGGCAGGAGCACACTCCTTGCCATTGGCCCCCCAGCCCCTTCTCTCCCATGCCAGTGCAACTGCCCAACCAGGCATCCCCACACTCCTTAGGGGCCCAAGAAGGCCCACTCTGCCCTCTCAGGCTCGGAAATGCCTGCTCCCACTGTCTGGCTTTTCCCTATTGTCGGCACCCAGTCTGACCTTGGAGCAGAGTCAGGGCCAAGCCCAAGTGTTGTCACATCCCAGCCAGGTGTGCACATGCTCAGGGTAGTGCTGACACGCCAGCCCCCTGCCACCTTGGCCCCCTCCAGATTTTGGGCACCAATGAACATAGGAGGGAAGCTGAGGGGAGGCTGAGGGCAGCTTGGCGCTGACCTGTAGGCGGTACCTACAGCTTGGGTGCCATGATCAGCAACAGGAGGCAGACAGGTTTCTGGGTGGAAGTAGGTTGGGTCCTCAATGAGCCTCCATCTTCAGGCCAGGGAGGGTCTGAAGGCTAGGGACCAGGCTGCCAGTTCCATGGACTAGAGTGGGAACTTGTGCCTTTTCCGGGCCTGCCCATGGCTGCCTGTGGACCAGTTGGCACACACTTCCTTCTCCCTGAGGCCCATAAAAGCCCCAGGCTCAGCCTGAGCTGAGCAGACATCAGGATGACCAGCTGCAAAGAAGAGCTACCCATTCCAGGGCCTCCTCTTGGTTGAGAGCAGCAGACATCAGGACAACAGGCTGCAGACAGGAGCTACCCACTCCAGGGCCTCCTCTCTGTTGAGAGCAGCAGACATCAGCACAACAGGGTGCAGAGAGGAGCTACCCATTCCAGGGCCTCCTCTCTGCTGAGAGCAGCAGATGTCAGGACAGCCAGCTGCAGAGAAGAGCTACCCATTTCAGGGCCTCCTGTCTGCTGAAGAGCTGCAGAGATGACAGGATGACCTGCCTTCAGAGAAGAGCTACCCACTCCAGGTCCTCCTCTTAGCTGTTGTCACTCAGTAAAGCTCCTCTTTGTCTTGCTCACCCTCCGCTTGGCTGCGTACTTCATTCTTGGGACCTGCCAATTGAGGCTAAAAGAACTGTAACACAAACAGGGCTGAAACATGACCTTTGTTCATCGCATTGCAGGCGAAGAGGAGAGAAGAGCTGTAGCCCTTTGGGGAGCCCAGACCTGGGAACTCCCCGAGCCAGGACTGTGACTTCCTCTTTGGGGCCCCGGGGTTCCTGACATCTCCAAGCTTCCGGGTGCCACCATGTCCCCCAGTGCCAGCTGTGGAAGCTGCTTGTGGTACACCTGGTCCAGCCGTAGCCTCAGGGAGAGCTGGTGCCCGTACTGGCACCTGGAGCTGCCTGCCCTGCTGCAGCAGCTGGCAAGTCTGACTGTGCAGGGGCTGGACCCCACACTTGCTCACACACCCATTGCTGCTTCACACAGTCTCCCTTGGCAGTCATGGGATCCAGTCCCATAGTGTGAATCGAGTGCAGCCTGCTAGGCCAAGTGGGCAGACTGAGCCTAGTGGGCCCTGTCAAAACTAAGGCAAAGGCGCCACTGGCCACAGATGTTTCTGGCCAGAAAAACAACACCCCAAGGATCCTGTAACAGTAGGAATTATTTTAGGGCAGTGATTCTGAAAGTGGACTGTGTGAAGCCCCCAAAAGATGGTTTTGAAATTTGTTGGGTTATGATTTTGTTCTTGTTGGCACAGTGATTGAGGGAAGTGCTACTGTTAGGTAATGGATAATCAAACATCCTGAAGTACACTGGACAGTTTTGTATAACAAAAAAAGTCTTATATAAACATGATTTTTGAATTTTCTACAGATATCTATGTATTTGAAAAGCTTGTTTTTTGTTTTTGTTTTTGGTTTCGTTTTTTCTTTGATACAGAGTCTCTGTCACCCAGGTTGGAGTGCAGTGGCACGATCTTGGCTCACTGCAACTTCTGCCTCCCAGGTTCAATCGATTCTCCTGCCTCAGCCCCCCAAGTAGCTAGGATTGCAGGCATGTGCCACCATGCCCGGATACTTTTTTTTTGTCTCAAAAAAAAAAGGGGAATACTGAATATGACAAAATTGAAAATCATTCTTCTGGAGAATATTTAGCTTAATACTATATATCTCCTTAGAGTGTTTACAAAGTTTGACAGCCAGTCTAACTCAGTTATTAGTAAATTGCTAATGACAATATCAAGGTAGATATATTTAACCTTGCAGTATTCCCTCTGATGATTTACTCCTAGTTGGGAAAAACATTTCTAGGTCTTTAAACACAATAATTCTGCTTTACAGGCATCTTCAGTATGTTGCTGAATCATTAGAATATTTCTGAATCAATTGATACTTTGAATGTGAGGGTTTTGTCCTTGAAATTGTAGATAGGGGAATTGATTTTGGAGATTGGTGTGATGTTTCTTTGTAAGTGAGGAAGGATTTTTCTATTTTTAAGCATGGGCAACTGTTAAAGGATAAAATTTTTCTTTGTAAGTGAGGAAGGATTTTTCTATTTTTAAGCATGGGCAACTGTTAAAGTAAAGGATAAAATTTTTCTTTATGATGCACCTAAAGATGGCACAAGAAAGATACTTAGCCTTTGCAGTGTATTTTGCCATTAAAAAAATTTTAAGACATTTAAAATGTGAAATATAGCACAGATATAGAAAAGTACATAAAACATAAAAACTTAGTGAATTATTCTGAAATGAGTTTTTTATTTTCTTTATACTAGAAACAATTTTCAGTCTGTTGGAGCTTGAGAAATAAATAATGGTTATCCCTTTGACATCAAGGGAGTTCTTCAGCCTATTTAAATTTAGGAGAGGATGCCTTATCCTGAAAATAGCAGTTTTATAGTCAAACATTAGTTAAAAAAATACATCATTTTCAGAAACACCTATAACATTACTGGGATTGCAACACAGTGAGGGTGCCATCTTTAAGTTATAGGTGAGATCCATTTTATGCTCTTCTTCACATGACAGGAGTTTATGTATTTGAGACATGGCAGCATTAGGCAAAGCCTGATCTATGCAAAAGAATTTTATATGTTTGTTAATATTTTTTACTTTATTCTTTTAAGGAAAGATACATGGGCTACCTGAAATGTAGGTTGAGATTTTGTAAAACCACATGCAAATAGACTTGAATGTCTGAGTTAAGTAATTTCAACTTTTTTTCTTTCGCCCCACTTCGTCTCACTCTTCCTTCCGTCTCACTCTGTTGCCCAGGCTGGAGTGCAGTGGCATGATCACAGCTCATAGCAGCCTCAACCTCCTGGGCTCAGGTGATTCTCCCATCTTAGCCTTCCAGGTAGATGGGACTACAGGTGTGTGCCATGTAGTCCCATGCACAGCTAATTTTTTTTTTTTTTTTTTGAAGAGAGGGGGTTTTGCCATGTTGTCCAGGATGGTCTTGAACTCATGTGCTCAAGTGATCCCCCCACCTCAGCCTCCCAAAGTGCTGGGATTATAGGCATGAGCCACTATACCTGGCTAGTTTTCTTAATTTAAAGAGTTGTAGGATATGTAGATATATATGGCATTTTATCTATGTATTGGTAAAATATTTTGATTTCATATAAAGGTATCACTTGCGGAGGCTGTTTGTGATATTTCTTAGAGTAAGTGCTGAAAGACTATATTGAAGATTGCAAGGTTCAAGTTTTCCTGTCAAGCATGATTTAAATCAAATTTTTAATATCCAATATAATTGTCCTACTAGCAGATTCTTTTTTTTTGGAAATGGAGTCTTGCTCTGTCATCCAGGCCGGAGTGCAGTGGCATCATCTTGGCTTACTGCAACTTCCGTCTCTCAGTTTCAAGCAATTCTCCTGCCTCAGGCTCCTGAGTAGCTGGGATTACAGGCAGCCATCACGCCCAGCTAATTTTTGTATTTTTAGTAGAGACAGGGTTTCGCCATGTTGGCCAGGCTGGTCTCGAACTCCTGACCTCAAGTGATTCACCTCCCAAAGTGCTAGTGGGATTATAGGCGGGAGCCACTGTGCCCGGCCTCCTTCTTACAAATTCTGTGGGATTTGTTACTCATTTCTTCATTTAACCATAAGTGATTATTTATTGAGAGGCTAATATGTGCCAGGAGCTAAAGAGCTAGAAATAATATGAGACTAGGGAGAGATGAGTACACAGTGAGCTTTAATACAGTGTGCTCCAGTGTTGTCACAGGTATGTCCTGGGTGCTTGAGACACACCGAGGAGTATCAGGGAAGGTTTCCAGGAATCTAGAATAATAAAATTTGGTCAGGCAATATGGAGCTGAAGACATCTTAGGAAGAGGGAATAATCTGTTTAAAGTAGGAGGCAGGAGAGAATGTGAGATATGCTGGCAAGTACCTGTGATTCAGCATGACTGGACTAAGGATCCTGTGTGTTGAATGACACATTTAGAGAGGAAGGAAAGTAGGGGCCCAATCATGAATTCATTCTCATAATTCAATTTTTAAATTAGTCTTGCTTTGTTGCCTGTGCTGGTCTCGAACTCCTGACCTCAAGTAGTTCTTCCACCTTGGCCTCCCAAAGTGCTAGGATTATAGGTGTGAGCTGCCATGCCCTGTCTCATAATTCATTTTATTTTTTATTTTACTTTTTGAGACATAGTCTCACTCTTGCCCAGGCTGGAGAGCAGTGGTGCAATTAACAGCACACTGCAGCCTCAGCCTCCTGGGCTCAAGTGATCCTCCTGCCTTAGCCTCCCTAGTAGCTAGGACCACAGGTGCATGCCACAACTCTTGGCTAATTTTTTTTTTTTTTCTTGATAGATGAGGTCTCACTATGTAGCCCAGGCTGGTCTTGGGCTCCTGGGCTCAAGCAGTCCTCCTGCCTTGGCCTCCCAAAGTGCTGGGATTATAGACATGAGCCACCACTCTTAGCCTTGTAATTCATTTTAGATATAATCATTTCATCAAGAATTTTTTTTTTTTTTTTTTGGAGATGGAGTCTTGCCCTGTCGCCCAGGCTGGAGTGCAGTGGTGCGATCTCGGCTCACTGCAACCTCCGCCTCCCGAGTTCAAGCGATTCTCCTGCCCCAGCCTCCCAAGTAGCTGGGATTACAGGGGCGTGCCTCCATGCCCAGCTAATGTTTGCATTTTTAACAGAGACGGGTTTTCACCATGTTGGTCAGGCTGGTCTTGAACTTCTGACCCCATGATCTGCCCGCCTTGGCCTCCCAAAGTGCTGGGATTGCAGGCATGAGCCAGCGCGCCTGGCCTTCATCAAGAAATTTTTGTATCTACCTTAATGCATTTTCTCTAATGGCTTAGAAATTTAGAATTTTATATCTTGGCAGTTGATGCTATAGGATGGGAGTGCTGGTGAGATGCAGTCAGTCTCTTTGAAAAGATTGCTGCTCTGGGCATTATGTCTCAGATGCCTTACCATTTCCAGCTGTCTGGTAAGGGTGAGATCCCAGAGTTTTATTTTTCTAGTTTCATGCTCTTTTATTAGTATTGTATTAATTGGGTGATTTGGTTTCAGTTCTGAGATTCTTGACAAAAATCTGTGTTGAAGAAACTAGGGACGTGTACAGGTTTATTATGTTTCTAATTCTGTGACAGAGGGCTGATGTTTCATAAACCCACCTCAATTTTAAATGCTAACTTCTGGGCCGGGCACGGTGGCTCATGCCTGTAATCCCAGCACTTTGGGAGGCCGAGGCGGGTGGATCATGAGGTCAGGAGTTTGAGACTAGCCTGACCAACATGGTGAAACCCCATCTCTACTAAAAATACAAAAATTAGCCGGGCATGATGGTGTGTGCCTGTAATCCCAGCTACTCAGGAGGCTGAAGCAGGAGAATTGCTTGAACCTGGGAGGCAGAAGTTGCAGTGAGCTGAGATCATGCCACTACACTCCAGCCTGGGTGACAGAATGAGACTCCATCTCTAAACAAATACATACATACATACATACATACATACTAACTTTCATTTTTCCTCCAGCTTTTGTTGGCAGCTCTTGGTTAGACATAGTACTTGAGTTACTTGTTCAGTAGCTGGCTTCCACCTCTGTCTTTGCATGGTGGTATTTGAATATAAGCAAAGTATATATATATATTTTTTTATTGTTGTTTTGTTTTTTTTGAGGCAGACTCTCACTCTGTTGCCCAGGCTGGAGTGCAGTGGTGTAATCTTGGCCCACTGCAACCTCCACCCTCTGGGGTCAAGCAATTCTCCTGACTCAGCCTCCCTGGTAGCTGGGATTACAGGTGCCTGCCGCCATGCCTGGCTAATTTTTTTGTATTTTTAGTAGAGACAAGGTTTCACCATGTTGCCCAGGCTGGTCTCAAACTCCTGGGCTCAAGCACTCCACTTGCTTCGGCTTCCCAAAGTGCTGAGATTATAGGCTGAGCCACCCTACCTGGCCCTGCAAAGTATGGTCTTTATAAGTTAATACAGCATGTTTTCATTCAGCAAATACTTATTGAATGCTTATTACTTGCAAGATTGAGAAGCTCCTACACCAGATCTTCAAAGGCTGCTCTGAAGTGATTTGCTTAATTTTAGGACTAGTGCCTTAATAACATGTGTAGTGACTGTGTAGTTTTGTTCGTGTTTATGGAAGTTTATTGGTTAAGAGTTCCTGAGTATAGAGACCTTTCCATATACTGTGGTGAGAAACAGTACTTTAAAAAGCATGTTGACAATACCTGAATTCTGTGATCAATCTTAGCATGGCTAAAAGTAAGACCACTAGACATTATATCTCCTCAAGGAGCTTATAATGAATCCATATTTAAATTTCCCAGATTATTTCAAAGATAGGTTTTGTTTGTTTGTTTTTTGTTTTTTTTGAGATGGATTTTTGCTTTTGTTGCCCAGGCTGGAGTGCAATGGCACAATCTCTGCTCACTGCAACCTCCACCTCTTGGGTTCAGGCGATTCTCCTGCCTCAGCCTCCTGAGTAGCTGGGATTACAGGCTTGAACCACCATGCCTGGCTAATTTTTTTGTATTTTTAGTAGAGACAGGGTTTCGCCATGTCAGTCAGGCTTGTCTCAAACTCCTGACCTCAGGTGATCCACCCACCTCGGCCTCCCAAAGTACTGGGATTACAGGCATAAGCCACCGTGCCTGGCCCAAAGATAGTTGGTTTTTTTTTTTTGAGACAGAGTCCCACTCTGTTGCCCAGGCTGGAGTGCAGTGGCGTGATCTCAGCTAACTGCAACCTCCACCTTCCTGGTTCAAGTGATTCTTCTGCCTCAGCCTCCCGAGTAGCTGGGACTACAGACACACGCCACCACCCCCGACTAATTTTTGTATTTTTATTTTTTTGAGACGAAGTCTCGCTGTGTTGCCCAGGCTGGAGTGCAATGGTGCTGTCTAGGCTCACTGCAACCTCTGCCTCCCAGGTTCAAGCAATTCTCGTGCCTCAGCCTTCTGAGTAGCTGGGATTACAGGCACCCGCCACCATGCCTGGCTAATTTTTGTATTTTTAGTAGACATGGGGTTTCACCATATTGGCCAGGCTGGCCTCGAACTCCTGACCTTGTGATCCACCTGCCTTGGCCTCCCAAAGTGCTGAGATTACAGGCATGGGCCACAGTGCCTGGCTAAGATAGTTTTTTATAGTTGATTTGTTCCAGCTAACATTGGATTTGGCTGTGTCTCCTAAGTGTTTTTTAAATTCTTTAACAGTCCTTCCACCATCTTCTTCCTCCTCTTCTTGATATTGATTAGCTGGAGAAACCATATAATTTGTTTTATTGAAGATGCCACATTCTCTACTTGGCTGATTGCTTCCTTGAAGTATTTAACTTTTTTCTCTGTTTCCTGTAAACTAGCACATAGATCAGATCTAAAGCCTTGATTAGATTCAAGTTCAGTTTTGTTTTGTGTGAATGGTAAGTACTGACTATTGCATTTCATGAGGAGACACATAATGTCTGATAGTCCCACTTTTAGTAATGCTAAGATCAGGGGATTCCTGTAGTGTCAACAAGACAGACACGGACGATTGTAAAGTTTCTTCTCCTTTCACCTTATTATTATTTATGTCTTTAGCATCTATTAATGATCATTGCCTAGATCTGTTAGTTCATTAGCACTTGCAGAATTGTGATTTTCTAATTTATTATTCTTTTTCCATTTATTAGCAAAAGAAGTTCTAAAAATTGTTTTTTAATTTTTATTTTTTTAAGACAGGGTCTCACTTTGTTGTCCAGGCTGGAGTGCAGTGGTACTATTTTAGCTCAATGCAGCCTTAGATTCTTGGACTCAAGCAATCCTCATGCCTCAGTCTCCCAAGTAGCTGGGACTACAGGTATGCACCACTACGCCTGGCCAATTTTTTGTATGTTTTGTAGAGACAGGGTCTTGTTTGTTGCCCAGGCTGGTCTCAAACTCCTGGACTCAAGCAATCCACCCATCTAAGCCTCCCCAAGTAATGGTATTACAGGCATGGGCCACTGTGCCCGGCCTCCTGTCTCTTTTGATATGACACTTTCATTAATGGCATAATTGTTAAATGAACCTTGGTTCATTTAACTTTAGCGCTCATGTTCTTCCAATTATTATTGTTGTATCTTCTTGAAGGAAGCCCTTAAGGAATAGGTAAGACTTAAATGGCACTATTAAAGGGTGCATTTGTTGGGATAGTGCGTTTGTTTTGATATGAGGAGTTTATTCCTCATGTGAACATAGGTCTAGCAGCAGGAAGGCAGAAGGCACTGTGATACCAGTCTCGGGCTGTAGAGTGATGGGAGAGCAAGAAAAATAGGCCAGAGAAATAGCACAAGGGGCCTTGCCATCTGTATTGAGCGATTTGGTGTTTTTAATGCTTAGGGGATGGGCCGTGAGGTTGATAGAAAATTGTCCTTGTTGGCTGGGCACGGTGGGTCACGCCTGTAATCCCAGCACTTTGGGAGGCCAAGGCGGGCGGATCACGAGGTCAGGAGATCGAGACCATCCTGGCTAACACGGTTGAAACCCCGTCTCTACTAAAAATACAAAAAATTTAGCCAGGCATGGTGGCAGGCGCCTGTAGTCTCAGCTACTCGGGAGGCTGAGGCAGGAGAATGGCGTAAAACTGGGAGGCGGAGCTTGCAGTGAGCTGAGATGTCACTACTGCATTCCAGCCTAGGCAACAGAGAGAGACTCCATCTCAAAAAAAAAAAAAATTGTCCTTGTAGAGAAAGGGCCCTCTTGATTGCAAATTGTTCTTGTTGAGAGAGGGCCCTCTTGATTGTCATTTTCATTGGAATTTGCAGAGAAAAACTCAGCCTAAGAAGCTAATATTTTCTAAATAAAGTTTGGAGAAAAATCACCTGTCAAGTGCTGGTTAACTAAATTTCTTAGGACCCTGTAATCCTTAAGCATGCAGTTTATTCAGATGTCAAATATCTATGTTGAATTTGAATCAATGTGGTGTGTGTGTGTGTACATATGTATGTGTATATATTTTTATTTATATGTATATAAGAATAATTTTTTTCCTTTAGTTGGTGGTATGGATTGGATAATGTACATATATATAATTTGTGAAGTGATAAAAGTGTATTTAAATAATTTATTTCTGCTGACTTACTCTTGGTTTTTAAAATATCACATTATTTAATTGGCCTCCTGTTACATTATTGGCTATATTGAAATCTAAGGACTAATTGTAGATTAGTGGTCTTTATCATATCTTGGTATAAAATTTGGCTGATGGTTGTTTTGCTATGTTTTAATTACTGATTTCTAGGGCCCCGTGGTTATGAATGTGCTTCAGTTTCATAATGCCTCCTGCTATGGCAGACATCCTTGACATCTGGGCGGTGGATTCACAGATAGCATCTGATGGCTCCATACCTGTGGATTTCCTTTTGCCCACTGGGATTTATATCCAGTTGGAGGTACCTCGGGAAGCTACCATTTCTTATATTAAGCAGGTATGTTAATAGGTATAATTTCTATGTGTTTAGCATACTGTGTCACTTGGGGGAAATATCATTCTATAATAGAAAATGTTAATGTAAATTATATGTGATAATGATAGTAATGAAGTGATGGTAATTAAGAAAAATTAGTTTATGTTAGCTAGTTTGAAATGTTTGTTTGGGTTATTAAAACTGTCAAGAAGATTTTCTTTTGAGTTCGTCTTTGAAATTACTGTCTTTGAGCTTGTCACACTTTTAAAAATGTGATTTTTGGTTCATTTTCTCTTCTCTCCTTTTTCTTCTCTTCCCCCTTTCCTTGACTCTTGGGGGAAGAAAGACTTTTCTGCTGTTCACCAGATATTTTTCCCTCAGCAGGCTTGCCTTTTCTGTTGCATTAGTTTTTAAAGTAAATTGATGAGCACCGTTGATTTGTAAAAACCAGCATATACATGAACTTGTTTTTCTAAACTTTCTTTCTAATGTTTTTCAAAAAGCTGAACCCAATGTGAATATCAGGAGTTACGGTATTTTTAAGAAAACATATTTATGATATACCTCTGAAAACTCTTGGCTTTGGACAAGCCTCTTAACTCCTTTCCAAGCTTCTTCATTAGAGAAACTGGAATTCTAAAATGGCATGATCCTTAAAGTAAAAAGAAAATACAGAATTGACTTAAGCATCTCATACGCTCATGCATGGTGCACCTATTTTTATAGTCACCAGTGACAAGTATGGATTCCTATGGCTATACTTCACATTAGATTAACCATTTATCTCTTTTTAATTGTGAAATATACATAACCTGGAATTTACTATTTAGACATTTTTAGGTGTGCATTCACAGTGCTGTGCAACCATCACCAGTATCCATTTCCAGCACTTAACCATCATCCCAAACAGAAACTTCATACCCATAACTGCCCCTTTCCCTCAATTCCTTTTTATTTCTATTCTGTTTTCCATCTCTACCAGTTTGCCTATTCTTGGTACTTTATATAAGTGGAAACATACAATAAATAGCTATCCTTTTGTAGTTGGCTTGCATAGCATAGTGTTTTTAAAGTTCATCCATGTTGTAGCATATATCCTAGTTTCATTCCCTTTTATGGCTGAATAATATTCCATTGTATGTATATGCCACATTTTGTATATTTATCTGTTGATGAACATTTGGGTTGCTTCCAGCTTTTGGCTATTGTGAATATTATGCTACTCTGAGCATTGGTGTATAAATGTCTGTTTGAATTCCTGCTTTCAGTTCTTTTGGGTATATACCTAGAAGTGTGATTGTTGGTTCACAGTGGTAATTCCATGTTTTAACTTTTGAGGAACTGCCACACTGTTTTCCACAGTGGCTGCACCATATAATGTTGGGACCAGCAGTGTACAAGGGTTCCAGTTTGTCTACATACTGGCCAACACATGCTATTTTCTCCTCGCTCCCTCCCTCCCTCTCTTCCTCCCTCCCTCTCTTCCTCCCTCCCTCTCTTCCTCCCTCCCTCCCTCTTTTCCTACCTCCCCTCCTTCCTCTCCCTCTCCTCCCTTCCCCTCCCCTCTCTCCCTCCCTCCCTTCTTCCTTCCTTTCTTCCTTCCTCTTTTCTTACATTATTTCTTTCCTTTTTTTGTTTGTCTAAGAGATACGATCTTGTTTGCCATATTTTCTGTGTGTGTGTGTGTGTGTGTGTGTGTGTGTGTGTGTGTGTGTTTAATAGTATCCATCCTAATGGATGTGAAGTGGTATCTCATTGTGGGTTTTTTTTTGTTTTTTGTTTTGTTTTTTTGAGACGGAGTCTCGCTCTGTCGCCAGACTGGAGGGCAGTGTCATGACCTTGGCTTACTGCAACCTCCGCCTCCTGGGTTCAAGTGATTCTCCTGCTTCAGCATCCTGAGTAGCTGGGACTATAGGTGCACACCACCATGCCCAGCTAATTTTTGTATTTTTAGTAGAGATGGGATTTCACCATGTTGGCCAGGATGGTCTTGATTTCTTGACCTCATGATCTGCCCACCATGGCCTCCCAAAGTGCTGGGATTACAGGTGTGAGCCACTGCACCCAGCCTCATTGTGGTTTTTATGTGCATTTCCCTCATGACTAATGATGTTGAGCATCTTTTTATGTGCTTGTTGGTCATTTGTATGTTTTTTGGAGAATTATCTTTTCTAGACCTGTACTGATTTTTAAACTTTGTTTTCTGTTATTGAGTTGTAGGAGTTCTTTATATATTCTGGATATTAATATCTTGTCAGATATATATGATTTGCAAATATTACCTCCCATTTTGTTGGTTGCCTTTTCATTCTCTTGATAATGTCTTTTGCTGTACAGAAGTTTTAAGTTTTGGTGAAGTTCAGTTTACCTTTTTTTCTTAATGTTACTATTTTGAGCCTTTAGAATGAAAAGTTTACCTATCATTATTATTATTGTTGTTGCTTGTACTTTCTCCTGTATGTTTTATGTAACTGAATCTGAGCTGAGGATTGGCCACAATTTTTAACTCAGGTCTGTTATTTTCAGCTCTTAGCTTTTGTACTGGCTGTTAACAAAATATGCAATCCCTTTTTGTTTTTGTGTGGTGAACTTCTTTTATATTATCTCATCCAGGAGACATGGAAAGAGATGTTGAGAGATTGATTATGATCATTCTGACAGGACAGTGTTAGTAAGGATACCCCTGATAAAAGAAAAGAGTGCAGGACAAAAATAATTTAAATATTGTATGGAGGTGGTGATACATACTTTAAATTAAAATTTTTTTTTGATTACTCCTGATCAGTAGTTTCTGCTTACAGGAAAGTGAAATATGAAAGTTTTCATTGAGTCTTACTTGTCATAGATAATTTGCTTTTAGTAATTTCATTTATAATGCATTTTTTGTGCACTATGCCATTATATTACCCTACAAACATGGGATAATACCATATATACTCTCCTATAATTTGCTGTTGTAAGAAAACTTGAATATTTTGTATGGTTTTCCATTTCAGAATGAATTTATATTTTTTTCTATTTTTCTGAATATATTTCTATTATTTTCACCATTCTGTAATATTCTATAATTCATTTAACCAATCTTTTATTGCTAAACATTTGATTTGTTCATAGTTTTTTATTTTTACAAACAGTGCTGCAGTGAGCATCCTTATATCTTTGTACACTTGAGCAAGTGTTTCCATTCCAGAAAATGTCTTATTTTTTCTCATAGATGTTATGGAAGCAAGTTCACAATTACCCAATGTTCAACCTCCTTATGGATATTGACTCCTATATGTTTGCATGTGTGAATCAGACTGCTGTATATGAGGAGCTTGAAGATGAAACACGAAGACTCTGTGATGTCAGACCTTTTCTTCCAGTTCTCAAATTAGTGACAAGAAGTTGTGACCCAGGGGAAAAATTAGACTCAAAAATTGGAGTCCTTATAGGAAAAGGTAAATTAAAAAATAAAAAAAAAGTACAAATTCTTAATATATCTATTTATATAAACATATAGTAAGTATATTTAAGACATTGCTTTTCAAAGTGTGGTCCATGGACCACTGCTGATCTGTAAATTGTTGCCAGTTTGAGATAAGGTAAGTATAGAAATTGAGAATAAATGTTTAGAAACCCCTTTAGCAATATGATATTGCCATAGCATCCAAGGGCTTATGTTTAGTATATGTTTTTGTTGTCTAATGATTTATTATTTATTTAATTTTTAAAAATAGAGACAGGGTCTCACTGTGTTGTCCAGGCTGGTCTCAAACTCCTGGGCTCAAGTGATCCTCCTACCTTGGCCCCCCAAAGTGCTGGGATTACAGGTATGAGCCACTGTGCATGGCTGATTTATTTTTATTTTACAAAAATATTGATCTTTGATGGATTGGAAAGAAAAAAGTTGTTGCTTTACCTCAGATTGTTTGAGAAGTCCTTGACTAAAGGAGACATTATCCTTAGTTTCTTATGAACTGCTCCTATAGAATGAACATATTTTATACACAACTCTCTATGCCAACCAAGACTTTAAGCTGTTTGATGTTTCCATAAATAAATTATTGACAAATTTTACTTCTTAACTGAAATTATCTTTAAGTAGAAGTTATTTTGGTAGAGAGTCAGGAAATATCATGTCCACATTATTCCTTGCAAATTTATTCCATGGAAAATTGTGAGTAACACAATCAAGAACATGGAGGAGTCTCTCTTGCTATATAACATTAGGAGTCTCAGGGGCTAATGTTTTATCAATATCTTGCTTTAGAGAGGGTACTGACTTGAATTAGGAACTACAAAAGGTTACTGAGGAGGGGACTTTATAGTTTAAATACAAAACCAGAAAATCCACTGGAGATTTATGTATCTAGATTGGGTACCTGTATTGATCAGATTCACTGTTATAGGATAATATAGTACCATCCCCTTTAAAATACTATTCTTTGATCTTAACCCTATAATAATTCAGGCTAGCTAATGATTATACTGTGGGACTACTCCCTCTGAGTGCATAGAACCTTGTTAGTTTACTAAGGGATACTCTGATATTTAAAAATATTTGATTACTTCAGAGGGTGGCTAGTTTATTTTTGGCAATAAATTTTTCCCAGTTAACAAGTTTATAGTTATGTATCATACAAAATTTTTTCTTATATATTAGTGACATATAATTAGAAAGCATTATTAGAAAGCATGCCTTTCTATTTTCTAGAGCTACAAAGGTGTGTTTTGTTTTGTTTGTTTTTTGTTTCTGTTTTTGTTTTTTTGGTGACAAGGTCTCGCCCTGTTGCCCAGGCTAGAGTGCAGTGGTACGATCATGGCTCACTTCAGCCTTGACTCGACCCTCAGTCGCAAGCGATCCTCCCACCTCAGCGTCCTAAGTAGCTGGGACTACATACAGATGCAAGCCACCATGCCTGGCTAATTTTTGTATTTTTATTATAGTAGAGACAGGGTGTTGCCCAGGCTGGTCTCAAACTCCTGGACTCGAGCTGTCTGCCTGCCTCAGCCTTCAGAGCCACAGCACCTGGCCCAAATATTTTTATAGAATTTAAATTTTTGTCCATTATAAAAGGTTTTCCCTTTGTTCTCATGCCCATAAAAAGTTGAAGAATATATGGAAGAGGAGAAAGAAAGAAAAAAAATCACTTATAGTCTTATCATCCAGGACAAGTATATTGACCGACAATATTTTGATATATTTCTTTTGAATAAATTATATGTATTTCAAGGCTTTTATTTGTTTTTGTTTCTGTGGATTAAAATACTTAGCTTTTCTGTATTCTCATGCTAATGTAAGAAAGCAAACCAGAACCACATTGATTTTTAGGGAAGCTAAAATATTTGTTAATCCAAAAAGTACCACAGAGTAGGCCATGTTCTTTTTGATTTTTTTTTCTTTTTTAAATAGGGTCTCTTTCTGTCACCTAGGCTGGAGTGCAGTGGTGCGATCTCAGCTCACTGCAGCCTCAACCTCCCAGGCTTAAGTGATCCTCCTACCTCAGCCTCCCGAGTAGTTGAGACCACAGGCATATGCCACCATGCCCATGTAGATTTTAGCATGTTGCCCAGGCTGGTATCAAACTCCTAAGCTCAAGTGATCCACCTGCCTTTGCCTCCCAAAGTGCTAGGATTATAGGTGTGAGCCATTGTGCTGGCCTTTTTATTTTTATTTGTATTTATTTATTTGATACAGAGTCTCACTCTGTTGCCCAGACTGGAGTGCAGTGGTGCAATCTTGACTCACTGCAACCTCTGCCTCCCAGGTTCAAGAGATTCTCCTGCCTCAGCCTTCTGAGTAGCTGGGATTACAGGCACCTGCCACCATGCCCAGCTAGTTTTTGTATTTTTATTAGAGACAGGGTTTCACCATGTTGGACAGGCTGGTCTCAAACTCCTGACCTCAGATGATCCGCCTGCCTCGGCCTCCCAAAGTGCTGGGATTACAGGTGTGAACCACTGCGCCCAGCTGTTTTTGTTTTTATTTTTAAATTGAGACAGGGTCTTGCCCTGTACCCAGGCTGGAATGCAGTGGTGCAACCACCAGTCACTGCAGCCTCAGCCTCCCAGGGTCAAGTGATCCTCCCACCTCAGCTTCCTGAGTAGCTGAGTGCAAGCCACCAAGTCTGGCTAATTTTTTCTTTTTTTTTGTAGAGATGGAATCTTACTGTGTTACCCAGGATGTGGGCCAAGTTTCTTCAAGGCATTGGTATCTCTCTGAAATTTACCTCCTTCCCAACATTTACCAAAACATGGATTCATTGGCCACCATTACCTCTTCCTATGCCTGCCAAATGTGGCAAATAAAAATATTGAAGATTGAAATATTACATATGCTGTGCTTATGCTAAAAACATATTCATTGTTTATCTAAAATTCACATTGAATTGCGCATACTGTTTTTTTTTAACCTGGCAACCTTACCTTTTATCCTACCATAGCATAGGGGTATAATCTATATTAGACTAATGAATTTAATTTTTTCTTTTTTTTTTTCTGTTGAGACGAGGTCTCACTCTATCACCCACTCTGGAGCATAGTGGCGCCTTTTTGGCTCACTGCAACCTCCGCCTCCCAGGTTCAAGCAATTCTCCCACCTTGGCTTCCCAAGTAGCTGGGACTACAGGCATGCACCACCACGCCCACCTAATTTTTGTATTCTTTGGCATTTTGATTATATACACAAATTTAAATGTTAACATTTATTTAAGAAATTGAGTAAGTTGTGTATTTAAGAATGAATTTTCACTTTTAATACTTGAGAAGTCAAGTCAATTTTTGCAGTTGCTGATTTGTCTGTGATGACCATGGCTTGATGAGGCCATGCCTCCTGGGAAAAAATATACAATTATTTCAGTTTAACTTTAGGAACAAGGTTGCCACCTCCTCTCTCCAAAGAAAACAATAGAACCTTTAGAGACGTAATTGCCCTGACTAGGCTAAAAATACCTTTTCCTGAAAGATGATGTGGCTAATCTTTTTTTTTTCTGTGTTTATTCCAAATAATTATTTACAGAGCTGTTGTTTGAGTTCTGTTTGTTCTCTGTAGTAAGGTGTATGCCACCCCATATTAATTTCTCCAAACACTCAGTAAAAGAATCGTAATCAGAGGATTTTGTTAGCATTCTGAAAAACATATTTGTAAACTCCCTTATTTCTCCTGACCTATCTAAACCTGTGGTATACCTTAAGTGAGGGAAATAGCTAGTCTGTAGGATTTTTTTTTTTTTTTTTTTTTATATACAGAGTCTCACTTTGTTGCCCAGGCTGGAGTGCAGTGGCGTGATCTTGGCTCACTGCAACCTCTGCCTCCTGGGTTCAAGTGATTCTCATGCCTGAGCCTCCTAAGTAGCTGGGATTACAGGATTGCATGACTACACCCAGCTAATTTTTATATTTTTTGTAGAGATGGGGTTTTGCCACATTGGCTAGGCTGGTCTCGAACTCCTGACCTCAAGCGATCTGCCTACCTTAAGCCTTCCAAAGTGCTGGGATTACAGGTGTGAGCCACCATGTCCGACCTAGTCTGTAGGATTTTAACACCCTCTTTAGTATGAATAAATTGTTCACTCAGTACTTTTTAAATATAAAAATTATATTTGACTATAAATTTTACAGTAGCCTTAAGGAAAATTTAAGCTTTGCTGTTAGATTCTCTTAGAAGAAGGTATGTAGGGTATTAACTAGGTTTAAAATTAAATTACTTAGCTTAAAGTGTTCGTTATTTTTGATAAAATTTCTTTTTTTTTTTTGAGATGGAGTCTCGCTCTATCGCCCAGGCTGGAGTGCAGTGGCGCCATCTCGGCTCACTGCAAGCTTCACCTCCTGGGTTCACGCCATTCTCCTGCCTCAGCCTCCCGAGTAGCTGGGACTACAGGCACCTGCCACCATGCCTGGCTAATTTTTTATATTTCTAGTAGAGATGGGGTTTCACTGTGTTAGCCAGGATGGTCTCAATCTCCTGACCTCGTGATCCGCCCGCCTCGGCCTCCCAAAGTGCTAGGATTACAGGCGTGAGCTACTGCGCCCGGCCTAAAATTTCTGTATTTAAGAGATCTTTATGGTGGTTCCCAAATTTAGATTGTATCAGTTTCTTAAAATGAATATGCTCAGAGATTGGGATTCAGTGTGTCTGGAATAAATGAAAGCTGTATTTTTTTATGTGATTCTAACAGTTACATGAACAGGGTCCCTTATTCATAATATATTGAAAAACATTACCAAAACATTAGTGATTGCAGTTCAGTAGTATTGAGTGTTTATACTTGAAATTTTACCAGTGACCGTGGGTGATATGGTCTCTGCTTAGACCTCACAATCCAGTGGGAAGTGAGGATCAGTAAACACAGTTTTATTGCAATGTATTAACTGCTATGCTATGTCAGAAAGGGTCACCTTCAAATACTGTGTGATCTCACTTAAATGTGGAATCTGAAAAAGTTGAACTCAAAGTAAACAGTTGAATGGTAGTTAGCAGAGCCAGTTGGGGGCATAGAAAGGGGTGTATTGGGCTGGGAAAGGGGAGACATTGGTCACTGGGTACAAAGTTTCAGTTAGCAGGAATAAGTTCTGGTGTTCCATTGCAGGGGTTCTCCTCTGCTCCCTGTTGCTGGTTAGGAACCAGGCCGCACAGCAGGAGGTGAGCAGCAGGTTGGGTGAGCATTACCACCTGAACTTCGCCTCCTGTCAGATCAGTGGTAGCATTAGATTCTCATAGGAGCTTGAATGCGAAGAATCCTATTGTGAACTGCACATGTGAGGGATCTAGGTTGTGTGATCCTAATGAGCGAGAATCTAATGCCTGATGATCTGAGGTGGAACAGTTTCATCCCAAAACCACCCCCACCCCCATTCTATTGCATAGCACCGTGACTATAGTTAATAATAATGTATTGTATGTTTCAAAATATTTATGAGAGAATTTTTAAATGTTCTCTTCACAAAGAAATAATAAATATTTGAGGTGATAGATATGCTAATTAGCCAGATTTGATCATTCCACAATGTATACATGTGTCAAAACATCACATTGGCCGAGCTTGGGGGCTTATTCCTATAATCCCAGTACTTTGGGAGGATAAGGTGGGTGGATCACTTGAGCCCAGGATTTGGAGACCAGTCTGGGCAACATAGCAAAACCCCATCTCTACAAAAAGTACAAAAAATTACTCAGGCATGGTGGTGTGTGCCTGTAGTCCCAGCTACTTGAGAGGCTGAGGTGGGAGGATCACTTGGCTTGAGCCCAGAGGTTGAGGCTCCAGTGAGCTGTGATCATGCCACTGCACTCCAGCCTGGGCGACAGAGTGAGACCCTGTCTCAAACAAACAAAAAAACTCTATCACATTGTACCTCAAAAATACATGCAATTATTATTTGCCAATTAATGAAAAACAAAACTTTTGAAAAGGAAAGTCACCTTAAATCAATTAGGTGAATCAGGGATGACCTCTTAGAAGATGTATACCTACACTGAGCCATCAATGCTGATTAGGAATTTGGCAGGTAAAGAGAGGTGGAGAAAGGAAAAAACAAAAAGAAATGGCACATGTGAAGAATGGCCTATTCAAGGAAAAGAAATTGATTATGGGTGGTGTAGGGGGACAGATAGGACAACTAGGAAAGACTAGAGAGGCAGCCATCTGCAGAGCATACAGTGCCATCCAGGCCATGTAAAAAGTAGAGCTTTACTACTAAGAACACTTGGGAAGCTATTGAAGAAATATAGGTAGGGGAGTAACGTGATAAATTTGCATTTTAGAAAGATTATTTAGGTTGTAGAATGAAGAGTGGATTGGAGGGATTAAGAATTTGAATAGAGAAATTAGTGAAAAAATGTTGTAACCCAAAGGAAGGGTGATGATGGCCAGGATTAGGTTAATGTTTACAGGAATTGAGAGAAGTGGACAGAGTTGAGAGACATTTAGAAGGTGGGTTAAACATGATTTGTAGCAGATTAAGGGAAATAAAGCATTTGATTTTTGTTAGATGTATATATTATTGGGTACTTATTTCCCTTTCGTCACCTGTAATACCTATTGCCTGTGAATAGAATGAATATTAACAGTGCACTAAAATGCTTCAGCCATTCCACCCAAATTACAGTCCATTCATAGCTAATTTAGAGTAATGTATTTTATTCCAGATCTAAAACTATCCAGGAAATCATTTTACCTTTGCTGTGTTATACCTTTGCTGTGTTTTATTTTTCTATATTTAATACCACAAAATTGATTCTAGGATATATTTTTGAAATAACAACTATTGTTTTCAGTGCATAAAAGTAAAAAGACAATGCAACCCTTACTGACATGCATATGTTCAAATAGTATAGTATAGATTAATTTTATGGAATAAAAAGTAACTTTCCTCACTGTGCATTCCTCCCTAATACTACAAAATACCACTAGCAATAGAGTCATCTCAAGTATCCAAAACAAAAACTTATGCATATTCTGTATTCTTCCTTTTGAATTTTCAGAAAAGGGATTTTACCTGACCCATTCTCTACCTACTTTTAAAAAATATCTGGTGCCCTTAAAAACACAAAGATTGATTGTATTTTTATCTCCTGCACCACTGTATAATGATACATGGATGTATCTTTATTTAACCAGTCCTGAATGATGGCCTTTAGATTACATTTTAATTATTATACACAAAACTGCAGCAAATATTCATATATTGATAGTATATCCATAGGTTTGTAGAAATAAACAAAGACCACTCAGATGAGAACAGAGACTATTTATGCAGAGGTTGCTATAGTAAAAGAACTTGAGCTTGGCAGAGACTCAGAGGCAGGCAGGGGAGTGGGAAAGCTTTACAGTGAAAAAAAAGGGAAGGTTTCAGAGATGCCTGATGGGAAATTATTGGCAGCAGGGAGCTGGAGGTGGGCTAATTAGAAGCAAGGCATCTTATGTGATTGGTGTTGGGTTAGTATACTTGGCTTTCTTCGTTGGTCCTGAATCTCTCAGGTTGAGATTACGATTGATAAAATTGTGAGGTCTAAGGATGTGTGTGTGTGTGTGTGTGTGTGTGTGTGTGTGTGTGTGTATGATTTCTAATAAATATTGCAAAATTGCCCTCCAAAAAGTTCATATTAATGTAGTTTCTCAACAAAACTATACTAGAATGCCTTTTTCTCTCTGCCCCTTCCAGCACAGGGTATTATCAAATTTTAAAATATGTGCCAACCTGATAGGTAAAAATAAATGCACACATAAACATTTATGTATGTTGATTCATTCTTTTAGATTTCTAAAATTATTTACTGGAATAATCATAAGTTTTTGAAAAAGTTGTCATATATAATTGTCTTAATGGCAGAAGTGACTAAAAATTAAGTACAACCCATCCTTCAGCAATAGGTTTGAACTGTGCAGGGCCACTTATACGTGGATATTTTTTAATACGTATATTGAAACTTTTTTTGAGATTTGTGACAATTTGAAAAAACTTGCAGACGAATCACAGCCTAGAAATAGTGAAAAAATTAAAAAGTTAAGTGTCATTAATGCATGATATGTATGTATCATTTACTACCATAAAATACACATAAATCTATTATAAAAAGTTAAAATTTCAAAACTTACATACACAGACATTTAGACAACCATACATGGTGCCATTTGCAGTTGAAAGAAGTGCAAACAAATGTAAAGATACAGTATTAAATCATAACTGCATAAAATTAACTGTATTATACTACTGTAATAATTTTGCAGCCACCTCCTGTTGCTATTGTGGTGAGGTTAAGTGTTGTGAGCATATGCTCAGAAATGCCATGTGACTCTAATCATCTCCACTTGAGCAGTTTCTCTGTCTAGTAAATTGCATATTGCAGTAAAAAGGGATCTCTCCGAGTTCTCATGTATTTTTTAAATTGTGTTTACTGGAATACTGCAAACCTTGAATAACACTGTGGGACCCATACAAAATGCTACTTGTGATCCTGGAAGTACTTCTAAGAACAGAGAAAAGTCATGATATTATAAGAAAAAAGTTGAATGCAGCTGGGTGCACAGGCTGAGGCAAGAGGATTGCTTAAGCCCAGGAGTTCTAGGTACTAGTGTGCTGTGATTGTGCCTGCAAATGCCATATATATATATATATATATATATATATATATATATATATATATATATATATATATATAAAGGCTGAATAGCTTGATATGTACTGTAGATGGAGGTCTGCAGCTGTGGTTGCCTGCCATTTCGAGATAAATCAATCCAGTATAAGTACCATTGTGAAAAAACAAATTCATGAAACTGTCGCCGCAGCTATGTCAGCAGGTGCTAAACCTTGCACTTTTTGTGAATCACCTTTTTATCTCAGAGTAAAAATGCAGCTTGTATGTGGGTGCAGGATTGCTATAAGAAAGGCATACCAATAGACTCTAATCTGATTCAAGAAAAGGCAAAGTTATGTGACAAAGCAATAAGAAACTGAAGGATCTAGTACAGGAGAATTTTAATGCTAGCAAAGGATGGTTTGACAATTTTATTTTTATTTATTTTTATTTTTAATTAATTAATTTATTTATTTTTGAGACGGAGTCTCACTCTGTCACCCAGGCTGGAGTGCAGTGGCGTGATCTCGGCTCACTGCAAGCTCCACCTCCCAGGTTCATGCCATTCTCCTGCCTCAGCCTCCCGAGGAGCTGGGACTACAGGTCCCCGCCACCACTCTTGGCTAATTTTTTTGTATTTTTAGTAGAGATGGGGTTTCACCATGTTAGCCAGGATGGTCTCAATCTCCTGACCTCGTGATCCGCCCTCCTCGGCCTCCCAAAGTGCTGGGATTACAGGCGTGAGCCACCGTGCCCGGCCGATTTGACAATTTTAGAAAGGTTTGGCATAAAAAAAATCAAGGTAACAGGAGAAGTTATTTTTCCTGACCTAGAAATAGCAGATGAGTTCCCAGATGCCATTAAGAAAAATCACTGAGGAGAATAGATACCTGCCTGAACAGATTTTTAGTGTTTTGTTTTTGAGACAAGATCTCACTCTGTTGCCCAGGCTGTATCCTTGCCCTCCTGGGCTCAAGTGATCCTCCCACCTCAGCCTCCTGAGTAGCTGGGACTACAGGCATGCACCACCATGCCCAGCTAATTTTTAATTTTTTATAGAGATGAGGTCTCACTATGTTGCCCAGGCTGGTCTCGAACCCCTGACCTCAAGGAATCCTCCCACCTCGGCCTCCCAAAATGTTGGGATTATAGGTGTGAGCTGCCTTGTCTGACCCTGAACAAGTTTTTAATGCAGATCAAAGTGCCCAATTCTGGAGAAAAAAAATGCCACAAAGGTCATTTATTAGGAAGAGAAGTCAGCACCAGGATTTAAGACAGGAAGGCTAACTACTGTTTTGTGCAAATGCAGACTAGTTTGTGATACACTTTATTTGTAAAGCTGCTAACCCCCAAGCCTCGAAGGGAAAAAGAAACACCAGCTGCCAGTCTTTTGGTTGTACAACAAGAAGACCTGGACAATAAGAACCCTTTTTCTGGATTGGTTCCATCACTGCTTTGTTCTGAAGTCAGGAACTACTTTGCCAGTAAGGGGCTGCCTTTTTTTTTGAGATGGGGTCTCACTTCATCGCCCAGGCTGCAGTGCAGGGGTGCGATCTTGGCTTACTGCAACCTCCGCCTCCTGGGTTCAAGCGATTCTCCTGCCTCAGCCCCCCAAGTAGCTGAGATTACAGGCACACACCACCATGTCTGGCTAATTTTTGTGTTTTTAATAGAGATGGGGTTTCCCCATGTTGGCCAGGCTGGTCTTGAACTCCTGACCTCAAGTGATCCCCCCACCTTGGCCTCCCAAAGTGCTAGGATGACAGGAGGATTATAGGTGTGAGCCACTGTGCCCAGCCTAGGGACTGCCTTTTAAGGTTCTTTTGATATTGGATGATGCCCGTGGCCACCCAGAACCCCCTGAGTTCAACACTGAAAGCCTCAAAGTGATTTACTTACCCCCAAACACAACATCTCTAATTTAGCCTATCAGGAGGTCATAAGGACCTTTAAGGCTCATTACTCATGGTACTCTATGAAAGAGAACCTGGATAGAACATCATGAAAGTCTGGGAGTATTACACCACTGAAGATGCCATCGTTCATATAGAAAAAGTTGTGAAAGCTATCAAACCCAAAACAGTAAATTCCTGTTGGAGAAATCTCTGTCCCGATATTGTACATGACTTCACAGGATTGACAACAGAACCAATCAAGGAAATTAAGAAATAGATTGTGGTATGGCATAAAAGGCAGCAGTGGTGGTGAAGGGTTTCAAGATACAGATCGTGGAGAAATCCAAGAGCTAATAAACACCACATGAGAGGAATTAACAGAAAACAACTTCATGGAGATGAGTGCTTCTGAAGCAGTGCCAGATGATGAGGAAGAAGATGTAGAAGAAACAGTGCCCGAAAACAAATTCACATGCAACAGTCTGACAGAAGGCTTCTGATTATTCAAGAATGCTTTTTACTTCTTTTATAATATGGCCCCTTCTATGATACCAGCACTGAAACTAAAGCAAACAGTGGTAGGATTGGTACTATACAGATAAACATTTTTACAGAAAAGAAAAAGCAAAGAAGTCAGAAATTATGATGTATATCTGTGAAGTTACATACAGTATGCCTGCGTCTGCTGCCTCCCCTTGTACCTCCTTCACTCTTCTGTGTCTGCCACCCCTGAGACAGCAAGACTAACCTCTCCCCCTCCTCCTCAGCCTACTCAGTGTGAAGATGATGAGTTATGAAGACATTTATGGTGATCCACTTCCTTTTTTTTTTTTTTTTTTTTTTTTTTTTTTGGGGGAGTCTCGCTCTGTCACCCAGTCTGGAGTGCAGTGACACAATCTCGGCTGACTGCCAGCTCCGCCTCCCGGGTTCACGCCATTCTCCTGCCTCAGCCTCCCGAGTAGCTGGGACTTCAGGCACCCACCACCACGCCTGGCTAATGTTTTTTGTATTTTTAGTAGAGATGGGGTTTCTCCATGTTGGTAAGGCTGGTCTCGAACTCCTGACCTCAGGTGATCCACCCGCCTCAGCCTCCCAAAGTGCTGGGATTACAGGCGTGAGCCACTGCGCCCGACCAATCCACTTCCTCTTAATAAATAGTAAATATATTTTCACTTCTTTGTGATTTATTTAATAACATTTTCTTTTTTTCTAATCAGAAGAGTGCTGGAATAATTAACATTTTCTTTAGCTTACTTTAGGAATACAGTATATAACATGTATAACATACAAAATAAGTGTTAACTGACTATGTTGTTGGTAAGGCTTCTGGTCATAAGTAGGCTATTAGTAGTTAAGTTGTTCAGGAGTCAAAAGGGACATGTAGGCCGGGCATGGTGACTCACACTTGTAATCCCAGCACTTTGTCAGACTGAGGTGGGAGGATTGCTTGAGCCCAGGAGTTCAAGACAACTTGGACAATATAGCAAGACCTCATGTCTACTAAAAATTTATCCAGACATAGTGGCATGTGCTTGTGACTGTAATTTCAGCTACTTGGGAGGCTGAGGTGGGAGGATCGCTTGAGCCCAGGAGATGAAGGCTACAGTGAGCCGTGATCACACCACTGCACTCCAGCCTGGGTAACAGAGCAAGATTCTGTCTCAGTGAATGAATGAATGAATGAATGAATGTTATATGTGAATTTTCTCCTCTGTAGGGGGTTGGTGCCCCATCCACCATGTTGTTTGAGAATCAACCAAACAATAAAGAACAATTTTATGTTTATGGGATTTTTGACTAACTAAAACAATATATGATAACCATTTAAAAATCACAATGAACTGAAAATTCAGTCTATAAAATTTAAGTGTACTAGGTTTTCTTTGGTTTGTTTTTGTTTTTTTAAAGACTATGAACAGTTTTAGGTTCACAGCAAAATTGAGAGGAAGATACAGAGATTTTCCGTATTCCCTCTGCCCCTGTGTATTGTAGCCATTCCCATAGTATACCAAGTTTTGGTGAAATAATAACTTGATTCTTAGTTTTCTTCTAATATAGTATTGAAACTGTTTTTCAGATTCTTAGTCTTTCTCACATATTTTAAATGTGATTTATTAATACTTGGTTTGTAAATAAAAACAATGAATCTTTTATGTGTGGCTTTAAAATATGTATTGTGAATTACTTTGTAAAACTGGTAGGCAAACTACATTTCTTTATGAGGTTTTGAGTTGTATTTTTTAAAAAAATATAATTGTATGTTTGTCTTCTGTACATGAGATTTATTGTTTTATCTGGGTTTTTTGATCTTTAATGGTATTTTCCTCCCTAGTTTCATCTGCTTGATAAAAGCCAAGCATCCAACATCCAAGTTAGTTTTTGTTGAATATACTTTGTATTCTTTCTATATTCTTTTATTATTGTTAGTTACTGAAAATGACACCTTTAAAAAATGTGTTTAGGTCTGCATGAATTTGATTCCTTGAAGGATCCTGAAGTAAATGAATTTCGAAGAAAAATGCGCAAATTCAGCGAGGAAAAAATCCTGTCACTTGTGGGATTGTCTTGGATGGACTGGCTAAAACAAACATATCCACCAGAGCATGAACCATCCATCCCTGAAAACTTAGAAGATAAACTTTATGGGGGAAAGCTCATCGTAGCTGTTCATTTTGAAAACTGCCAGGTAGGATTATATTTTTTTAAGAAATATTTTGTAATAAATTTCTCATTTTTACCCGAATACAACTGCATTTTTAGAAGTGTCTGTCGCTTGCCTAGCAAACACTATTAGAAAGAACAATTTTATATTTCAGATAGAAATGTATTTAGGATTATATATAATAGTCTAAAGTGATATTCTGTACACGTATCTGTTTTGATACAGTGGAATGGTGATTTAGAATGGGATTGGCAAACTGGACTGTTTAATTGGTTTTTACAGTTTTAAAGGGATGTTAAAAAGAGAAAAAAACCTCAAAGATTTGTAAAGGGATGTTTAAAAGAAGAAGAAGTAAAAAGAATATGCAACAGAGACCACTGTGTTGTATGTTGTTTGCCAAACCTGGTCCTTTACAGAGAAAGTTTGCCAGTTGCTGGTCTAGATAGTGTTCCTTATTGGAAATATTTTTTTCTCATGTGACTTTTCTCCCCCATCGGTAGAAATGAAAGCCTAATCAAAATGGTCTCTTTGTTTCCATATTCTTAAATTTGCATTCTGTGACTATGTGAATTAATTAATGATATGGAAGTAGGCATTATAATAGAGTTGATATACAGCCCATCCATTTCTGAATGTTCATAGCAATTATACAAACTAGATGATGCTACTACTGTTGTATCAAGTATAGTGGTTCTAGCATCTAGGGTCTGGCATTAGATTAAGGTAGAAACTCAAGGATTTTTTTTTTTTTTTTTAGACGGAGTCTTGCTCTGTTGCCCAGGCTGGAGTGCGATGGCGCAATCTTGGCTCCCTGCAACCTCAGCCCCCCAGTCTCAAGCAATTCTCTTGCCGCAGCTTCCTGAGTAGCTGGAATTACAGGCGCCTGCCATCACACCTGGCTAATTTTTGTATTTTTAGTAGAGATGGGGTTTCATCATGTTGGCAGGCTAGTCTCAAACTTCTGACCTCAGATGATCCACCCACCTCAGCTTCCCAAAGTGCTGGGATTACAAGCATGAGCCACTGCACACAGCCAGATGTTTTGTTTTGTTTTGTTCTTGAATTACTGTGAATAACCATAGCAATGACAACAACCAATTATGCAGGGTAAGTGCTCAATGACTTAACAGTCGTTGTTCTGTGTTGAGCACTTATTCTGCATAATTCCTGGTATGGCTTATTTTTCATATATTCTCCAGTTCCCACACCAACCTTACAAGCGTTGTTGTCTTTCCCCCATCTTACAGTGAAGAGACTGAAAGGAAGACAAGTTTAGTGTTTTGTGCCAGTCCTCATAGCTGGTCAGTGGTAGAGCCAGGATTTCATCCAGGTGTCTCTGGTTTTACCCAGTTTTGCCTCCTTTTAGACAACATGTTAATAAGTATTTGTTAGGACAGATGTGAAAAAAAGATTCTGCCTTCAGGCATTTTCTCTAAACAAGTAAGTTTATCTAGGGAAAAACACCATTTGTCATTCTGTCCTGAGATACGTTGAGTCTAAAGTTCAATTTAAGTCAAGATTTGAGTATCATTAAAATGTCAAGGTCAAATTTACAATACTGTTTAAGGAATTCTCCGTGGTCAAGAGAGGTAGAATAGGGGAATTTACTGTTGAAAGGTGATGAGAGTTCAACTTGAGAACACTGGCTTTACCAGGTGAGGTGGCGCACAGCCACTTTGGGAGGCTGAACAGGGAGGATCTCTTGAACCCAGGAGTTCAAGACCAGGTTGGGCAACATGGTGAAACCCCATCTGTACAAAAATTACCTGGGCATGGTGGTGCACATCTGTAGTCCCAGCTACCCAGGAGGATGAGGTGGGAGGATTGCTTGATCCCAGAAGGCGGAGTTTGCAGCGAGCCCAGATTGCGCCACCACACTTCAGCTTGGGCGACAGAGGGATACCTTGTCTCAAAAAAAAAAGGTACAATATTTCATGAAGTCATTGAAAGTGATAATGAACAACTGCTTGAAATATGGGAAAACTATTAGGATATAAGATCATTGGTGTCTTACTGGGAGGTGAGGTCAAGGAGGAAAGAGGAGGCATGCGACTTCTCAAAATGATTCCTAGCATCCTAGCCTGTGTTCTTTGATGTGTGTGACACTGTCTTAGTCTGTTTGGGCTGCTGTAACAGAATACCATAGACTGGGTGGCTTATAAACAACAGAAATTTATTTCTCACAATTGTAGGGTTTTTTGTTTGTTTTGTTCTGTTTTGTTTTGAGACGGAGTTTCACTTTGTCGTCCAGGCTGCAGTGCAGTAGCATGAGCTAGGCTCACTGCAACTGCCCCGTTTCAGGTTCAAGGGATTCCCTGACTCAGCTTCCTGAGTAGCTGGGACTATAGACAGGCACCACCACGCCATGCTAATTTTTTGTATTTTTAGTAGAGGCAGGGTTTCACTGTGTTTGCCAGGCTGGTCTTGAACTCCTGAGCTTAAGTGATCCACCCGCTTTGGCCTCCCAAGGTGCTGGGATTACAGGTGTGAGCCACTGCACCTGGCCTGTTTCTCACAATTCTGGAAGCTGGGAAGTCCAAGATCAAGGCACCAGTTCATTCCGTGTCTTATGAGGATTGCTTCCTGGTGCATACATAACTATCTTCTTGCTATGTCCTTACGTAGCAGAAGAGGAGAGGAAGCTCTCTGGGGTCTCTTTTATTTTTTTTTTTTTTATTTTTTGAGATGGAGTCTCACTCTGACACCAGGCTGGAGTGCAGTGGCACGATCTCGGCTCACTGCAACTTCCAACTCCCTGGTTCAGGGATTCTCCTGCCTCAGCCTCCCGAGTAGCTGGGACTACAGGCAGGGGCCACCATGCCTGGCTAATTTTTTATATTTTTAGTAGAGGCAGGGTTTCACCGTGTTTGCCAGGCTGGTCTTGAGCTCCTGAGCTTAAGTGATCCGCCCGCCTCGGCCTCCCAAGATGCTGGGATTATAGGTGTGATCCACTGCACCTGGCCTGTTTCTCAGAATTCTGAAAGCTGGGAAGTACTAGATCAAGGCACTAGTTCATTATGAGGGATTGCTTCCTGGTCCATACGTACCTGTCTTCTTGCTATGTCCTTACATGGCAGAAGAGGAGATGAAGCTCTCTGGGGTCTTTTTTATTTATTTTATTTTATTTTATTTATTTTTTTGAGTCGGAGTCTCGCTCTGTCGCCAGGCTGGAGTGCAGTGACACAATCTCAGCTCACTACAACCTCCGACTCCCTGGTTCAAGTGATTCTCCTGCCTAGCCTCCCAAGTAGCTGGGACTACAGGCATGCACCACCATGCCCAGCTAATTTTTGTATTTTTAGTAGAGACAGGGTTTCACCATGTTGGCCAGGCTGGTCATGATCTCCTGACCTCATTATCTGCCCACCTCGGCCTCCCAAAGTGCTGGGATTACAGATGTAAGCCAGCGTGCACGGCCTCTGGGGTCTCTTTTATAAGGACACTAATCCCATTCATGAGGACTCTGCCCTCATGACCTAATCACATCCCAAAGTTTTCACTTCCAAATATCATCACATTAGAGATTAGGTTTCTACATATGAATTCGCCAGGGGAGACACAAACATTCAGTCTATGGCAGGCACCAACTCATAGAAAACACAGAAGAACAAGTAAAATACTGGAAAAAATAGATGTGAAATAGTAAGTTTAGTTTTTAAAAGTTTGAATGTAAGACATCTTAAATTCAGGGGAGTGATTTATTTAAATTAAATTAGTGGAAAATATTATGGAATTGATGTCAGGTCAGTATAGAGAATAGCAATAAGTTAGTTGTTCAGAGTAGCAGTTGGTTGCTTTGGGAGATAGCTTCTTATATCTTTAGTATATGATCATATAATGAAAAATTACCTTGCTAGATTATGAGAGGATTCAGGTGTTAACTGTATCATTCAGTCTTATGATGAACAGATTTGGTAATGCTATATCGATTCCAAACTATATCTTCATTTTTAATTGATTAGAATTTCTATATGTTTCTATTTACATGTCTCTAAAATTGGACGTAATTGCTAATTTATGGTTTAATTCGTATAAAGTATGGCTGTCTTCTTACCAGTGAGAAATGTGTAAGTTTTTAAAAATATATATACAAAATATAGCTGCAGTATGTGGCCGGGCATGGTGGCTCGTGCCTGTAATCCCAGCACTTTGGGAGGCTGAGGCAGGCGGATCACAAGGTCAGGAGTTTGAGACTAGCCTGGACAACATGGTGAAACCCTGTCTCTACTAAAGATACAAAAAATTAGCCAGGCGTGGTGGTGCACGCCTGTAATCCTAGCTCCTCAGGAGGCTGAGACAGGAGAATTGCTTGAACCTGGGAGACAGAGGTTGCAGTGAGCCAAGATCGAGCCATTGCGCTCCAGCCTGGGGGACAGTGTGAGACTCTGTCTCAAAAAAAAAAAGATGAGATGTTCATTGGAAAATGCCTAATGGTAACCTTTAGTTAAATATTAATCTTACCTGTGGAAGCTGTGCACTATGAATACAGTAAGATGACTTTCAAATTATCAGAAATCTTTATCTTTCAGTAAACTTGTCTACATTCTAAATATGCATCCATATAAAATTTGTTAAGGATGTACCCATATAAATATTATGTACATTTGTACATATTATTACATAATGATTGTAATGTGATTTTTCAGCATAAATATAACATTTACTGCTTTTTTCCCCATCTCCCTCCCCCTTCAGGACGTGTTTAGCTTTCAAGTGTCTCCTAATATGAATCCTATCAAAGTAAATGAATTGGCAATCCAAAAACGTTTGACTATTCATGGGAAGGAAGATGAAGTTAGCCCCTATGATTATGTGTTGCAAGTCAGCGGGAGAGTAGAATATGTTTTTGGTGATCATCCACTAATTCAGTTCCAGGTATGTATATTAACTATTAATTTACCAGAAAAGTCTATGAGTATATATATATATATATATATTTTATTTCTGACTTTAAAAATGTGTTCCCACACTGGAACATTTGGAATATACAGAAAATTATACAGTATTAAATAGTAAATATTCATAATAGTACTTACCTCTGAGATAATCATTGTTACCCTTTTGGCATGTTTTTGTCACTTTTTGCAGTTATGTTTGTATTTTAGCATAATGATTGTACAGACAAATATGTGTATGTATATGTTTGTATTCTGCTTTGCTTTTTTTTTTTTTTTTTTTTTTTTTTTTGAGACAGAGTGTTGCTCTGTCGCCTAGGCTGGAGTGCAGTGGCATGCAGTCTTGGCTCACTGCAACCTTCATCTCCCAGGTTCAAGCAATTCTTGTGCCTCAGCCACCCGAGTAGTTGGGATTACAGGTGTGCGCCACCATGCCCAGCTTCTTTTTGTATTTTTAGTAGAGATGGGGTTTCACCATCTTGGCCAAGCTGGTCTCAAATTCCTGGCCTCAAGTGATCCGCCCAACTTGCTTGGCCTTTCCAAGTGCTGAGATTACAGCCATAAGCCACTGTGCCCGGCTCATTCGGCTGTTTTGATTGTTTTAGTTAGCCTTATAATTATTGTCTTATATCATTATGAATTTTTTTAACACTTATAGCTGCTTTCTATTTCATCATATAGTATAAACGTGAAATATTCTGGGGGAGGTAAAGTATTTAAAAATCGATTAAATGGTCATCCATTGAATTGTATAAAAACTTATTTGTGATTATCCATTAGCTAACTAAAGGAAAACTTTTCAATTCCAGTCTGAAATATTTATGCGTGGAATTTCCCTTGCCCCTTTTTTGTTACTTCCATGAATGGCAAGAATTTTGCAGGCATTAGGTTTGACCATTCTCAAAAGCCTTTATTAATCATTCGGGTATTTATTTATTTTCATTTAATTAAGAATTCTTTGAGAATATGCTTCTATACGGCACTGAATTGCCCCAGATTATTTTTGGAGTAAAGTGGAGTTTAAATATGCTATGTGCAGTGCAGCACCCCTCTCCCTATAAGGTATACTGTTTAAAGACTAGGTCCTTGGCTTTGCCTTCAAGTAACTTGAAGATGTTTTTGTTGAAATATCTTGGAGACTAAAAAATAGTCATTATGTAAGGAATATTATTATAAGTGCCCAGTTAGAGGTTAGTAGTTACAGAATTTTAGGAAAGTCTTGTTATTTTGTGATATTATTGTTGTTGTTGTTTAAACAAGAGGGGTATAGGCATGCCAATTATAAAGTAATATGTGTTTGAGAATATGGAGCTGCAATTTATTAGCAGATAACATGATGTTACACCTCTTCTCAGGTTTCTGGTGTGGCCCTCAATTTTTGTGGTTTAGTACATATAAGGTCCAGGAGCAGTTATAACTTATGTGCACAGCTTTGGGAGTTGTGGTATTCTGATAGTAAGCTGTTGAACTCTAGTCCATAAGAAGAAACAAGATGAAAAATGCTTGGTGGGCAACATAGAAGTACTGACTTTTCTTCATGTTCTGCCATCATTCAAGTAGATTTCTGTTTCTTTAATTTAACATTTCTTTTTACCTTAAGAGGTGTAAAGGAGAATGTATATTTTACCAGCATTATCCTCTATTATTATAAAGAAAAACAGAAGCATGTATGTGTTTTTGTGCAGGGTTAGACAGGAGAGACCCTGTACAAAAGAGAGAGAGAGAGAGAATATACAGTGTAGGCAAAGGAATGTGAGAGAAATGGATCTTTCATAGTGAAAAGTTTTTGGATGAATATATTTATCATAATATCATATATAACTTCTGAGAGACATTCTGGAAGTTTTTTTTCTCTGACAAAAATGTATTTTTAATGGTTCTGAATTGAATTACGATACATTGAATCACACTCTGGATCTGTATAGGAAATTCATTCTTCTGAGGAATACATTGGATTCCTATTCACTTTGTTAGGAATCTTTGGTAATATGAATAATCACCCCTTTTCTTATATGCCTCTGGAGAGTCATTCTAGTTTTGTGAAAATAGAACATCAAACTGGGATGATCGGTAGGTTTTTGATGGGAAGACGGCTGGTAATACTTGCCTAGAGCTCTGTGATGGAAAGGGGCCATCTCAGGGATCCATAGAAAGTGTGAATCTGCCACATGCGAACCACGTATTCAGCTTTTCTAGCCAAGCTGAAAGTATGGCTGAAGTATGACTTTAGTGTTAGACAAATGGGTTTAAATCTAGGTTTTACAGATACTAGGTGTGCAACTTAACCCTTCTGAGTTTCATTTCTTTAATATGTTAAATGAGTGTAATGAGATTAGCTGTAACATACAATAATCATCTAACTCATTTCTTTAGGTACTTAGGTGTTCAGTTAATGATAGCTATTTTTTGTATTGTGATTTAAAATTCTCATATGCTTAGGCTGGGCTTGGTGGCTCACACCTGTAATCCTAGCACTTTGGGAGGTCAAGGTAGGCAGATCACTTCAGCTCAGGAGTTCAAGACCAGCCTGGGTAACATGGCAAAACCCTGTCTCTACAAAAAATATAAAAATTGGCTGGGCATGGTGGTGTGTGCCTGTAGTCCCAGGTACTCCAGAGGCTGAGGTGGGAGGATTGCTTTAGCCCAGGAGATTGAGGCTGCAGTGAGCTGTGATCGTGTCACTGCATTCCAGCCTGGGCAACATAGACCCTGTCTCAAAAAAAAAAAAAAAAAATTTTTTTTTTTTAATTTCTTGATATTCTGCTGTGGTTTAAGACATACTTTCACAGTGCATTTGATATAGTGTTGTTCAGCTTCATTTTATTCTATTGATTTAGGTGTTGGCATGAAAATCAATACCTTCCCCTTTCTTGCCCCTATAGTATATCCGGAACTGTGTGATGAACAGAGCCCTGCCCCATTTTATACTTGTGGAATGCTGCAAGATCAAGAAAATGTATGAACAAGAAATGATTGCCATAGAGGCTGCCATAAATCGAAATTCATCTAATCTTCCTCTTCCATTACCACCAAAGAAAACACGAATTATTTCTGTAAGTTTTATTTCTGAACCTTTAGTAACCCCAAAAGCCATGTGATTGTGTTAGTTTACATAAGTTTCACACATATTTCCTTTGCTCACTTCTCCTTCTGTGAAAACCAATACATATTTGCCAAAAATCGATCACCATTTATTTAAAAATTATCTTTCTAGATACTATTATTTTTACTCAAGCCACAATTAAATGTAAATATGCCGTTTATATTTTTGATGTCTTTTTCTGCCGAAGAAAAATGCCATCAAATTAGAGATTTTGATTTAAATATAGGACTTCAATGAGTAATTGGAGACATCCTAGTAGAAAAGTTAGATGTGCAGAAATAATTGAATTAACCAGTATATTTCATTTCTATCAGCTTAACTATGGTAGTATTTTTGGTATAATTTGCCTGCCTTCTTAATACTGAATTCTTTTAGTACTAAACATATATGAAGGGCACTATTGTTTTTCAGAATGTAATATATTTGTATAAAGCAAATTTTAACTTTGTCTTTATTTGAACAGTTAATACTTTTTAGTCAGTTACTCAGTCGTCACAAATTGTATATTGAACTACTCCTTGATGATGTTATTTCTATATTAATATAAATGGTCAGCTCTTAATTTATACAAAGCTTTTATTACTATTTGTTAATGCTTTTTAATTTAGTGAAATCTCTTAGCATTAGTGGAATGCTGCCTATGTTTTGCCATGAAAGCCAAGTGCTAGGGGTTATAATGCTTAATTAATTAATTAATTTTTTTTTTGAGACAGAGTCTTGCTCTGTCGCCCAGGCTGGAGTGCAGTGGCGCAATCTTGGCTCACTGCAAGCTCCGCCTCCCGGGTTCATGTCATTCTCCTGCCTCAGCCTCCCAAGTAACTGGGACTACAGGCGCCCGCCACCATGCCCAGCTAATTTTTTGTATTTTTAGTAGAGACGGGGTTTCACCGTGTTAGCCAGGATGGTCTCGATCTCCTGACCTCATGATCCACCTGCCTCAGCCTCCCAAAGTGCTGGGATTACAGGCGTGAGCCACCGCGCCCGGTCAATGCTTAATTTAGTATATGTGACTTTCAGTTGTTAGTTTAGAGCTCTATTTTCATAGTTTTGCCAATAGACATTAGAACTGATGACAATTGCATTGCTAGCATAGAATATTCATTTCTTTCATTAAAATAATTTGTATTTATTTTATTCTTTTACAGCATGTTTGGGAAAATAACAACCCTTTCCAAATTGTCTTGGTTAAGGGAAATAAACTTAACACAGAGGAAACTGTAAAAGTGAGTACCCACTAAGATTTGAATTTGCCATCCGCTCCAGTATTTGAATAACTCACTGATATGCTCAATAATGTCACATTGGAGATTGAATTTTACCCATATTGATCAATTACATGATATAGAATATGGTAATTTATTATAAGACTATTGAGAATTTTTGTTTTAAAATTTTAAAATTTTGTTTTAAAATTCAAAGACTTTTGAATCATTAGAGATCTACTGGAAAGATTGACATTATTTTTCCAGTATATATTACATATTTCTTCTATATATTATATAGAAGAAATATATAATATAGATGGGTAAGACTGTGAAGAAAGTTGAGAGAAATAATTCAAAGGTGCAAAGTAGAGTTATCTTGGTTGAATAATTCTAGAGAGCTAATGTACAACCCGAAGACTATAGTTAATGATATTTTATACAGGAATTTGCTAGGAGAGTAGATTTTAGGTACTCTTACCACTCCTTACTCAAAAAAAACAAAGGTAACTATATGTGATGATGAATATGTTAAATTTCAGCAAGTGAAAGTTAAGCCAAAACTATAGATCTCATGTTTTTATGCAAGCTTACTCTCCTCTCTCAGCCTTGCCTAGAGCTGCACTGAACCCCTCTTTCAGTCTTTTTTTTTTTTTTTTTTCTTTTCTTTCCTTTTAAACTGAGCACAGAGAACATGTAATACCATTTCCTGGAAGAAAATAGATTACTACGTTATGGACCACAAGTTGTTAACACATGGGGGTTTATTGCTCAATCCCATACATTTAAATAAAGACTTAACAAAGCATTTTGTCTCAGAGTATAAAGCATTTATTTTCCCTAATTTGCTGGGTAGGAAATTAAGTGAATAATTTTTGTGATCCAAGAAAGAGATTTGGTTTGTTTGAAATGTTTGTTGCTTGAAGATATATTCAGGAGCCCCTTGCCAAAAATTACCAATGTCTTGCTTTTGTACATGGGTATTAAAGATTTTGGGGGAGAGTAGAAGGGTGGTTACCGCCTTTGGTGTTAGACAAGTGGGTGAGGCTGTGAAAAAAGTTGAGAGAAATAATTTGAAGGTACAAAGAGTTATCTTGGTTGAATAATTCTGGAGATCTAATATACAACATGAAGACTATAGTTAATAATATTGTATACAGGAAATTTGCTAGGAAAGTAGATTTTAGGTACTCTTACCGCTCCTCAGAAAAGAAAAGTGTGTGTGGTAATGGATATGTTGATTTACTTGACTGTGTAGCAAGCACTTCATTCTATATTAAAACATCAATGTTGTACACCTTAAATATATGCAATTTTAGAAGAAGATTCTTTGAGTAGCTATCATTAAAATAAAGGCTTTGCTTTTATATCCTCAGCTAGATTTTTCTTTTTTTTTTTTGAGATGGAGTCTCACTCTGTTGCCCAGGCTAGAGCGCAGTGGCATGAACTCGGCTCACTGCAACCTCTGCCTCCCGGGTTCAAGCAATTCTTCTACCTTAGCCTCCCCAGTAACTGGGACTACAGGCACACGCCACCACACCTGGCTAATTTTTGTATTTTTAGTAGGGATGGGGTTTCACCATATTGGCCAGGCTGGTCTCGAACTCCTGACCTCGTGATCCGCCTGCTGTGGCCTCCCAAAGTGCTGGGATTACAAGTGTGAGCCACTGCGCCCAGCCTAGATTTTTCTTTTTAATGAGCATGTTTATGGCCGGTTAACCTCTGTTTTCTATTTTAGTGGTAATCCTGTTTTTATCTTTTAATTTAAATTTTTTAATTGCAAAAGTATAACAAGACTAATTGTTGCAACAAATGAAAAAGTGCAAACAGGCTGGGCGTGGTAGCTCACACCTGTAATCCTAGCACTTTGGGAGGCCAAGGCGGGCAGATCATTTGAGTCCAGGAGTTCAAGACCAGCCTGGGGAACACGGCGAAATCCCATCTCTACAAAAAATACAAAGCTTAGCTGGGTATGGTGGCATATGTCTGTAGTCCCAGCTATGAGGGAGGCTGAGGTGGGAGGATCGCTGGAGCCTGGGAGGTCGAGGCTGCCCCTGAGCTGAGATTGTGTCACTGCCTTCCACCCCGGTGACAGAGTGAGACCCAATCTCCCCCAAAAAAAAGAAAGGAAAAGAAAAAGTGCAAACATGATTAAGAAAAAAGGTACTGGTCTCTCCTTACCATCATAAGGGATTCAAAGTTAACAAGCTTTGTGAATGTCCTCCAGGTTTATAAAAATATATATAAACATATGATATGGAATTAAAGGGGTTTTGGTTGTGTTTATTTCTGTGATTTGTCAAATGGTTTGTTAATAAAGGGATGATACTATGTACATTGTTCTATAACTTGATTTATTCACTTTATAATATGTGCTGGACAGTCCTCTGGATTAGTAAATAGTAGACTTCCTTGAGGATTTTATTCTTTTTTTAAAAAAATTATTTATTTAGAGACAGGGTATTACTTTGTCACCCTCACTAGTTGAGTGGCATGATCATAGCTCACTGTAACCTTGAACTCCTGGTCTCAAGCGATCCTCCTACCTCAGCCTCCCAAGTAGCTAGGACTACAGGTATACACCATCACTTCCAGCTAATTTTTATTTTTATTTCTATTTTTATAGAGATAGGGTCTTGCTATGTTGCCAATGCTGGTCTTGAACTCCTAGCCTCAAGCAGTCCTCCTGCTTTGGCCTCTCAAAGCACTGGGATTACAGGCACAAGCCACCATGCCAGACCAGATTTCATTTTTAAAGGCAAAAATCACATGGAGTCAAATCTACCCACAAGTCATATGGAATATTATATATATATATGGTTTTGTTTAGTAATTTATAGGTATCGATATAGAATCTACGTAGTAACAAATGGGAATTTCTGCTTGTTCTTCCCATTTGCAGGTTATCATATTTGTCTTCTGTAGATAATTTATCAGTTCTTTGATTTGTTTATGGTTGGTATTTCTCTGCAGCCCTTTACTTAATTTCTTCCTAAAGAATATCCAAGAAGCCTTCATTCGTGTTTTATTTTTTCTCAAGCATTATGCGTTATTCCTTTGTCAGTGGTCAGAAACCCAATAAAGTCATTGACATTTTATGTCCATATGTTTTGCCACTTCTATCAGGTATCAAGCTTGATTGATTCTATTGTTTGCCGTTGTTATGTTCATGGAGAGGATTAATGGGCTTAATGACAGGTAGTATTTAATGTATGTACCTCACCCCACCGTACCTAGCACTGTAGTTCTCTTTTTCTTTCTTCTCCCCAGCAGGATTATATAGTTGAATTTGAGTACATTAAATGTAATTATGACATGATTTTCCTGTAGATATACCTTGCTACACAGGTGAGGAGCTCCAGTAGAATGTTAAAGCAAAATCTGAAAAAAGGTGGCAGCTTTACATCTTTCTTTCCAAACTTTTTTCTTTCCTGTATGCACTGGCTAAGAATCCCAGTACAATTTCAAATAGAAGTGATAAGGGTAAATGGATTACTCAGGGTTCTCCAGAGAAACAGAGCCAATAGGATACAATATGTATAGCTATATCTATATTATCACATATAAATAAGCAAAAAATATAGAAGATTTATTATAAGAAATTGACTTAAATGATTATGGAGGTGGGCAACTGGAGACCCAAGAGAGCCAGTGGTTGAGTTCCAGTCTGAATCTGAAAGCCTGAGAACCAGGAATGCCAGTGGGTGTAGTTCCTATCTGAAGGCTGGTAGGCTTGACTCAAACCCAGGAAGAGCCAATGTTTCAGTTAGAGTCCCAAGGCAGGGAAAAAAGCCAATGTCCCAGTTACAAGGCAGTCAAGCAGGAAGAATTCTGTCTTACTTGGGGAGGGTCAGTCTTTGTTCTCTTCAGGTATTCAGCTAGTTGGATGAGGCTAGCCTACATCAGGGAGGGCAATCTGCTTTACCCAGTCTACTGATCACAATGTTAATCACATCCAAAATCACCCAGAATAATGTTTGACCAAATATCTCATTAGTAACACCCAGAAAAATGTTTGACCAAATACCAGGGTACCCTGTGACCTAATCAAGTTGACACATAAAATTAACCATTATAGTAGACCTTCTTTTTTTTTTTTTTCTGAGAGAGTCTCACTCTGTCACCCAGGCTGGAGTGCAGTGGCGCAATCTCACCTCACTGCAACCTCCGCCTCCCGGGTTCAAGTGATTCTCATGCCTCAGTGTCCGGTGTAGCTGGAATTATAGGCACCTGCCACCACACCCAGCTAATTTTTGTATTTTTAGTAGAGACAGGGTTTCGCCATGTTGGCCAGCCTGGTCTCAAACTCCTGACCTCAGGTGATCCACCCACCTCAGCCTTCCAAAATGCTGGGATTACAGATGTGAGCTACTATGCCCAGCCTGCCATCTTGATTTTGTTCTTTATCTTAAAGGACAGCATTCATTAAGTCTTTCAACTTTAAATATAATGTAGTTTTTTTCATAGATGCCCCTTATTCAAGAAATTCTCTTCCTAGTTTGCTGAAAATTTTTATCCTTTAAGAAAAAGTTAATCACTTTTTCTGCATTTTTTGAGATGATTTGTATATTTTAATTCATTGGTTTTCTTTTTTTTTTTTTTGAGACGGAGTCTCACTCTGCCACCCAGGCTGGAGTGCAGTGGCTCAATCTCGGCTCACTGCAAGCTCCCCCTCCCGGGTTCATGCCATTCTCCTGCCTCAGCCTCCTGAGTAGCTGGGACTATAGGCACCCGCCACCATGCCTGGCTAATGTTTTGTATTTTTTTTAGTAGAGACGGGGTTTCACCATGTTAGCCAGGATGGTCTCGATCTCCTGACCTCATGATCCACCCGCCTCGGCCTCCCAAAGTGCTGTGATTACAGGCGTGAGCCACTGCGCCTGGCATCCATTGGTTTTCAAAAGTTGAAACCAACCTTACTTTTCTGAAATAATGTTCACTCGGTCAAGATGTGTTAGCCTTTTTATACATTATTAAATTTGACTTATTAATATTTTGTTATGGATTTTATGGTCTATGCTCATAAGGAAAATTGAGGAATATTGGTGTGTTCTTGACTTGTAATGTCTTTCTTTGATTTTGGTATTAGAATAACGTTGGTCATATAATGAGGTGAGAAGCCTTCTCTATTTTCTGAACAAGTTTACGTTCAGAAAATACCAGTTGGACTGGTATTATTTATTGCTTAAATATTTAATTGAACTTACTCCATGCCAGCTGAGCCTTAAGTTTTCTTTATGGGAAGGTTTTTAATTAGAAACTTAATTTATAGCCAGGAGTCGTGGCTCATGCCTACATTCCCAGAACTTTGGGAGGCCGAGGCGGGTGGATCACCTGAGGTCAGGAGTTCGAGACCAGCCTAACCAACAGGCCGAGGCGGGCGGATCTCGAGGTCAGGAGATCGAGACCATCCTGGCTAACACTGAAACCTGGGAGGCGGAGGTTGCAGTGAGCTGAGGTCACACCATTGCACTCCAGCCTGGGCAGCAAGAGCGAAACTCCATCTCAAAAAAACAAAACAAAACAAAACAAAAAAAGAAAGAAATTCAAAATTTATTTAATGGGTATGGTAGACAGATTTTCTGTTTCTTTTGTGTCAATTTTGGTAATTTTTGTCTTTCAGAGAATTTGTTTTGTTGTTGTTTATTGGCATAAAGTTCATAGTAGTCCCTTATGTTAGTTTTCTGTTGCTGGATAACAAAATACCATAAACTTAAAACAACATTTACTTACTAGCTCAGCAATCTAGGTGTACTTTGGCTGCACTCCTTTTTGAAAGCTCTGAAAGAGTCTGCTTCTGAACTGATTCAAGTTGTTGGCCCAGTTCTGTTCCATGTGATTGTAGGCCTGAAGTCTCCAATTCCCTGCTGGCTGTTGGCTGGGGTCTTCTCTCTGTAACTAGAGACAGCTCTCAGATCCTTGCCCTGTGGCCCTGTCTAACTTTTAAGTCTGGAAAATTTCTCACGCATCAAATTTTCTCATTCTTTGACTCTTTTGCTAGGAAGAGCTGAGTGTCTTTTAAGGGTTCAACAAATAAGTCAGTCTCACTGAGGATTCTCTGCCCTCCTTAAAGCTGACAGTATCATATAGTATAACCTAATCACAGGCGTCTAATCCATCGTATTTGCAGTCTGAGAGATCATATAGGACACATGACTCTGTATGAGGTCTATAACAGAAATCTCAAATGTTCAGTGTTGACTCACCACTCTGCCTCCCTGGCACTTGAACATCTTCCATCTCTGTGGGAGTGCTTGGAATTCTGTAGCATATAGCTTCCTGATCAATCTTTCCTTGGCCTTGTAGGGCTTTTTGTTTGTTTTTTGTTTTTTTAAAGACAGTCTTGCTCCGTCACCCAGGTTGGAGTGGAGTGGATAAACACGGCTCACTGCAGCCTTGACTTCCTGGGTTCAAGATACCCTCCTGCCTCAGACTCCTGTATATCTGGGACTACAGGCATGCACCACCACACCCAGCTAATTTTTTTTTTTTTTTGACTTTTTATAGAGACGAGATTTCACTGTGTTGTCCAGGTTGGCCTTGAACTCCTCCGCTCAAGTGATCCTTCTGCCTCAGCCTCCCAAAGTGCTGGGATTTCAGGCATGAGCCACCGAGCCTGGCTAGCCTTGTAGTGTTTTCCTCTTTCATGTGTACATCTTAATTAATATTCAGCAGAAGCCTGAACTCAGTGTTGCCTAAAGTCTAGAAGATGACATTATTTATAGCTGTTTATAGCTCTAGTGGGAAAGGGGTCTTCTAACTCTCAGAGAATGTATGAATTGTACCTCTTTTTCTCCTCTTTTTGTTTCTTTTTTCTCTTCTGCATTGCCCCGGTCTCTGAACAGTATTGTGGCAATAGCAACGGTGGTAGCAGTGGCAGTGGCAGGAGAAGCGGGGACAGGCAGAGCCTAAGACTCAGAGTTGAATGTCCGTTTCAATTATAGGAGTTGTAGATACAAGAGAATGGAGTAAGTCTCCCCTTCCCTCACCCCCCTAGTGTTTAGCATAGTTGCAGGAAGTGTGAGTGAATAAAGCCGCAGCTTTCTGGTTGGATAACAAGTAAAGGGGAACCCCAGCCTACTAAAAAATACTTGGAACATTGCAGAGTGAGATAAGCTCAGGAAAGCAACCTCTTAAAGTTATCTGTGTTTATAAGCTTATTCCTGAGCTGTGCATATGAGGATCTGCTCTTAACAGTCTACATACTTTGAGAACTGAACAGTGGCATATTCCATTAGCCAAGTCTCAAACTGGTTAATGTGTAGTGCACACATGGGACAGATGCAAATAGCCCTGCAAGAAGACTTGAAAACTGAACTGGTATCGGAACTGTAGCTCACAGAAGGCTCATGGAAACTTCCAACTGTTGAACCTAACTAACTATGGTCCCCCAAAACAAAAATATCAACATTCTCCATAGGATATAAACAAGACCCAATGTCTCATAACATAATAGACAAAATATCTGGAATACAATTCAAAATTAGTTGACACATAAAGAATGAGGAAAATCTGAAGTTGTGTGGACAATGATAGTTCAATAGACGTCAGTGACGAGATGACACAGATGTTGGAATTATCTCACAAAGACATTAAAGCAGTTATGAAAATGCTATAACAACTAAGGGCAAATCAGCAGGAGGGACTGGAGAGGGAGAAAGTTTCAGCCATTAAATAGAAGATATAAGGAAGAATCAAATGGAAAATTCAGAACTAAAAAATATAATAACTGAAATTTAAAAATACACTGAATGGACCCAATAGCAGAATGGTGATGAAAAAGGAAAGGATCAGTGAACTTAAAGATTAATCAATACAAATTTTCCAGTTTGAACAACAGAGAGAAAAATGGGAGAAAAATTCGATAGAGCCCCAGGAACCTGTGAGAAAATACTAGAAAGTCTAACATTTGTGCAATCTGACTTTGAGAAAAATAAGAGAAAGAGTACAGTTCAGGAAGACTACTTAAGGAAATAATCACAGGAAACTAGATTATCGGCAAAGTCAGCAAAAGACAGAAACACAAATTCAAGAATCCCAAGAGAAATACAAGTGCAGACATATCCTGTATCACACGTATTAGTCATACATCATAATTCCCCATAGCCTAGTTATATAGGTCTCAGGACTCCTTATCTATTAAAGTATATAACCCAAGGAACTTGTATCTTTAATCTTAAACATTAAAAATATATATATTTAGGGAGTATAAATGCATATTTCTTACATGCATATATTGCATAGAAGTGAAGTCTGGGCATATATTGCATAGAAGTGAAGTCTGGGCTTTTAGTGTATTTATCACCCAAATACTGAACACTGCCCAACAGGTAAATTTTCAAACCTCACACCCACACCCCCTACCCCCACACCTTCCCCGTATTTTCCTCTTTTTATCTTCTTTCAGTGCCTGGAACACTGAATAAATATTTGTGCAATGAATGAATACATTTTAACGTAACTGTCTCTAACATTTTATCCTTAGTTGAAGGTCATGTAGTATTCTTCTCATAAGTCAGAACAAAGCTACCTTTTTACAAATTGTGACATAATAAAGAATATACATTTGGTCTCCGCCGTGGCTTTTGGCACAGAGCTCCTTAAGTCCCTTGTCATTTCCTGAGTGATAGGAGCATCTATTATTCTAATGGTTTGATCTAGTCTCAGTGTCCTGACAAAAGAGCTTTCAAGACCCATGGAATCTGGGTAATGATAGAAGTGTCTTTTTGTATGCTGACAAGATGAATGGAGACTTACAGTCCCTAGATAGCTCCAGGATGGAGCCGGTTGCCAGAGAAACCAACCACGTGAATAGAGGATTGGAACTTTCAGCTCCACACCGGGACTTCTGGAGTGGGGAGGGAGGACAGAGACCGACTTAACAGTGGCCAATGACTTAATAACCATACCTACTTAATGGAGCCTCCTCCATAAAAACCCTAAATAATGGGATTTGCAGGACTTCTGGGTTAGTGAATATATCCACATGCTGAGAGGATAGTGCAGCCAAATTCTATGGGGACAAGCTTCTGCACTTGGAACCCTTCTGGACCTTGAAGAACATATATATACCTTTTCATTTGGCTATTCATTTCTATCCTTTGTAATATCCTTTATAATAAATGGGTAAATGTGTTTCCCTGAGTTTTGTGAGCCGTTAGAGCAAATTGAACCTGAGGAGGGCATTTGTGGGAACCCTTGATTGATCACAAGTACAAATAATAACCTGAGATTTGCAATTGTCACCTGAATTGGAAGTCAGTCTTATGGAACTAATGCCATAACCTGGTAGCATCTGCCCTAAGTCCAGGTAGCATCAAAATTGAATTGTAGGATACCCAATTGGTGTCCAGAGAGTTGGAGAATTGGTTGGTGTAGGAAAACCCTCACATTTGGTGTCTGAAGTGATGAAGGTAGAAGAGACAGTTTTTCACTTTTTACAAATGATCAAGGCTGGGAAATTCCCAAAACATGGGAATTTCCACCTATTCATGCTACTGATCTTTTTTTGTGTCTAATATCTAAGGGCAAAAATGTAGTGGATTTTGGCCATATTGTGGAACAAGAAGGAAATTAAAATGTTGATGTGAAAAAAATTCATATCTTATTCAACACAGAACATTTTTAATTGGTGAGTATAGGAATGCAGTCTGTGTGTTGGCTTGGCACCTCCCTGCTATAGCACAGTGGCAAGTCCTTTGCATGTCAAAGCCTGACTTCTTTTGCTCTCCTAATGTTCTGGGGCTTGTGAAGAAGTGTTTCCATGAAAATTTATTAAAGTTGGATAATAAAACATGTAACCGTATAAAGCATGATTATTATTTTTATTTTTGAGACGGGGTCTCGCTCTGTCACCCAGGCTGGAGTGCAGTGACACGTCTTGGCTCACCACAGGCTCTGGCCCCAAGGCTCAAGGGATCCTTCCACCTCAGCCTCCTGAGTAGCTGGGATCATAGGCCCACACCACCACGCCCGGCTATTTTTTGTATTTTGAGTAGAGAGGAGAGTTCGCCATGTTGCCCAGGCTGGTCTCGAACTCCTGAGCTCAAGCGATCTGCCCACCTCGACCTCCCAAAGTGTTGCGATTACAGGCGTGAGCCACTGTGCCAGGTTTTAAATCATACTTTAAATAAATTATACTTTAAAATGCTTTACTTCTCAAGATTGAAGATAACCCAGATCAAACTTCAGGAAATGGGACAATTTTTATAAAATTTCATGTGATACAAATTTAGAGGATGGATTTTGTTACTGCTTTTTCTGAAAACAAAAACTTCTTTTTTTATGCTTCTTTTCTTTTTATTGGGAGATTCTAAATTCAGAGAACAAAATTTTTAGCATCATTATAAAGTTGGGTCTTTTTTCCTACTCTTGTTTCTTTTTAACGATTTGTCAACTTTAATAATTATGGTAAATTACACAGAGATTTCTCAAGCAGAACTAATCTTAATGACTTGGCCTGAAATAAATCATACTTTGACTGTTAAATAATGATACTTATTTTCAACAAATTTTTTCAGAATGTTCAGGGTCTTGTTTTTTTTAAATTGTCACCATGCTCAAGTTAGATTAATTCTTTATTGTTATTCTTTTCAAGATCACATTTTTTGTTGTGGCTGTTCACACAGATGGTACGGGACTTTTTTTTAGCCCATTATAATTCAGGGTTTTTTGGGTTTTTTTTTTTTGAGCTTTTATAGCAGCTCATCCCTAATTCTACTTCATTTCCTATACCTGAGTTTTGCCAGAAGTTTTTGGATGCAGTTATAACTAGCATTCTGTTTTGTTTTGTTTTTAAATACTAGCGAACATTTATTGAGCCTTTATTATATGGTGGGAACTTATTTGTCTTTATTTCTCAATGTCTTTATCACCAGAACACTGAAAAATAATCATTTGTAAAATTCATAATTTTCTGCATAAACTATATTTAAATGCCATATTAAAAAGGTGACAAATTCAGGTAAGATTATCGAGAGTAAGAATTGAATACCACTTTTATCCTGATATTCCTATCTTATAACCTCCCATACAACAGATGCAAAATATATTTTATGTATGTTTTGTTTTATTTATGATTTACCAAATCTCATTTTACAGATTATTTGAGGTGAGCCTACACACGTGTGTGTGTGTGTGTGTGTGTGTGTGTGTGTGTGTCTCTTACATAGCACATACAATACAGACAGTTTTGACTTTAAAAAAAATAGAGGATAGTTAATTGACAGGAAATAAGAAAAAAAAAAAAAAAACACCCAGTAGCAAGATTCCTAGTAGGTATGTGTATAATATTAGATCCTGTGTGATTAATTTTTTGATGTGGGCTACATATTTGACTGTCTGCTTGCCCTACACCTAGTGGACAAGGCAAAGAGAAAACATGATCAGTTATAATATTCAGAATCTCATAAGGTAAAACAAACTAGTTATTTATGAGTTTGTAGCATATTTCAATACTGTAAATTGAGAGAGATATGCTTAGGGAATCCTTATGAATGAGACACAGTGAGTAATGTAGTGAGCACCAACACCTCTGACAACATCATATTATAGTAGGCAAAATAATGCTTCTCATCTCTCTTATAATGTCTTTCACTAGGTAGACATAAAATACAATATTGACAGTATAATCTGGAAAAAGTCATTCTAGAAGAGACCAAATTAATTCAGTCTTAGTACTGTATTCACCCATTTGATGGTTTATCTTTAATTGAATAATATTTGGACTTCCTAAATAAATGTTGTGTGTTTTTCAGGAAATTCTGTATGCATATTTTTATTCAAAACTGGATTTGGGAAAGATTAGGCAGTGGAGACTTTGTTGTGTTCATTTAAAGTCAAATAAGATCAAAGTGTATATACATATATATGCACACATGGATCATCAACTGAGCCTAGAGTAACATTAAATCATCTTGGCCATGCCCAGTGGCTCATGCCTGTAATCCCAGCAGTTTGGGAGGCCCAGACAAGTGGAACACCTGAGGTCAGGAGTTAGAGACCGGCATGACCAACATGGTGAAACCTCATCTCTAATAAAAATACAAAAAAATTAGCCAGGTGTGGTGGCAGGTGCTTATAATCCCAGCTACTCGGGAGGCTGAGGCAGGAGAATTGCTTGAACCCAGAAGGCGGATGTTGCAGTGAGCCGAGATCATGCCATTGCACTCCAGCGTGGGCAATGAGAGCAAAACTCTGTCTCAAAAAAAAAAAACTTAAGGATATGAAGTTTCTAAGCAGAAATCATGTGTGAATAGATGGCACTGCCCTCTCCCCCACTCACCTTTCATGAAGATATGTGGAGTGTTAGTTGACTATGAAATCACTTTCATTTTCCCAAAAAGTAGCTTAAACAGGGCTTTGAAGTTTTTTTGTAGTTTGCAGGCTTATTATCTCTCTGGAGAGTAAATGGTAATAGAAATTTTGAGCAGTAAAAGGTAAGAAATCTTACAGTAACAAAATAGTTTTTTCTTTATTTTCTTTCTTTCCTTTCTTTTCTTTTTTCTTTCTGAATGAGGCAGGGTCTTGCTCTGTCACCCAGGCTGGCATGCAGTGGCACAATCTCTGCTCACTGCAACCTATGCCTCTAGGGCTCAGGCGATCCTCCCACGTCAGCCTCCTGAGTAGCTGTGACTACAGGTGCACGCCACCACACCTGACTAATTTTTGTATTTTTTTGTAGAGATGGGCTTTTGCCATGTTGCCCAGGCTGGTCTTGAACTCCTGCGCTCAAGGGATCTGCCTGCCTTGGCTTCCCAAAGTGCTGGGATTACAGGTGTAAGCCACCTCACCCAGCCTGAAATAGTAATTTTACATTTGAAAACAGTCAGTCATGGTGCTGGTCTGCCTGAAAACATTTGGGATGGAGAGGAGGCAGGTGATTAGGTTTATCCAAGATACAGACTTCCAGACGAGTGTGATGGGAGAGAGGCACTTGCAGATAATTTTGGTGAGAGTGAAGGCAGACAAAACTATTAGAGAAGTGGGGAGAAAGAGGTGTTGGTTGTTGAAATAGAGGTCTTAGTGATGGCTACAAAGTTTTCCTTTGGGAATGTATTAACAGTAAGTTGGAATCAGGGTGGGAAGTGGTTGGAAACTGAGATGTAATAATTAGTGATTTGGAGGTGCTAGGGTGTGGTGAAGTCAAATTCAGGGTGGCATCGTGAGATTGTGTGGCTGAAGGGAAGGAGAGAAGTACCTAGTTGGAGATATTTAGGTCAAGGAACTCAGGAGTCAGATGGGTTGTTTGCCTCAGGCATGCGGACCCTGCATCAATACCTGTTAGTGATTTTCTTCTCACTTAGTCGTCTTCACATCTTGGAAAGCAATTACTGGTATCTTTCTTGTCAGAAACTTGAAAAAGTACACCACTTTGCTTGATTCCCAAGCTTTTTTTTTCTAGCCTAGCTATTTCTTCAGGTCTCATTTTCTATTTTCACACTGTACATACACATTTCTTCCCCTACCCCCCTTTTTTTTTGTCAGTGTTTGCAGAGCAGATTGGGAGTTTATATGAATTTAGTTTAAATGAATGGAATTTAGGTTAAATGTTGAGTATATAATATCATACAGAATTTTTGGTAATGTGTTTAAAGCTATGAAATTGATTATTTCTTCAGCCTTGAAAGACTTCTCTGGAGATGATACAGAGCTGATACAGACATTGATGATGGGGCTGTTTCTTAATTGCTCAGGAGAAAATAATTGTTGTATGGTTCTTACAGGCAACTAAACTTTTATTTAGAGAAACAAAGTAATTGGGAATATGAGAAGTGAAATGTGTCTTAATATGCCTTCACTTATTCCTATTCTTTCTAGTGTTCTATTTTAGCTGTTTAAAATACCACGCTAGACCGGTGTTAAAGGCTCATACCTTTGGGAGCCAAGGTGGGCAGATCACTTGAGCTCAGGAGTTTGAGACCAGCCTGGACAACTTGGCGAAACCCTGTCTTTACTAAAAATACAAAAATTAGCCAGGCATGGTGGTGCGCACCTGTAATCCCAGCTACTTGGGAGGCTGAAGTGGGAGGATCACTTGAACCCGGGAGATGGATGTTGCAGTTAGTTGAGATCATGCCACTGCACTGCAGCCTGGGTGACAGAGTGAGACCTCATCTCAAAAAAAAAAAAAAAAAAAAAAAAAAAATACTGAGCTAATGTAAGTTTCTGATAAGTTAGATACTTTGTTTATAGCATATAAGGTAGATATAAAGATTTTCTAAAAGTGCTGTTGTGTAAATCTTTCTTCATAATTTTCTTTAGTTCATAGTCTTTAGAAACTAAAAATGAAAGTGCCCAGGCTTTTTGACTAATTTCTGGGAACACAGGGAAATACCATTTAAAGTAGTTCAGAGACATGGACTTAAAGAAAGATTGCTTAAGGGTGTGACTACTTAATCCTGAAACTGCCTGCTTAAAGAGAGGGAGAAAAACCCAAATGGTTGTTTTAAAAAATCATATCTAATACAAAAATAGGCATATAGACCAATGGAACAGAATAAAGAGCCCAGAAATAAGGCTGCACACCTACGACCATCTGATCTTCAGCAAAGTTGACAAAAACAAGCAGTGGGGAAAAGACTCCCTATTCAATAAATGGTGCTGGGATAACTGGCAAGCCGTATGTAGATGATTGAAGCTGGACTCCTTCCTTACACCATAAACAAAAGTCAACTCAAGGTGGATTAAAGACTTAATGTAAATGTACACTTATATTTACTTTACATGTAAAACCTCAAACTATAAAAACCCTGGAAGACAACCTAGGCAATACCATCCTGCACTTAGGAATGGGCAAAAATTTTATGACAAAGACACCAAAAGCGATCACAACAAAAGCAAAAATTGACAAGTGGGATTTAACTAAACGTAAGAGCTTCTGCAGAGCCAAAGAACCTATCAACAGAGTAAACAGCCTACAGAATGGGAGAAAATATTTGCAAACTATGCATCAGACAAAGATCTATTAGCCAGTATCTATAAGGAATTTAAACAAATTTATAAGAAAAAAAACATTAAAAGTGGGCAAATGACATGAACAGACACTTTTCAAAAGAAGACATACATGCGGCCAACAAGCATATGCAAAAAAGCTTAATGTCACTGATCATTAGAGAAATGCAAATCAAAACCACAATGAGATACCATCTCACACCAGTCGCAATGGCTATTGTTAAAAAGTCAAAAAATAAGAGATGCTGGTGAGGTTGTGGAGAACACATACACACTGCTGGTGGGAGTGTAAATTAGTTCAACCATTGTAAAAAGCAGTATGGCGATTCCTTAAAAAACTAAAAGCAGAACTACCATTTGACCCATCAATCCTATTACTGGGTATATACCCAGAGGAATAGAAATCATTCTAGCATAAAGACACATGCATGCGAATGTTCATTGCAGCACTATTCACAATTGCAAAGATGTGGAATTAACCTAAATGCCCATCAGTGACAGATTGGATAAAGAAAATGTGGTACATGATCACCATGGAGTACTGTGCAGCCATAAAAAAGAATGAGATCATGTCTTTAGGGAACATGGGTGGAGCTGGAGGCTATTATCCTTAGCAAACTTATGCAGAAATAGAAAACCAAATGCCGCATGTTCTCACTTATAAGGAAGCTAAATGATAAGAACTTATGAACACAAAGAAGGAAGCAACAGACACTGGAGCCTACTTGAGGGTGAAGCGGGGAGGAGGGAGAAGAGCAGAAAAGGTAACTGTTGGGTACTAGGCTTAATGCCTAGATGATGAAATAATCTATACAACAAACCCCTGTGACAACAGCTTACCTATGTAACGAACCTTCACATGTACCCCCAAACCTAAAATGAAAGTTTAAAAAAAAACCACAAAAAATTTCTATTTTCATTCATGGTTTCATTTAATGAGTTTTGGATTGACTGTGGTCATTTTGCTGTTATGTCTGTATATAGGGTCTTACATTTGGACATTCAGCCATTTTATAATACTTTCTGGGCTATTTAAAAATATTTAAAGGTAACATTATATAAAATAAAATCAAAGATCATTGATTTTAATATTTGTCCCCCTTTAATCAGAGGAGACAACAATCACCAATATTCCAGCTATCCACTATAAACTACTTCTTTTTTTTTTTTTTTTTTGAGACAGCGTCTCACTCTGTTGCCCAGACTGGAGTGCAGTGGCACAATCTTGGCTCACTGCAACCTCTGCCTCCTGGGTTCAAGCAATTCTCCTGTCTCAGCCTCCTGAGTAGCTGGGACTGCAGGCGTGTGCCACCGTGCCCAGCTAATTTTTGTATTTTTAGTAGAGACCGAGTTTTACCATGTTGGCCAGGATGGTCTTGATCTCTTGACCTCATGATCCGCCTGCCTCGGCCTCCCAAAGTGCTGGGATTACAGGCATGAGCCACCGTGCCCAGCCTGTAAACTACTTTTATTTGTATTCTTCACACAGTTTACAAGGTGAACATGCTTTTTTTTTTTTTTTTTTTTTTTTTTTTTGAGACACAATCTTTCTCTGTCACCCAGGCTGGAGTGTAGTGGTTCAGTCTTGGCTCACTGCAACCCGCCTCCTGGGTTCAAGTGATTCTTCTGCCTCAGCCTCCTGAGTAGCTGGGATTACAGGTGCTCTCCACCACACCCAGCTAATTTTTGTATTTTTAGTAGAGATGGTGTTCCACCATGTTGGCCAGGCTGGTCTTGAACTCTTGACCTCAAGTGATCCACCCACCTCAGCCTCCCAAAATGCTGGGATTACAGGCGTGAGACACTGCACCTGGCTGTGCTTTTGATAATATTTTGCTATAGTATAGTATTTTGATGGTATGTTGCGTTATACTGTTTTTCATTTAAGGTTACATCATAAATCAACTTTTTCTTTGTATACAGCATAGACTTCATGATGAATTGAAAGTAGGAGACAGAGGTGACTGAGTAGCTGCTGGTACCATTGTCACTGTGGTAGAAAGAACATGTGTGATTATGGTTAGTCAGCTTCTAAGGTAGATTTTTGTTTGAGTTTGATCTGAGAGAGACTTGCACAGGTTTATAGCCTGCTGGAGGAAGATTTTTCCAATGCAGAGGAGCAAAGGAGTAACATCTCAGTACTTGGGGAGCTGGAGCAATATGGGACCAGGGGACTTGAAGGATTACGCCTTTTTCTGGAGTTGAAGGGAATTAGGTCATGTGTTCAGATATAAATTCCTAGTGACCTGAGGATTTACTGCAACTACTTTTAGTATCCTTTGTAACACCTGTTACTTGAATATTTATCATGTTATAATAATCCATCTGTGTTTAGAATAACCAATTTTTTTCTTTTAGCTTAATTTTTTTTCAAAAGAAAAGTTTCAAATATACACAAAAGTAGAATAGTATAATGAACCTCCATGAACCCATCATCCAGATTCAAAAGTTATTCTGATAGCTTTTTAATAATATTTCTTTAGCTTTTAATCATTTAAAAATATTTAATTCTCTAATCCATCTGTGTTCATTTAGCTGGAATTAGATAAAAGAATATTATTTATTAAGTCAGTCATCTTTTTTTTACTATATTATGATATGTCTGGCCTACTAACCTACAGTTTTATTTATGCCAGCATAACATAGTTTTAACTATTTTAGTAGGTTTTAAACTCATAATTATATTATAAATATTTATAATTAAAATTGCTGATTACATCAGTATTTAAAATTTTATATTACTGTTTGAATATATTTTAATATCTATAGATGAAGTATGTGTATATTCTTGGGTATTTATCTTCCTTTTCAAATATTGGCGTGGTAACTCTTAACTAGCTAGAAAAGCTTTTGCTGATAAGCTTTTGAAAAATGAAAGATAAGCCTAAACAATTCCACATATGTATTCATTTGTTTAGTAAATATTTGTTGAGTAATATTGTGTGCTAGTATCACATCTGAATAAACTGGTATAAAAACTTTGACCTTAAAAGTGTATCACTGGGTCAATCTCTGTGTTTTACTACTGTTTTTAGCTCTACTTTCTCCCTGAGTTTTAAATTGGTGATAATTAGGTCATATATTTTAAAAAACTGCAAATGAGTAAAATTGTCTGGGACATCTTACGCATGCCCTGCATCACTCTGGCCCCAGGCCTTTAGGGAAAAACAAAGGACCGTGATATATAGGATAATCAAGATATGGATGGAATATCTTTTGTTAGCTCTTGACTTAGTATGACAAATTCATAAATTATTTAGAAGTAGAAAGAAACTTTGGAGCCATCTCATCCATTCATTCTTTCCTACACATAGAGAAGGGTAAGACAAGACCTCAAGTAAATGAAGTCAGTGAGTAAGCATATGATAGTATGCTTATACTTACTGTCACGGTTTCTTTAGACCTGTTTAAACCATTGAGCACCCTGGCATTTGGACCAATATGTGATTTTATAGCTGGTTTACTTAGCAAGTGAAAAACAGATTAGACTAACTACGGTTTACTGAACGATATACTGGTTAATTACACTCTAGTGGTTCTGCAGACAAGTAGGCTTTCTAAAACTTGGCATGTTTCTTCTTCCAGTATGTTCCTTCCTTCTCCAAAATAAAGATGTTTTTAGTGTAGAAACAAACAAACAAACAAAAAGAGATGTTTTTCGTGGTACAGTATTCATGACTTTGTTTTTGTTTTTGTCTGCTTCGTTACAGGTTCATGTCAGGGCTGGTCTTTTTCATGGTACTGAGCTCCTGTGTAAAACCATCGTAAGCTCAGAGGTATCAGGGAAAAATGATCATATTTGGAATGAACCACTGGAATTTGATATTAATATTTGTGACTTACCAAGAATGGCTCGATTATGTTTTGCTGTTTATGCAGTTTTGGATAAAGTAAAAACGAAGAAATCAACGAAAACTATTAATCCCTCTAAATATCAGACCATCAGGAAAGCTGGAAAAGTGGTAATGATATACCAACTTCTGAGGATTGTTTTATATAACGGAATAATTTTAAGACTGTTTGAAATAATTGAGTAATATAAGTTAAATTATATTAGGTAACTTTGATCCTTAAAAACTGATTTTAAGAAGATAAGAAATTTCCATGTTTATATCTTTAGATTTATGTTCATGCATTTATTTATGTTTATGTTCATGCATTTTTTTTGTAATCTTGCTCCTTCTACCATGGATTTTCTTTTGGCAGGTTTATTTTATAAGTGTTTTATTATATATGTAATACTTTTAAGAAGATATGAAGAATGATGATGTTTGAAAAATTTACAGTTCTGCAGTCTTTCAACTGAAATTTCATGTGACAGATATGTTTAAGAATTCAGAATTTTGTGTATTTTAGAAAGATCATTGGTCGTAACTGACTCAACATATCTTGTGGGGTCTGGGGCATAAATGTGTCATCAAACATGTTAATATTTGGAGTGAAATATATCAGTATTCACACTAAATGTGACTATCATTAGCTTTTTGTTATCTCTGGCCACTTTTTGCTGTCACATGAGCTATGAACAAACCTTCAGTTTTTAGAGCTTCTCGGATTTTGAAATTATGAATATAAGAGGATGGACCTGTTGTCATACTTTCATCTTCCATGTTATGTTTTCAGTCAAATGTTTCACTTTCTTCTTGCTTTTTGAAAGCTTTTTGGTGGGGATAGGGACATTAATTTTATATGTTTTTAAAATCTAGTTACTATATTTATCTATATATTAATTTGTGTTATTTTATTCTTTTTTTCTTTTGAGACAGAGTCTCACACTGTCACCTGGGATGGAGTGCAATGGCACGATCTCGGCTCACTGCAACTTCCGCCTCCCGGGATCAAGCGATTCTCCTGCCTCAGCCTCCTGAGTAAATGGGGTTACAGGCACCCGTTACCACACTCAGCTAATTTTTTGTATTTTTAGTAGAAACAGGATTTCACCATGTTGGCCAGGCTGGTCTTGAACCCCTGACCTTGTGATTCACCCGCCTCGGCCTCCCAAAGTGCTGGGATTACAGGCGTGGCCACCGTGCCTGGCCGTGTTCTTTTATTCTTAACATGGGAATATAAGCATCTCCTCTGGTTATCATCATATAGTCTTCTAAAAATAATTTTTAGGCTAGGCGCAGTGGCCCACGCCTGTAATCCCAACACTTTGGGAGGCTGAGGTGGGAGAATTGCTTGAGGACAGGAGTTGGAGACCAATCTTGGCAACATGGTGAGATCCTGTCTCCAAAAAAAAAAAAATACCCTAAAAGTAAAATAACTTTTAATGACTAAAAAGTCACAGAAGCATTAGTTCCTTAGTATTTTTTTCTTCCTTAATATAGAATTATCCTCAAAGTGTTTGATTATAAGATTTTTGATACACTATGGTGAAATTAATCTATTTAAATGTTTGTATAAAAGTCCTATCAGCTCAATGCCTCCTTTTTAGAGATATATTTATATGCCTAGAGACATTATCTCCTTCCATATTGAGATTTATGTAGGTTGAAAGCTCTTAAAACAAGTATTCTGATATTATACGTGTTTTCTTGGATTATTAAAGATTTCTCATTTTGGCTGGGCGTGATGGCTCACACCTGTAATTCCAACACTTTAAGAGGCTTAGGTAGGTGGATCACCTGAGGTCAGGAGTTTGAGACCAGCCTGTCCTACACGGCAAAACCCCGTCTCCACTAAAAGGACAAAAATTAGCTGGGTGTGGTGGCGGGTGCCTGTAATTCCAGCTACTCAGGAGGCTGAGGCAGGAGAGTCTCTTGAACCTGGGAGGTGGAGGTTGCAGTGAGCCGAGATCACACCACCACTCCAGCCTGGGTGACAGAGTGGGACTCCATCTCAAAAAAAAAAAAAAAAATCATTTTCACAAGGCTTTTTAGTCCATATTCTATTTTATTCATATACTATTTATTATGAAATGTTAATTGAGTTTTAAGGTTCTTCTTAAACGTAATAAAGATAGTGAGCATTTTTCTATGTATATCTTGTTCTCATTTTAGAAGATTATTTTGGAAATCATCCAGAACTTTCTAGAACTAACATTATTGAAACAAAGGACATGTGCATGTTTACACCTTAAAGTTATTCTTAGCATATTTATGCAATGGTATCTTTTTCAACAGCATTATCCTGTAGCGTGGGTAAATACGATGGTTTTTGACTTTAAAGGACAATTGAGAACTGGAGACATAATATTACACAGCTGGTCTTCATTTCCTGGTAAGATTTACATTCTTATCCTTAGTGTTAAAGCATAACTAACTTTTGGCATGTGGACTAGGTAATATTTATGAATCACCGTTCTTTCAATTTAATAAATAAAATTATCATTTTGTATTATTTATTCTAAAATAGATTTACACAAATTATTTTAATATTATCATAAAATTACTTGTTTCTGAGTAGATTTCTTTACAAATTTTGTTTTGGTTTAAAATCGGCCTATATTTTATTTTATTATTTATTATTTTTTTTTATTTTGTCGAGACAAGGTCTCGCTATACTGCCAAGGCTGGTCTCAAAACTCCTGGCCTCAAGTGATCCTCCCAAAGTGCTAGGATTACAGGCATGAGCCACTGTTACTGACCTGTATTTTAAACGGTTATTTTAACAAGTTAGTATTTTAAACATACTTCCAACAAATAATGTACCATTATTTTGCTAGTAACAAGTTAACTCTAGTATTAACAAATTATTCATTTAGCTCATTAGAGATTGTCTAGTCTCGCTATGGGACATAACTTTTAAGTTTTGTGATGGGTAGCTTTGTCTTTAAATCTTATGCATCTCCATACCATATTTAGGAATGAAATAGACTAAACTTCTTTTTTTTTTTTTTTTTTTTTTTGCGACGGAGTTTCGCTCTTGTTGCCCAGGCTGGAGTGCCATGGTGTGATCTTGGCTCACTGCAACCTCTGCCTCCCAGGTTCAAGCGATTCTCCTGCCTCAGCCTCCCTGCTAGCTGGGATTACAGGCATGTGCCACCACGTCCAGCTAATTTTGTATTTTTAGTAGAGACAGGGTTTCTCCATGTTGGTCAGGCTGGTCTGGAACTCCCGACCTCAGGTGATCCGCCCACCTCGGCCATCCCAAAGTGCTGGGATTACAGGCGTGAGCCACCGCGCCTGGCCGTATTTCTGAATATATTTCTTATTTTAATGAATGTGTGTTGCTTTCAGCATTTTTTGTAGGTTTTTTTTTTCTTTTTTTTTTTGAGAAATTCTCCTAAGGAACAGTGTCTTCTTTATAATAACCTTTGTTGCTCCTAATTGTGCTAACTTTCTTCATGAGTAGAAGGAACATCTCTAATTAGGGAGAAATAGTAAAAACACTTTTTTTTTTTTGAGATGGAGTCTCGCTCTGTCACCTCGGCTGGAGTGCAGTGGTGTGATATGCGCTCACTTCAAGCTCCACCTCCTGGGTTCATGCCATTCTCCTGCCTCAGCCTCCCCAGTAGCTGGGACTACAGGTGTCCACCACCACACCTGGCTAATTTTTTGTATTTTTAATAGAGACGGGGTTTCACAGTGTTAGCCAGGATCGTCTCGATCTCCTGACCTCGTGATCCACCCACCTCAGCCTCCCAGAGTGCTGGGATTACAGGCGTGAGCCACCACTCCCAGCCTAAAACACTTTTTCTTTAGTTGGCTTTAGCCTGAAATTTGAGGTAAATGGAGCACCTTCCACACGCTTTTATTTCTCAAATACTACTCAAAATACCCTCATCAAGTGAGGTAGATGGTTTTATTTCCATTTTTACAGATAAGTGAAGCTCAGAGAAAATAAGTTAGTCTTACATAGCTGTTTCAAACCTAGGATTTGAATGAAAGACTATTCAAATCTTCCCATTGGTCTATACTGCTTTCCCAAATGTTGGAATTTTTAGTGTAAATCTTGCATTATAATAGTGGTTTTCTTTTTCTTTTTTCCTGTCTTTATAGTTTGTTGATATATCTAGTGAAGTTGTAAACTAATTTGAATTTGAATTTTTTAATTCATGGCTTTGTAAGTGACATTTCAAAATGTTCATGTACTAGCAGTTGTCACCTGAAAAATTACTTTTGGATAATCATTTACTGACATATCTATAAACTCTTTGCAATCTAATAGTGTGTGTGTGTGTGTCCTTCTATTCCTATCCTCTCCAGCATGTACCTCTAACAGTTTTCACTAATTATGTTATTCCCCAAATGTAGGAGAACTGTGTATATTTGACGTATTTCTTTTTGTTTGTTTGTTTGTTTGACTCAGGGCCTCACCCTGTCACCCAGGCTGGAGTGTAGTGACTTGAACACAGCTCACTGTAGCCTTGCCCTCCTGGGCTCAGCCTCCCTCCTCAGCCCCCCAAGTAGCTGGTACTATAGGCATACGCCACCACACCCGGCTTTTTTTTTTTTTTTTTTTGTATTTTTTGTAGAGACAGGGTTTCGCCATGTTGCCCAAGCTGGTCTCGAACTCCTGGGCTCAAGTGATTTTCACCTCCTCAGCCTCCCAAAGTGCTAGGATTATAGGCATGAGCCACAGCTCCCAGCCTATTTGACATATTTCTTAGGAGGAACTAAACTTTCACAATACAATAAAATATAGCAGCAAAATACTGTACTTTCTTGAGAATCTTAATTTAGACTCACACATGTTCTCCAGAATCACCAACCAACTTGACTAGTATTTTTAGTAAAAATTACAATTTTTGGTGGTGTTAACTTGGCATAATACTATGAACCTGACTTCCTCTCTGAGAAAATGTATGATAAAAAATAATAAATGAACACATTAGTTCTGCATGTGTCAGCTCTAGAATTGTTACATTTAACCCAGTAGGGGCAAACAAGAAGCAAAGAAACTACAAATAATCTACCATCCAGAGTCCCTAGGTCATCATTACAAGGTATACAATCACGTTTATTATTTTTTTTCCTAACTTTCCATAATTTTTTTATGTGGACTAGGAAATACAAATGTCGATTCCTGTTTTTCCCCCTATACTTACACAAAATGACACATTCTGTGTAATGTTCTGCTTCTTGCTTTATTCACCATATCTACATATCTACATATCACCATATCTTCTCTACGTATCTATGTAGAGAACTGTTTTTCCCCCCATGCCTGGACTGTTAGATTTTTTTTTTTAAGCAGAATTGTGTTCTGATAGTTCAAACAGTGCTGCTATAATGAATAACCATGCTTATGTACAGTGTATATCTGAGATAAATTCCTTAGAGGTGGGTTTATTGATTCAAAGAATAGATAAATTTATAATTCTTATCATTACAAATTGTTCCTCAATAGCGTGTATCAATTTTTGCTCTCCATGTGTAGTATATATGAATGCCTTTTTTTTTTGCCACATATGGTGGTTCACATGTATAATCCCAATGCTTTGGGAGACTGAGGCAGGAGGATCACTTGAGTCCAGGAGATTGAGACCAGCCTGGACAACATAGTGAGACTCTGTCTCCCTATACACACAGAAAAAGAGTGCCTTTTTTTCTGATCACTTTTGAACAAGGCTAAAGGATTACCTCTATGTATGGGGCTAATAAGTACTAAAATACTAAATTTGATTTCAGTTAGGTTGCATTTGATAGGACAAAAGTAAAATAGTACTAGAGAGCAGAAGTATGAAACTGTAAATTGCTGAGAAATCAGCTCTAGAGTTGTATAAATTATTAGAATTGAGCCAGGTGCAGTGGTGTGTGTGTGCCTGTAGTCCCAGTTACTCAGGTGCTTGAGGCAGGAGGATCGTTTGGGGCTAGGAGTTTGTATCCAGCCTGGGCAATGTGGCAAGACCCCGTCTCTAAAAAAACAGGAAGATTAAAAAAAAAAAAAAAGAGTTGCCTCCATCCAGGTGAAAATTGAGTTTGGGCTGGGTGTGATTGCTCACACCTGTAATTCCAGCACTTTTGGAGGCTGAGTTGGGTGGATCTCTTGAGCTCAGGAGTTCAAGACCAGCCTGGGTAACATGGTGAAACCCTGTCTCTACCAAAAATTAAAAAATTAGCTGGGCATGGTGGCATGCGCCTGTGGTCCCAGCTACTCAGGAGGCTAAGGTGGGAGGATCACTTGAGCCTGGGAGGTGGAGGTTGCAGTGAGCCAAGATCATGCCACTGCACCCCAACCTGGGTGACAGAAACCCTGTCTCAAAAAAAAAAAAAAAAAAAGAAAAAGAAAAAATTGAGTCCGTGAGGTGAGAAAATATTTAAAAAGATGAACGAAGAATTAAGGAACGAAAACTTGTAAAGATTTTCCAGCTTTAGGAAATAATTCTGAGTGTGCATACTTTATGGACATTAGACCTAATTAGAGTAGAGCTGATATTTTTTTTCCTTAGGAGATACAGAAAGAACAACTGTACTACAGTCAGTATAAGAAAAGAAAAATTACTTTGGAGAGAGAGGATCTTAGATTGTACACCTAACTCTATTTTCTCATCATGAGTTTCTTATCTGTGAAATAAAAAAATTATATGATGCGAACTCCAGAGTTTTCTAACTACACTGAAATTCTAAAATCACACACACAGTTCTGTGAATTGACCATATTTAGCGTGGTGGAAAAGGAAAAGGAAGGAGTACCTTGAAGAAAGAAGCAGTTGGTGAGGTAAAAGGAGCGCCACTTAATGGAGTATTCCAGAGGCTACCAGAGAAGGTATTTTCTGTCAGCAGTTGCAGGATAATAAAGAGCATTATCGTTAGATTTGATAAGAAGAATGTCATTGATGACTTAAAATACCAATTTGGTTATTGTGACAACCATGAAAACCAGATTACATGTGATTAAGAAGTCCATATGTAGTGATGAGATTATAGTTTCTATGGGCCACCTAATTTTGATGGAGAGAGAGCAGTTCCAATTAAAGTCTTTTCAAGATTGAGAACTAAATTTGAATTAAGAGGTAAAGTAGTCATTCAGTTTTGTTAACTTTCTCATTTTTAAAACATGTATGCAAACTCACACTGAAATTTTGTTCCAAGCATTAACAGAAAATTAGAGGATTACTGATAGAATTGTCTGTCACACTTCTGTAGTTGACATACTTCTAAGGTGATTTTCATGGGAGGAGATCCATTACAGCTTTTTTAAAGCCTAGTTTTAAAGACATTTTTTAAGAACCAAAATTATTTGCATGTTTTAGATGAACTCGAAGAAATGTTGAATCCAATGGGAACTGTTCAAACAAATCCATATACTGAAAATGCAACAGCTTTGCATGTTAAATTTCCAGAGAATAAAAAACAACCTTATTATTACCCTCCCTTCGATAAGGTAAGCTAATTATTTAAAGGACCTCTATGCATGAAATGATTGAATGATCAGTTCCTCTATGTATAGTTTAAGCTCTATCTGTCTCTTTCAAAACTTCCCATACAGTGACAGCTTTGTTGAGTGGGAAGACCATGGATCAGGGAGCCTTCTTAACTCTGTTAGTTTTGGTTTTATCACTGACTAAGTAAGAAAAGGTACCTCCAGGCCGGGCGCAGTGGTTCACGCCTGTAATCCCAGCACTTTGGGAGCCCGAGGTGGGTGGATCACCTGAGGTCGGGAGTTCGAGACCAGCCTGACAAACATGGAGAAGCCCTGTCTCTACTAAAAATACAAAATTAGCTGGACATGGTGGCACATGCCTGTAATCCCAGCTACTCGGGAGGCTGAGCAGGAGAATTGCTTGAACCCGGGAGGCGGAGGTTGCAGTGAGCCAAGATCGTGCCATTGCACTCCAGCCTGGGCAACAAAAGCAAAACTCCGTCTCAAAAAAAAGAGAGAGAGAAAAGGCATCTCTGGAGTTCACTTTTCTTATTTATAAAATGAAGAAATCATAATTGTTCTATTTTTTAATATCTCACGCCCTTAAAGGGCTATAAATATATTCATATGTAACTGAATACATAAAATGTTGTTTCAAATATTAAAGGTATAGTCACTGCTGTATTAGAATTGATACTCAAAGAACAATTGATTTTTGTTGAATATGTCTGTTAGTGGCGCTTCCTAATGTAGTTATTTTATAGAATCTATAGTAAGGACTTCATTTCTAAATATATTTCTTTAATATACACACTGCATGTCTTGGGGATAAAGAGATTATCTAATGGGGGCTAAATATAGGGCTATGGTAATTTACATGCTAAGAGAGCTGAGCTGTCATATATTTTATCTTTAGGTTTGGCATGGTGTTTTTTATTTTAAAAAATGGAGTATTTCTCTGTCATCCAGGCTGGAGTGCAGTGGCACAATTATTGAGCCTCAAATTACTTGCCTCAAGCAACTGTCCTGCCTCAGCATCCCTGGTACTGGGATTACAAGTGAGAGCCACTGCACCTGGTAGTGTTGATTTTTATAAGGAAATCTTTGAACAAATTCTCAGAATTTAGGAGCCAGGCACCATGGCTCAAGCCTGTGATCCCATCAGCTTGGGAGTCTGAACCAGGAGGATAACTTGAGGCTAGGAGTTCAAGATAGCCTGGACAACATAGAGAGACCCTTGTCTGTACAAAAATTTAAAAGTTAGCTGGGTGTGGTGGCATGTGCCTATAGTCCTAGCTACTCTGGAGACTGAGGTAGGAGGACTACTTTAGCCCAGGAATTTCAGACTGCAGTGACCTATGGTCATGCCACTGTGCTCCAGCCTGGGCAACAGAGAGAGACCCTGTCTCTGGAGAAAAAAAAATGTTCAGAAAATAAGCTGAAAGTTTATTTAATTTCCTCAATCCGCTTGAGTACAAACTACCTTTGAAGATTGATATTATACTTTATAAATACTTAAGATAATCTACCTGTACATTTAAAGTATTAGCAAATTAAATTTATGTAATTCACTCTTTCTTCATTTTCATTATAATTGGATTTTATCCATCTAAGGAGTAATTTTTTATTTCAAGTTTTTTAAACATGTTTTTCTGAACAATAATTTACAACCAAATTAAATTTTGTGCTTATAATATAAATTTCAAATATGGCAAGAATCATATACGTTAGTATACACTGAGTAGAAAAAGCTACATTTTGACTCATCCAATACGTTTATGTAGTGTCTTTAGTTATTCCTTTGATAGAAATTTATCCATAAGCCATAGCTACTCGTGATATATTTAATAGTTTTAGCTGTGACTATTATCATGTTCAGTTATGATGTGTGTTCAACAGTTATAGGCTCTTTTGGCTCAAATGAAATGCTTTTTGAAGTACTTTTACAAATATAGCCTCCTATATTTGCAAATATAAGTTTTTTTTTTTGTTTGTTTTGTTTTTTGTTTTTTTTTTTTTTTTTTGCCTTTCTAATCTCTTGGAGAGTCTTTCTTGAAGAAGATCAGTTTGGGATAGAGATTTTAGTCTTTGAATATATATAAGCCAGGGACAGCAGCCTTTAGTCCCATCTGCTTGAGGCTGAGGTGGGATAATTGCCTGAGCCCAGGAGTTCAAGGCGAGCTTGGGCAACATAGACCCCATCTCAAAAACAAACAAAAAGTATGTAAATAAGTATATGCTTATTGATCTCCTTCAATTGTACAAGTTAGATATTGTCGTTACTTCTACTTTTGGTGTCTGTTAATTGAAGAAAAAACATAATGAGAAAAGTTTATTCTACAATTTAGTAACTCTTACATGTTTTTGTGTCTTCTTAACTAGAATACATTTACTTATACTTAAAAGAAAATTTTTGACATATATATGCTAGCTGGTACTTGTTTTATCTCCAGACAATTTTAGTGCTTCCTAGGAGTCATAATCCCTTATAGCAATACCATCATTTCCCTGTTGTCAAGAGTTTAAAGCACTTGAGAAGCATCATTTTGCTTTTAAAATTCATGTTTCTGTTACAAAGCATAGCAATGCCAGATCTTATGTAGTCTAAGTACAAATGTAGTCATTTACACTTAAAATTCTACAAATATGAGAGCCAAAATTCATTTTCTTTAATTTTTTTAAACAGATTATTGAAAAGGCAGCTGAGATTGCAAGCAGTGATAGTGCTAATGTGTCAGTAAGTATCAAGAGTTTTAAATGGCCCTTTCTTATGGAGTTGTGCACATTATTAGGTATCTTTGCCTCATAGTAATGAACTCACAGAAGACCGTAACTCATATGCAAGAACAGTCTGTGAGTGTGGGTAAGTATGCACATGATAGTGTTTTGTTAAATGGCAGCCCAATTTGTGGGTGATCTGGGTTCAGTGGGCAAGCCCTTTTCTGATACAAGTACAGGTTTAGCAGGTAATCTATAAGGGATTCTGTGGCACCTCATAGATTAACAATGCTGTCATAGTGAATATTATTTAGTTTAATGAGGAGACTGTATTTCTCTCAGGTAACAAAGCAGATTTAGTAATAGGCACACACATCATCATGCAAGTGACCCAAATTTCTTCCATCTTAGTGCTCTGCCATATTTAACATGTATTTTCTATTTCATGGTTTAATATTACTGCTTCAGCTTCCTACTTTACTATATTCCAGCCAGCAGGAACAGGAAAAACAATAGTAGTGGTCACACCCCATTCTTATTCAGGATATCATTAGTATGTATCATTTCTGCTTACATGTCATTGGCCAGATCTTACTGACCATGCCTAAGTACACACGCATCTGAGAGGTGCAGTCTTTAGCCACGCCATCAGTCATGCGCTTGGCTAAGAGTAAGAGATTCTAGTACTAAAGGAAGAAGTGGAGAATGGATATTGAGGGTCAAATAGTAGTCTCTGCCACATATACTATTCCCATTTGTTTCTATGCAGATACTACAAATAGGTTACTTTGTTGACTTGGGTTGCTATATTTATATCTATATCTACATCTATATATCTATATCTATATCTACATTTATATATCTATATCTATATCTACATATCTATATCTATATCTACATATATATATATAAATATGTATACCATCTGTGCTTTTTTATTTAATTTTTTGGCTCTTTCTAGTTTGACTTTGTTGAGCTGTAATCCAGTATTCTCGTCATCAGTTTACAACTTTTAAGTCTATTTAGCAAAGTCATTCTACCTGTAGCATGGCAGTGTTATAGAGACTAGGAGGCAAACTGGAGACAATGTGTATGTTTTTCCCATTCTCACAGAATCAAAGCACTATTTAATTTTGGCCAGTTGGTGAAATGTCTGGCCTAGGCTGTCTTCTCCTTTGCCATTAGAGCTCTCAGAATCTTTCCCTAGTTTCTCAGTGTGAGTCATCTGCTACTGCTTTCTTATTAGTGTTTTTGGCTTAAATTTTGTCTTTTGAATTTGAATGCTTGACCTTAGGAAAGAGAGCAGTAGTGCCAGACTCCTAGTCTTTACAGTTTACGAAAGGCTCTGGGCCAGTTTGGGACCATAATAGCCAAATTCTTCCTCTCTCTGTCTTTTTTCCCAAAGTTTTGTGTTATTCAGGTTTCTGGAGACAGTTTCAGATAATAATTTAATTTGTAAACATTGTGCAAATTTTAATAGCTTAAATTATATATATGGCCTGAAAAAAATTTGCATGATCAATTGATGAGGCTGGTGTGATAGGATCCTTGTGTTTGACTGCTTTTTCTTGCTGAGGATGTAGACTTGAGAATGGCCTGGAATCTCTAAGAAGTAAGAGTTTATTGAAAAAGTAAAACAGTAAAATAAAAGTGGAAGCAATCTCAGAGACTAGTGTAAAAAAATGTGTGTTTGTGTATAAATTTAAAAAATAAAAGAAAAACTTTAAAAAGAGACAACTGCAAGAGCAGTTACCTTTAATGATACAAAACAAATTTCTTACAGGTGTTAATTTATCAGCTTATTAGGCAATTACTGAAACAGATAATTACAGTTTAAGCTTAGGAGATATAGTTACACAGGCAGGTCTTGGTTCAAGTGCCTGTCTCATTACCCTTTATAAGACAATATTGCTCCTTGAACCTCAGATAAATGAATTAGTTTTTACTATTTCCACCATAAACTTGTACCTGACCTAAATCAGAGAGTTTGCTACACACTGAGCATGCAGTAATCTTGCCCAGGTCTGATATACCTTTACAATTTGTTTGTTTTTTATTAGGCACAAAGTACAATTAATAAATGGTAAGGATGGGTGTGATGGCTCACCCCTATAATCGCAGCACTTTGAGAGGCCAAGGTAGGAGGATTGCTTGAACCCAGGAATTTGAGAGCAGCCTGGGCCATACAGAGAGACCCCATCTCTACAAAAAAAAAAAAAAGTATTAACTGGGCGTGGTGGCATGGACCTGTAGTCCCAGCTACTTGGGAGGCTGAGGTGGGAGGATAGCTTGAGCCTGGGAAGTTGAGGCTGTTATGACAGAGTAAGACCCTGTATCTTTAAAAAAAAAAAAAAAAATTGTAAACCAAAAATGAAAGTTTCTCTCTGTGACTCCCACCTACCTTCCTCTCCAGAGCTAATTGTAAACAGTTTAATTTGTAGCTATCAATCCTAACTTTATATGTAAATATCTCCCCCTTTAAAATAAATGAGATCTATATATACATATATAAAACTATATATATATATAGTTTCTACTTTTTTCATTTAATATACTTTGTGGATATTGTCATGTGAGTATGAATAGGTCTACTTTTTAAAAAATACCTTTCTAACATTCCATAGCATTAATTACTAGTATCTATTAGATTTTTCTTTTTCTTTTTTTTTTTTTTTTTGAGACAGAGTCTCACTCTGTTGTCAGGCTGGAGTGCAGTGGCATGATCTCAGCTCACTGCAGTCTCTGCCACCCCGGGTTCAAGCGATTCCCCTGCCTCAGCCTCCCAAGTAGCTGGGACTACAGGCATGCGCCACCATGCCCAGCTAATTTTTTGTATTTTAGTAGAGATGGGGTTTCACCATGTTGGCCAGGATGGTCTCGATCTCTTGACCCCGTGATCTGCCCGTCTCGGCCTCCCAAAGTGCTGGGATTACAGGCGTCAGCCACCACGCCCGGCCACATCATGTCCTTTTACCCCTTAATTCTTCAGTATTTCCTTTAAAAAATGGCATTTTTATACATAACCTGAGTAGATTCATGAAGGTCAGGAAAATAATACTGATTCAGTTCTATATAATCTACAGATTTTATTCAAATTTAGCCAGTTTTCTCAGTCATGTGCTTTATAAGTCTTGGATCCAATCTCTGGTTACTTGCTGCATTTCATTGTCAGGTATATTTAGCTTCCTTCAGTCCGAAACAGTTCTTCAGTGTTTTTTTGTTTGTTTGTTTTTTGTTTTTTTTTTTTTAATCTTTAATGACTGACATTTCTGAAGACTATAGGCCAATTATTTTATAGAATATCCCTCAGTTTGGATTTGCCTGATGTTTTGTCATGTTTAGGATCCCAGTTATGCATTTTTAGTGTGAATATCAAAGAAGTAAAGGTGTAGTTTTCTTACTGCATTTTATCAGGAGGCAATATCGGCTTTTACCACTACTCTGGAAGTTAACTGTTATCCCTTGGTTAGTACGGTGTCTGCTAGGTTTTTCTAGTATAAAGTTAATAAATAAAGGTTTTGTGGGGGCGTATTTTGACACTAAGTAAACATTCTATTTCAGATCAAGCTGTCACCCACTTCTTTTTGCATTCACTAATACATCTTCCTTGAATCAGTGTTACTGCAGTGGGTTGCCAATTTTAAATCTTGCTTTTCGTTTTGGATTTATTAGTTGGCTTATAACATAGGTTAGAGGCTTTTCTTCTACTCTATCTCTATCTATCTATCTATCTATCTATCTATCTATCTATCTATCTATCTATCTATCTTTTTAGAGTCAGGGTCTTGCTCTGTTGCCCGGGCTGGAGTGCAATGGTACAGTCATAGCTCACTGCAGCCTTGAACTCCTCTTCTCCCCCATTCATCTCTTTTTTCTTTCTTCTTTTTTTTAACTTATAGGAGATGGATTTGTGATTTCCATTTATTCGATGATTTGTAATTAGTTACTGTCATTTATCTTAATGTTTAATTTATCCCAGATCTGGCTCATGGGAGCCCATTTAAGCTGTCTCTTGTCTCTTTTTGCTTTGTCCCTATCATTCTTTGAGCATTTCTTTCTTTCCGATACAACAGCGTATTCCACACTCATCTAGTACTTTCCCTACCCCAGCCTTGGAATCAGGCATTTCTCCGGAGAGTTTCATTTTTTATATTCAGTTTATTCCTTTTATTTGTGAAAAGTATGTAGGGATGGATGGATGGATGGATGGACGGACGGATAAACAAACGGATGGAATGGATTGACAGTGTCTCGCTTTGTTGCCCAGACTGGAGTGCAGTGACACGATCATGGCTCACTGCAGCCTCAACCTCCTGAGCTCAAGTGATCCTCCCACCTCAGCCTCCTGAGTAGCTAGAACTGCAAGCACATGCCACTATACCTAGCTATTTAAAAATTTTTTTTTAATTTCTATTTTTTTTAGTAGAATTAGGGGTCTCACTTTGTTGCCCAGGCTGTTCTTGAACTCCGGGGCTCAAGCAGTCTTCCTGCCTTAGCCTCACAAAGTGCTGGGATTACAGGCGTGAGCCACCATACCTGGCCTGTGTAAGATCTAGGCCCTGGATATGCTCATTGCCCCTGGGTATAAAGTAAGTAAGTGCTCCTTGGAGAATGCAGGGGTGCAGTTGCTTCCAGGCCCTTTTGTGAAACAGAGCTAGACAGTATATATTTGTTTACCTCCATATGTTTGGGAAAATAAACATACACAGAGATATATTTATTTATCCATCTATTAAAGACCATGAGTTCTCATCAATACCTCTAATATGGATCCATTCCCACTGTATATTTTCTAGTCTTTGTCTTTTCATATTTGTAATTCCCTTTTCTAATGATGAGAAATCTGGATTTCTGTTAACTTTGGTGTATTTACTTATTTGCTCAATCCCCTGTTTGTAATCAGTCTTCTAGTCTTATAACTGTCTTCTTAGTCTCCACCTCATTATCCTTTTTTTTTTGTATTTTGTATTTTTTGTAAAGACGGGTTTTCACCACGTTGCCCAGGCTAGTCTCAAACTCCTGACCTCAGGCAGTCCACCCACCCACATTGGCCTCCCAAAGTGTTGGGATTACAGGCGTGAGCCACCTTGCCTGGCCTGACTTGGATTTTTATCCAAAAAGCAATACTGCCACCCAGTGTTTGCACAGTTTACATTTTTAGATTTTTAGAAACTGTTTTAAGAATCTCTTCATCCTTAGCTTAGAAATTATTAAAGGATCTACCTTTTTTTTTTTTTTATGGAATTATATTTTTGTATCTCACATACTTAGGTTCATTTATTATATATAAATATATATAAATTTACTGAAAGTTCGCTGTGGTGTTTGCACAATTAAATTCTATAATGAGCATTTTACTTTTTTAGAGTCGAGGTGGAAAAAAGTTTCTTCCTGTATTGAAAGAAATCTTGGACAGGGATCCCTTGTCTCAACTGTGTGAAAATGAAATGGATCTTATTTGGACTTTGCGACAAGACTGCCGAGAGATTTTCCCACAATCACTGCCAAAATTACTGCTGTCAATCAAGTGGAATAAACTTGAGGATGTTGCTCAGGTAACAAAAGATCGTTTCTATAACTTTTTTTGGGTGTATGGTACTTGGTTGGATTCACATAAAGTATCCTTTTCTCATAGGTATATTTTCATAGATAGGATAATTTAAGCAGGAGAAATTTTGAGGTTTTAAACTCTTATACTCCAAGTAATGGACCAGAACATTTCCAGAATTTAAAAATCTCAGATTTTGGGTAGGATTGCCATACCTTTCACCAAATACAATTGAAACATTGATCTTGGGACAATTATCTATCAAAAGTACCACTTTCTAAGACGTGGGTACCTTCTACCAGCTTCATCAGTGAACTCCAGAGTTTTAAATCTTTTAGACTCTTTGCAATGACTGTTCTAGAATGAATGTCCATTGTTTGAAAATTACATCTATTACAGAGAATAATATTTTAGATAATATATCATTCAGGTCAATTTTAACATTCATTTCAGTTGTCCAGTATTGCTGAATGTATGCGTTTTGACAGAATAGAAAAAAGACCATTTTGCTTCAGAAACCCACCAAATTTTAGTTCCCTGATTTAATTTTCAAGACCCTGCCAAAAAGCACTGGCATTTATTCAATTCAAACAACCCACCAGTGCTCAATAGAAAGACCTTTGAAATGGGTTTTTTAATCAGAACAAATAAATTTGGTCTACTAAAATAACCAAATTTTTTCATGTTACTTATTTCAGTTCAATGAATCTCTCTAGTATGTAGTCTTAGTAAATCTATAGTGACTAAAAATTTAGTGAAGAAATACAGATTTATCTTAATTATATGCATTTTAAAAATCTTTGGATTTATTGTTTCACTTCTCAATTTAAGAGTAGAAAGGATTTCTTTTGTGTTTACTTTTAGTGTCTAAAGATCTTTGGAGCCAGGCATGGTAGCACACACCTCTAATCCCAGCACTTTGGGAGGCCAAGGCAGGTGGATCGCTTGAGCTCAGGAGTTCCAGACCAGCCTGGGCAACATGGTGAAACCCCATCTCTACAAAAAATACAAACATTAGCTGGACATGCTGGCATGTGCCTGTAGTCCTAGCTACTTGAGTGGCTGAAATGGGAGAATTGTTGGAATCTGGGAGGTTGAGGCTGCAGTGAACCAAATGCCATTGCACTCTACCCTGGGCAATAGAGTGAGACCTTGTCTCAAAAAAATAAAATGGCTGGGGTCTGTGGCTCATGTCTGTAATCCCAGCACTTTGGGAGGCTGAGGTGGGCAGATCAGGAGGTTGAGACCAGCTCAGCAATTTAAGACCAGCCTGGGCAACATGGCAAAACCTTGTCTCTACAACAAATACAAAAATTAACCAGACATGGTGGTGCACGCCTGTTCCAGCTACTCGGGAGGTTGGGACAGGAGGATCATTCGAGCCCGGGAGGCTGAGGTTGCAGTGAGCCAAGATTGTGCCATTGTATTCTAGCCTGGGTGACAGAGGGAGACCCTGTCTCAAATAAATAAATAAATAAATAAATAAATAAATCTTTGGAGACATGTTATATAATTATATTATTGTGTGTACCTCGATTAAACTTGTTTCCACCTTAGACCAAATTAGACTGAAAAGGAACTATTTTATTTTAATTGCTGTAGAATAGTTATTGTCTTCTAGCCACTGATGTATTATCTAAATTCAGGATTCGTTTTCCATGAACCTTCAGTAATGGAAAACAAGATCTAAGCATTTTTTTAGTTGACACATTTGCCTGTTTCTTTTGGATAGTGTCTAGTGCTGAGTACATATCTAAGAAATGCATCATATTATTTCATTAGAATCACAATGGAAAGAATTTCTTGCTGTACTCTTAAAAGCTGTCTTATAGAGAGGTTTGGTGAGTTTTGGCAATTTATTTAATTTTACACTTACATGATTTAATTTTTAATAATTATAAATAATCTTACCAAAGTCATTACTTTCCAATGGTAGAGTTGTTTTTAACCACAACATTGTTGAACCTCTAGTATTACATAATCTTATCTCTCCTTTTCAGTGTTATTTATGGGCAGTGTATTCCAAGTATTAACTGGAGATATGAGGAGTTTTTTTTATTACTGCTATTTCAAAACCCAGGAAATGGTCTCTTCCCAACTCTTCTGCTCATAAAGAAGACTGCTGGTCCATTAGGGCCTTTGGCAAAGCAGGGAGGGGGGATCTATTAGTGAGAAAAATTGGGGATGAGGTTGGTGCTTTATGTCTTTATATCAGTATTTCTCAACCTGTTTTCATCACTATACCTTTAGGAGCTTTTATAGACCCTTTTCCCCCCAATAACCCATGAGATTTTGATTCCGTAGATACATGGTACATCTTTTCATGTACGTATTTGTATCTGTGCTTTATACATAAAAAAAGAGCTAGCCTTATTCAATATAGGGTTAAGAATAGCTAAGTAAAACTTAAGTTTAAAGTTAAAATTTAGGCTGGGTATGGTGGCTCAAGCCTGTAATCCCAGCACTTTGGGAAGCAGAGGCAGGAGGATCACTTGAGTCTAGGAATTTGAGACCAGCAACATAGCGAGACCCTATCTCTACAAGAATAAATAAATGAAATAAAATTAGCTGGGCATGGTGGCGTGTTCCTGTAGTCCTAGCTACTCAGGAGGCTGAGTTGGGAGGATTGCTTGTACCCAGGAGTTCAAGGCTGCAGTGAGGTACGATAGTGCCACTGCACTCCAGGCTGGACAACAGAATGAGACCCTATCTCTTACAAAAAAAAAAAAAAAGGTTAAAATTTAAAAATTACTAGGCATTCCACTGTATTTGCTAAGTAACTATGTAATTTATTCACGTAGGTGAATTCTAATGTGTCAAATTACATATATAAGTTAACAATTTATGCTGAGTGCAGTGGCTCATGCCTGTAATCCCAGAACTTTGGGGCCAAGGTGGGTGGATCACCTGACGTCAGGAGTTCAAGACCAGCCTGGCCAACATGGTGAAACCCCATCTCAAAAAAAAAAAAAAAAAAAAAAATACAAAAAATTAGCTGGGCATAGTGGCAGGCACCTGTAATCCCAGCTACTCGGGAGGCTGAGGCAGGAGAATCTGGGAGGAGGCTTGAATCCAGGAAGGAGAGGTTGTAGTGAGCCAAGATTGCACTATTGTACTCCATCCTGGGCAACAAGAGTGAAACTGTCTCAGAAAAAAGTTAACAATTTATATAAATATATGCTAATAATAGAGTAATTAAATTTTAAAAAATCATTCAAAAGTATTGTTTTCGCAAAAATATTTTTCAAATGTAAAACAACTGAAAAAATTAAGCTAATTTTTAAAAAATTAGTTAACTTTTATTTACTTTTGCTTGATATGAGAAAATGCCTTTTAACTTAGCTGGTAGATACTCATTTAGATATTGTTGACTTTTGGGGGAGGGCTTGCCATAATTATAGATTGAATAACTTGTAGAATTAAATAATAAAATATAAACGGTTTTTATTGAATTCTCAAAGCTTAATTGGTCGGAGAATAAAACTTAACATCCACAAGATAGCCAACAAGCTTGCAGGCCACCTCTCCCAGTATGACTTTGAGCAATCAATTGAAAGAAAATCCTCTAACCACTGCCATCTATTTGCCATAGTTTTACAGCAGTGATCTTGCATACATATCATATACCTTCCATGACGTTGATGTCAGTGGTACTTAGGTGATACCCAGGAAAATCCAATGAGAGAAATTAAATACTAAGGAATAAGATTTTATCAGATGGAATTGAGCTTTAGAAAGGCTACAAATTCAACATTTTTTTCTCTCTCACCCATAAAATTTATTTGGGGGTAAGTACTTCATAGCTTTTCAGACTTAATCTATAGAATGTTTCAACAACAAAGACAATCTTTATTAGTCTCTATTAACAGGAATGGATTTTTGAGGCATCAATAATTAAAAGTGAGCTTTGCCTTCTTTTGACCTATCTTGGTGCTCCTGTGTGTCAAGGAAAATTAGATTACTTTTGTCCCCCATTATTTCTGAACCAGTTTCATTTTTTAAACAGCTTCAGGCGCTGCTTCAGATTTGGCCTAAACTGCCCCCCCGGGAGGCCCTAGAGCTTCTGGATTTCAACTATCCAGACCAGTACGTTCGAGAATATGCTGTAGGCTGCCTGCGACAGATGAGGTATCTTCTGCAGGTGGTTTTCTTTGGGGCAAGGAATAACTTGGGTGGGTTTGGGATGAGGGTGTCTCCTTGATGTCTCATAAGAAAGAAAAGGGCTCAGAATTATTCACAGTTCAAAGCATTTGCTCATGTACTCCTGCCAGCTCCCCAACTCAATGTTTATACTAGAAAAAAAAAACCAAAAGCATGCTAGGTCAGAAGGTCCTCAAGATCACCCTCAGGTTTGATGACTCACTGGGAGGACTCAGAACTCAGCACATAGTCACTTACAGATATAATTTATTGCAGCAAAAGGATACAGAGCAAAATTTAAAGAGGGAAAAAGGTTCATGGGGTGAAGTCATGAGGAAAACAGGCATACATAAGCTTGTAAGAGTTCTTTTCCAGTGAAGTCACCCCAAACACTTTTATTTCTATCAGGAGTGAGTTGTGATAATACAAGTCTGCAAGGGAAGCTTGTTAGAGACTTCGTGGCCACGGTTTTTACGGGCAGCTATCACATAAGCACCCTCTGCCTAGCATGTACCAGATTTCTATACTCCCAGCAGTAAAGTGGATATACAACATAAACCATTATTTGCACAAATAGTTTAGGTGCAGTGAGCCACTCTTATCAATTAGGGAGGGTGGTGGGAATCCTGAAATCTTAATTCCCAGATGCTAGCCATGGGCCAATCCTATAAGCAGGCTTGTTAGAGGATAGCAGCCAAGCCTGCTGTGTTACCTCTTTTCTTCACACAGTCTATCCACCCTCCAGAATTAAGAAATGTTAATTTTTGTCATGGGTTTAAAATATATATATATATATATATATATATAATATATATATATATATATATATATATATATTTTAAGCAAATACATTACAGTTAAAGTTGAAGTCCTCATAGTTTCCTTATCCAGTCTTGATTACTTCTCTTCCTTCTCAGAGGCAAACATTATCATGAATTTGGTGTGTATGCTTCTATATCACATTTTTCTGTTTCATATATATCTATGAAAATATAGACATGGAATTATTATTACACAAATGTGTCTTGCCATATGCATTAGTTTATATCATGCTTTTTAAAAATTTGGCCAGATGGCTGGGTGTGGTGGCTTATGCCTGTAATCCCTGCACTTTGGGAGGCTGAGGCAGGCAGATCACTTGAGGTCAGGAGTTTGAGACCAGCCTGGCCAACATGGTGAAACCCCATCTCTACTAAAAATACAAAAAATTAGCCAGGCGTGGTGGCCGGTGCCTGTAATCTCAGCTACTCAGGAGGCTGAGGCAGAAGAATCACTTGAACCCAGGAGGCAGAGGTTGCAGTGGGCAGAGATCGTACCACTGCACTCCAGCCTGGTTGACAGAGCGAGACTCCGTCTCCAAAAAAAAATAATAATAATTCAGCCAGCTGTGGTGGCTCACACCTATAATCCCATCACTTTGGGAGACAAACGCAGGCAGATCGATGAGCCCAGGAGTTTGAGACCAGCCTTGGCAACATGGTTAAGCCCCGTCTCTACCAAAAATACAGAGACATTAGCTGGGCGTGGAGGTGCGCACCTGTGGTCCCAGCTACTTGGGCGGCTGAGGTAGGAGGATCACTTGAGCCCTGGAGGCGGAGGTTGCAGGAGCTGAGATGGTGCCACTACACTCCAGCCTGGGTGACAGAGTGAGACCCTGTCTCAAAAAATAAAATACAAATACATAAATAAATAAAAATTCAACATCAGGTTTTTGAGGTTAGTCTCTCCCATTATGTTTAAATGTCATTTATTCCTTTCACTACTGTGTAATATTCTGTCATAGGGATATATCTTATTTAATTCATTCCCTATTAAGGAATATTTAAGTTTCTCCACATTTCCCTATTATAAATAATGCTTCAGTGAACATGTTTGTACAGTCTCCCTTGGATGGTGCATTTGTGAGAATCTATGAGATTCACTGAAGAAATGACTGTCTCAGACAATGAAGTTTATCCATTTTCTTTCTAGGTTCAAAAGTGAGGCTTATGTACTTTATGGTTTTTGAAACATAAAAGCCCACAAAATAGTGTGGATACTATGATCCTTTTTTCTTTTTAAAATCGTGTATGTTTTAAGCTGTGTAATAGCCAAAAGTAATTACACAGACTCACCAATAGTGCTTACTTCTGGGGAGTGAAATTAGAAATGTGAGAGAAGAGGAAACAGCTTCCTATTCCTATACTTTCTATTTTTTACACTATTTATAGGTTATATAGTGGGCATGAATTTTACAATAAACCTAATCAAAATTGTGTTATAGATAGTTTTAAAAAATGAATTCCCAGTTGCTTCACCATCTGCTTAAGTTTGCATTGGAGACCTGTTGTGGAGGGGCCACCTGGTTCTCCTTGGGCTGAGCCAAGTGTTTTTCTTAAACGCATTGATCCCTCTGAGGAGATGGCAGTGATCCGTGTATTCCGTGTAGCTAATTCTGGTGGTTTTTCTATTGTGAAATTTCTGGTTATGAGTTTTTGGTTTTGGTATATAGTGCCCTGGGTTTCAGTCCCAGATATCTGCCTTAGACTACTAATTCCTTAACCATTTATTACCCAATACTGTGGAGAGTAAGTGGAGCACTTGGGGCACTTGGGCTTCATACCTTATACTGCTGGAGTTGCCTCTGATAGGAGTGTGTTTACAGGTAGAATGGTTTGGAGATTGACACAAAATAGAGAACCACTAACCTTAATTAATTGAGCTCAGTTAATTACAATGTTATCTGTTATATTATTTCAATGATCAATTCCCACTTATAAATGTATTCACTTTCTCATCCTTCAAACTATTTGAAGTTAAGATTTTAATTGTACATTGGTTATCTGGGACAACTTAACCCTAATAACAGCAAAGGAAAATAAATTGTGAAAGTACTGATGGAATTTTTATTTTAAAAATGATTGTTTTACTAAGCACAAATTTTTTAGCATGATCAGAAATCAGTATTAAAGTACCTAATATTTTTGGTAACTCTTAGCTGACTGAAAATACAGTCATGAATTTTAACAATCTGTAGTAGTCCATTTTCACACCATTATAAAGAATTACCTGAGACTGGGTAATTTATAAAGGAAAGATGTTTAATTGACTCACAGTTCCACATGGCTAGGGAGGCCTCACAAAACTTAAAATTATGGTAGAAGGCGAAGGAGAAGCAAGTACCATCTTCACAAGGTGGCAGGAAAAGGGAAAGAGCAGGGGAAACCACCTCTTATGAAGCCATCAGATCTCATGAGAACTCACTCACTGTCATGAGACTAGCATGGAGGGCCACATTGATTCAGTCACCTCCCACCAGGATGCTCCTTTGACATGTGGGAATTATAGGGATTATAATTTGAGGTGAGATTTGAGTAGGGACAAAAGCCAGACCATATCACAATCTAATTCATTTGATTAAAATATCTCTAGTATCTGTTCTTTGACCCTCTTGACTCCCTTTTCCCCATCTGAAATCTTCAGCTTTTTTTGTGATATTGTAACAGTGGTACAGTGAAGGAAAGCATGTAACAAGCCTGGCCCAAAAGAACCATTGTGTTTCAACAAGTTCACATTTGATAGTTTGATACCAAGGGATCTTTTTCTGGCACAGGTTGTTTGGTTACTCACTGTGTCTTTTGTTTCTTTCAGTGATGAAGAACTTTCTCAATATCTTTTACAACTGGTGCAAGTGTTAAAATATGAGCCTTTTCTTGATTGTGCCCTCTCTAGATTCCTATTAGAAAGAGCACTTGGTAATCGGAGGATAGGGCAGTTTCTATTTTGGCATCTTAGGTAAGTCTTTTATATTTTACTTTGAGCCCACCAGGTGCTTTAGTAACTATAAACAAGCATAATATATTTAATAGAAAAATAGCTGCTTTAGTTTTTTTCTGAACCGTTTATAACATTTATATGGTTTTGGTGCCTTCTCCTGTTTCTTGATACCAGCACTCTTGATTTTTATGATTTGAGATTTGACAAAGTAATTCAGTTATCCAAGACCCTTATGTGTCCCTCCATGCCTGCTTGATTTCTTCATTTCTTCCTTCCTTTCTTTTTTTTTTTTTTGTGTGTGTTTTCTACCTGCTTGATTTTTAACTGAAATTAATAATGTATTGCTATTTTCCAGTAAAGTGTACTTATTGTCTTAATATATTTGGGCTCAATGCAGACCTATTTATTTCATCTAGAAAGTTGTGGGTGGTACTGTCATTACTAGTGTTATTGAGTGAAGGTAAAGGTATACTATAATGACAGCAATTTTATTCAATTTCTTTATTAAGTAGGTAATTTCCAGAAATACACGAACCTTACTTCACCAAGTTCATATAAGAGTAAAATCAGGAATGAGAACTAAAGTTATTCCTTTGTTTTCTAAGGAAATTGTATTAATAGATTTCTCATTTCTGACTCTGTACTCAGACATTTTTTTTCCCTCCCAATCTGGACTTCATAGTGCTGAAACTAATGCTTGTCAGAAAAAAAAACTACCTTTTTTCTTTCTTTCTCTCTTTCTCCTTCCTTCCTTTTCTTTTCTTTTTCTTCTTTTCTTCTTTTTTCTTTTCTTTGCTGAGCTTCTCAAAGGCAATAAGCTCTATAATGTTGTGCTCTTAATTTTAGTTTTATTTCTGAATATGGTTTTCTTATTCATATATTTTTTTCCACTCTTTTTTTTACTTTCTTGTGTTGTTCTAGAACCTTTTCTTATTTTTAACTTGTCTTTTCTCATTCATTCAGTCTTAGTTTTTAAACCTCTCAGGGAATAACAAAATAAGTATTCCTTCCTTTTTCAAATATGTACATCACTTTTTAAGTAAGAAAAAAATTGGAATAGATGCTAATCAGGGCATTAGTCAATTGTTTAATACCAGTCAGATTTCATAGATACCTGTTTCAGCCTATTGTCTTTAAATTGGTAAGATTGCCTTACCCGTACAAAAGCAAATCAGGTAAGATGTACACATTTTAGACTTCTTGGAATAAAGAATTAACTAATTATAGAATATCATAGCTTTTGAACTTTGAAGTATTAACTAACTATAGAATATCATAGCTTTTGAACTTTGAAGTATTAACTAATTATAGAATATCATAGCTTTTGAACTTTGAAGTATTAACTAATTATAGAATATCATAGCTTTTGAACTTTGAAGTTTAACAAATTGGAAAGTTGACCCATGTCACTAATAATTATGCACAAAGTAGCCAGGCGTGGTGGCTCATGCCTGTTCCCAGCACTTTGGGAGGCCAAGGTGGATGGATCACTTGAGGCCAGGAGTTTAGACCAGCCTGGCCACATGGCAAAACCCTGTCTCTACTAAAAATGCAAAATTAGCCAGGCATGGTGGCGCATGCCTATAATCCCAGCTACTCGGGAGGCTGAGGCAGGAGAATCGCAAGTATGAAGGGGCTGGCCACCCCATCCACATTCGAGCCAGAAATGGGGAGGGGAGGGAAGGGGAGGGACCAGCATTTCCTTCTAAGTCCAGGACTCATTTTTTGTGCACATCACTTCATCTTGCATCCTGTTGGCTAGAACCTAGTCACCTAGCGACATCTAGCTACACTTTTTTATTTTAGGCAAGCTTGAACCCGGTGGGTGGAGATTGCAGTGAGCCGAGATCACACCAGTGCACACCAGCCTGGGCAACAGAGTGAGACTCTCAAAAAAGGAAGGAAGGGAGGAAGGAAATAATAATGCACACAATGACCTTGCCATCATAAGTTTATTTTTTGTAGAATAAAGAAGTCAGTATTTATTCGGTGATCTGAAGTGTTTGATAAACAAACTGTTCAGATATCATTAACTTTCTGCAGGTCAGAAGTGCACATTCCTGCTGTCTCAGTACAATTTGGTGTCATCCTTGAAGCATACTGCCGGGGAAGTGTGGGGCACATGAAAGTGCTTTCTAAGCAGGTATCAGCTTGTTTTATTTATTCATTTTTTCTTTTTTTGACAGACAACGTTTAAAGCATGAATATCAGCTTGTTTTAATCTTCATGTTCAATTTGGTACTTGGTGTTTGATCAGTTTTATCAAATGCCATTTCTCCCACCACATTATTTCATAGAAGTCTCAGTAACAGACAACCTGATGAATACATTCTTTTGTCAAAATTTAAGTCAAAAAATGAAGTTTCAATGAACTTAGCACAAAAATATTAACTGAATGCTACCTGAAAAATAATTACTCGGCATTCCTAATATATTCTATATTAATCCCAAAGTGCTAAGAAATGCAGATGTGAACCACCACACCCAGCCCCACCCTTTTTTTTTTTTTTTTTTTTTGTGACAGAGTCTCGCTCTGTTGCCCAGGCTGGAGTGCAATGGCACTATCTTGGCTCACTGCGACCTCCGCCTCCCGGGTTCAAGCGATTCTCCTGCCTCAGCCTCCCGAGTAGCTGGGACTACAGGCATGCGCCACCATGCCCAGCTAATATTTTGTATTTTTAGTAGAGACAGGGTTTCACTGTGTTGGCCAAGCTGGTCTTGAACTCCTGACCTCGTGATCCGCCCGCCTCGGCCTCCCAAAGTGCTGGGATTACATGTGTGAGCCACCGTACCTGGCTGCCCCACCCTATTTTTATATCAGATTCCTAATTTCCAGTTAAACTACTCTTTTCTAATTCATTTGCATTGCCAGAAGAACTCTCATAGGCTTCCATTAGGTGTTTTTAATATTTAGGATTTTTCATGATGTTAAAAACTTTTTCTGATCCCTTACTTTTGAAAAGCCCATTAATGATTGTAATAATAGCTAATGTTTATTCATCACTTATTATGGGTCATTTATTCTTAACAACAACATGGAATCAATATTATTAATCCTCTGAATTTTATAGAACCCTGAAATATATCTCACATCTCTGCCTATTTCCCTTGTGTTCATGGCTACCATCCTAGTCCAAGCTACTATTCTTTTTCACTGGACTTCTTCATTAACTATCTAAATTGTACCCCGTGTTTCCCTTCCTACATCTCCCCCAACATTCTATACACAGAAGATAAAGTGACATTTTAAAAATGTAGACTGTGGCCAGATGCAGTGGCTCACACCTGAAAACCCAGCACTTTGAAAGGCTAAGGTGGGAGGATCACTTAAGCCCAGAAGTTTGAGACTAACCTGCACAACATAGTGAGACCCATCTCTAGAAAAAATTAGAAGGTGGCTTGCAACTGTAGTCCCAGCTACTTGAGAGGCCGAGGTGGGAGGATTGCTTGAGCCCAGGAATTTGAGGTTGCAGTGAGCTATGATTTGATTGTACCACTACACCCTAGCCTGGGCAACAGAGCAAGACCCTGTCTCAAAAAAAGAAGTAGATTGTATTACATCATTTCCCTTTTAAAATCCCTTCAATAATTTTTCATTGCACTATGAGTAAAATTCAAATTTTCTGCCAAAGCCTGTTAGGCCATACTTAGTCATAACTTGCTTATTGTCATCATATAACCATTTTCCACACTGCATATTTTCTGGGAGCCTCAGCTTGATGTTAAAGACAATAAAAGGATGATATATGTATGAACAAATTATTCTAACTCCTGTTTTTTTTTTTTTTTGATTGATGAATTGTGAGAGGAAGACTTTACCCTGTACATAGCTGTTCTTGTTATTACTATAAACTTACAAAAGGACAAGGTGTTGAAACACTTAAAGTATTAGACTTATGTCCATGGGGTATTCAGGACACTGTTCCAGGAAGTGTGGATATCAACACAATTAGAGATGGAGCATGAAAACTTTCAACTGTACAGACATGGAAGAAGTTTCAAATTTCACATACTTGTAAAAAGTTCCTGTTTGCTTAGCCCAGTTTTTATCTGGTTGCCTTGTCACCAGTGTTTGTACAGCTCCTGAAACTGTTGAGAAGTAGAGTGATCTGTGGTTTTAACAGATGGCTAACTTGGTAAGTTTCAGCCATCTCAATTTTATCATCAAGCTGCATAGGTCCTTCCTAGTTTCCTGTGAGCAAGGTCTCAGCCTCTGTGGAAACTGCATGCTTGAATTCATCTCCCTACATAGTCTTAGTGGTTTCCTTGCATAGAAGCAGAATTTAAAAATGAAAACATGTTATAAATTAAATCTCTTGTTCATGGAATTTCAAGCCACATTGTTTATATTTGTGATAGACATATTTTATATGCTTGTTACGGTATACTTTTTAATTCTATTTTTAACATTTGTTTTTTCCAGTTTTAATGATATACTTGTAAAATAAGCTGCTCCTTCTTTATGCGTGGCTGAAGTTGTTATGAATTTTATGTACTGTGACATAAAAGACCCTCAGTTATTAAATAATAAAGTTGAATTTTATTTGTTGTTATTATTTATTTATTTATTTTATTTTTTGTGATGGAGTCTCACTCTGTCACCCAGGCTGGAGTACAGTGGCATGATCTTGGCTCACTACAACCTCTGCCTTCCAGATTCAAGTGATTCTCCTGCCTCAGCCTCCCTAGTAGCTGTGATTACAGGTGTGCGCCACCACGCTTGGCTAATTTTTGTATTTTTAGTAGAGAGGAGGTTTCACCATATTGGCCAGGCTGGTCTTGAACTCCTGACCTCAAGTGATCCGCCCACTTCAGCTTCCCAAAATACTGGGATTACAGGCATGAGCCACTGCACCTGACCCTGATTTATTTATTTTTTGAGACATAGTCTCACTGTGTTGCCCAGGCTGGAGAGTGTAGTGGTACGATCTTGGCTCACTGCAGCCTCCAGCTCCCAGGTTCCAGTGATTCTCCTGCCTCAGCCTCCTGAGTAGCTGGGATTACAGGTGCACACCACCGTGTCTGGCTAATTTTTGTATTTTTAGTAGATAGGGGGTTTCTCCATGTTGGCCAGGCTGGTCTTGAACTCCTGGCCTCAACTCATCCACTTGCCTCAGTTTCCCAAAGTGCTGGGATTACAGACGTGAGCCATCACACCCAGCCTAAAGTTGAATTTTAAACATAATGGTTTTGATTTAGTTGGCCATTGTTGATACACCTTGTACTACTTGCATAAGTTTTTTTTTTTACTTGCATAAGTTTTGATAGCCATAGTTATTATAAAAACAAGTAATTTAGATTTGAATAACAAATAGCATGTCTATATTCACACTTTATTATAAAATAATTCGTTCTAGCTATGCTGTTAATGGAAATAGAATATATTGAGATATCATACAAGAGTGATGACAAGAAGTAGATATTAAGGTTGAATAGCAAGAACCTCAGAGTTACTTCTACATAGGTTTTTCTCTAATACTAGGAAGTTGGCCAAATGGACTGGTTTAGGTTAGTGATGTCTCAAATTCTACTATACAATGAATTGCAGAATTTTGAGTAGTTTAAGTTTCATATTTATCTTCTTTCTTTCTTTCTTTTTTTTTTTTTTTTTTTTTTTTTTTGAGACAGTTTCTCACTCTCTTACCCAGGCTGGAGTGCTGCAGTGGCTTAATCTTGGCTCACTGCAACCTCCACCTCCAAGGTTAAAGCGATTCTTATGCCTCAGCCTCCCAAGTAGCTGGGATTACAGGCAAGTGCCACCATGCCCAGCAAATTTTTGTATTTCTTTTTGTAGAGATAGGGTTTCGCCATGTTGCCCAGGCTAGTCTCAAACTCCTGACCTCAAGTGATCCAGCTGCCTCAGCCTCCCAAAGTGCTGGGCCACATTTATCTTCTTAAGTACCCATAGTGCGCACCTGGCCCACATTTATCTTAAGTACCCATAATCTAAGTCTGCTTTTCTCGAATTTGTAAGATTTTGTTTAAGAAAAGGTTTAAAGAAAGTTTGAAAATGATGCTATAACAACTGTTAAAAATAAGTTTATTGTATGTAAAATGCTTTTCGTAAGTCAGACACTATTTTTACTTCAGCTGGTTATGTGTGTTTATGGTTATGTGTATATGTTGGGAGCAGGTGTTATTGATTGATATGATCACATGATATTATATTACTTTTAGTCAAATGAATTTTTGGTGTGGGGAACTTATTTTTCAGGTTGAAGCACTCAATAAGTTAAAAACTTTAAATAGTTTAATCAAACTGAATGCCGTGAAGTTAAACAGAGCCAAAGGGAAGGAGGCCATGCATACCTGTTTAAAACAGAGTGCTTACCGGGAAGCCCTCTCTGACCTGCAGTCACCCCTGAACCCATGTGTTATCCTCTCAGAACTCTAGTAAGTGACTGTGCTTTGCGCAGTGAATCTCCTATGAATAGCAAGCAGAAAGTCACTGCCTTATGGGAGTAGTAGGGCCAGCTGTCAGCCTCAGGAAGTAGAATATAATTAAGGAAGGAAAATCTTAAAAGTTCTCCGAGGCTATGCTTATATTCAATAGGATGTATGCTTATCAGCTAAACTTACCAGTGGATTTAGTGAAAGTTATTACAAATGAATTTATATTTCAATTATATGTAATTAAATTTATTTTCTATATTACTGATTTTTAAGAGTTGACAATCCTAATAAGCAAAATGTTGCAAACTGTAGTAAATTATTTACTGATTGATTTTCCTATTTTAAAATAAGATCTTGTCTTGAGTGAATTTGGCAACTTATTTCTCACTTTCTCATTCCCTACAAAAGTAATAATGGAAAATAATAGTCTGTATTCAGTATATTATCAGTATTCAAATGAATCCCTTGTTAAGAAATCAAGAATGGTCTCAAAATAGTTCTAATTTTAATCCAATGATTTGTTCTAATTTTTTATTCACTAAATGTAATAATGTAAAGTTAAGCAAATAAAAGGAAACGAGAGAAGGAATGTTAAGTGGAGAAGGTGAGAAGGGCCAATCTTAGGTTTTGAGTCCAGCCTATCTGGCATTAGTATATGCCACCCAAGGCTGTCCTCATGGTTGCTTTTCTACCAAGTGGGACTCTTCTAAGTCTGACTCTTCTGCAGACCTGACAGGAATAGGTGAGGAGTTTTCCCAAGCCTAGTATATAGTGGTAAAATTATAATCTTCTGTATCATTACACTGAAGTTGACTAATTTTCCCCACTTGATTTCAGTGTTGAAAAGTGCAAATACATGGATTCCAAAATGAAGCCTTTGTGGCTGGTATACAATAACAAGGTATTTGGTGAGGATTCAGTTGGAGTGATTTTTAAAAATGGTGATGGTAAGTACTGAGATTTTTAACATCAAATTTCTTAGAATTTTTCATTTGTTGCCATTTTGCTTTATCTGAAAGGTGATGTGTAGTGTAAGTGTGTAACAATTTGCAGCCAGGAAGGTAGCTATTAATGGTCCTAAAGTCAAGTTGAACATGTCCTAAATGCTTTTTTTTTCCCCCTCTTATAAAATGATTTATACCATTCACTTAAATATACTGTCCTAATGAACCTTCTTTTATTTCCCCCTACAAAATACAAAACGCGCCTACTCCTTTGATTAAAAAGCTTATGAAATACAAGATATTATTTTTACTTTTTTTTTTTTTTTTTTGAGACAGGGTCTCACTGTCACCCAGCCTGGAGTGCAATGGCACGATCTTGGCTCACTGAAACCTCCACCTCCCAGGCCCAAGTGATCATCCTACCTCAGCCCCCAGAGTAGCTGGAACTACAGGCACACACCACCACACCTGGTTCACTTTTTGTATTTTTTGTAAAGATGGGGTTTCACCATGTTGACCAGGGTGGTATTGAACTCCTGAGCTCAAGTGATTTACCCACCCCGGCCTTTCAAAGTGCTGGGATTACAAGCATGAGCCACCGTGCCCAGGCAAGGATATTTTCAGTAATATATTCATACATCTTGTTTCAGTGATAGCAATATTGATTTTGCTGCCATAGTTTTGTATTTTGATGAAAGTACCTAACAGACCCAAAATGTGTAAAGGAAATGCCTCTGAAGTAATCATACCAGCCAATAGGCAGTGGTGACTTGTTAGTTATGTGACTACAAACAAGGCACAGAAAACTGATTGAGCTTCAGGTTTTTCATATCCTTGAGAATTATAGCATCTGTATGTCAGGGTTATTAAAAGGAATTGAGATAACATAAGCAAATGTGCTTATCAGAATATGTGCTTACAACTTAAAAAGAACTCATAGGGTTTTGCTAAACATTTAATGTCACTTGACCATACAAATGTCATTATGTGGATGTCACTAGTTTCATGTGCTCTCTTCCCTGAAAATACCCTTAGACATGATAATAAATTGAACCATTACAGTTTTGTGACCTCGTGATGCAGTTACTTACGTGATTCTTAAGAACTCTCCGTATAGTGGTAAAAGCAAGCAAGAAGGAAAAAATTAACCATGTAATTAATGTAATACACATACAGTGTAATACAAACAGTATTACAGCATACAATTAGTACCCCTGAACCCATGTGTTATCCTCTCGGACCTCTAGTAAGTGACTGTGCTTTGCGCAGTGAATCTCCTGTGAATAGCAAGCAGAAAGTCACTGCCTTATGGGAGTAGTAGGGCCAGCTGTCAGCCTCGGGAGGTAGAATATAATCAAGGAAGGAAAATCTTAAAAGTTCTCCGAAGCTATGCTTATATTCAATAGGATGTAACTTACACATGGCAAACAATTTAAAAAATCTTTTAATTTAATGTCTGAAATAATGTCACAGGGACATGCTATCCAAAGAGTGTAATATTTGTTATAAAATTAGTGAAAATATTAGCACAGAGTTTGTTAATGTTTTTAGTTAATTCTGAGTTAGTCTTGAATTAATGAGTTACAGGGCATAAAAGGAAAAGCACTTGTAATGAAGCAGTTTGTTTTCCCTTAGATTTACGACAGGATATGTTGACACTCCAAATGTTGCGCTTGATGGATTTACTCTGGAAAGAAGCTGGTTTGGATCTTCGGTGAGATCTAGTCTTTTTTTTTTTTTCAGTCTAATGTCTTCCCATAGCAAAAATATCTAGAATTTCTTGTTAATTCCTTCCCTCTTGTTCTTATTTTTAGTTGTTGTTCATAATAATATTTATATAGCACTTTAGAATGTACTTTCAAATATGTTGTCTTGCCTAAACTTTTTCAGTTTAAAACTACACATGTTACTGAAATTCCAGAAAGAAGGAATAGGTTTGAACTTTAATAAGGTTTGGACAGACAGCCAGAATTACATTCCAACCTATGGTGTTGAAAGATGTACTGTGGGTCATGGCAATGACAAGGCCAGAGAAAGTCCTGTGCCTTTTTATACTTAGTCCAGGGACATTGATTTCTCTACCTACCAAGGGAAAAGAGAGGAAAATGTTTAGGTGCATTCTCAGGTTTTTAGTTTGCCACCATCAATAGGGGTAGATAGTGAGCGGAAGAGGTTTGTGGTGTCGTGACAGAAAAAAGGAAACATAAAATCAAGCCTCAGACTGGGAATCGTATTCACAATGAACAGAACAAGGGGTAAATATTTAAAGAGCCCATAGAAGTGAACATAAGGAAAAGATGTGAAAAGGCATTTTATAAAAAGTATAAAAACAAACTAATAGGCATGTTGGCACACACCTGTAATCCCAGCACTTTGGGAGACCAAAGCGGGCAGATCACTTGAGGTCAGGAGTTTGAGACCAGCCTGGCCCACATGGTGAAACCCTGTCTCTTCTAAAAATACAAAAGTTAGCCAGGCGTGGAGCACATGCCCGTACTCCCAGCTACTCTGGTGGCTGAGGCATGAGAATCGCTTAAACCCGGGAAGTGGAGGTTGCAGGGAACAGAGATTGCACCACTACACTCCAGGCTGGATGACAAAGTGAGACTCTGTCTCAAAAAAAAAAAACAAAAAAAAAACTAACATGAAAATTGTCAGTTCCAATTAAGAAGTACAGATTATAAGAACAATTGGGCCGTGCATGGTGGCTCACTCCTGTAATCCTAGCCCTTTGGGAGGCCGAGGCAGGTGGATTGCCTGAGGTCCCGAGTTCACGACCAGCCTGGCCAACATGGTGAAACCCAGCTCTACTAAAAATACAAAAAATTAGTAGGTTGTGGTGGCAGGAGCCTGTAATCCCAGCTACTCGGGAGGCTGAGGCAGGAGAATTGCTTGAACCTGAGAGGCGGAAGTTGCGGTGAGCGAGATCATGCCACTGCATTCCAGTCAGGGCAACAAGAGCGAAACTTTGTCTCAAAAAATTAAAAAAAAAAAAGAACAACTGGATATCCTAACAAAGATTTTCTTAAATGATAATCCAGTCTAGGGTGCTATTGAAGCAACAAAAACACAGGTATTTTTATATACTATTATAAATTAATATAAACCTTAATGTATGAAGTTAATTTATACTCTTTATATCCAGTATTTCCACAATTTACTTTAAAATTGGAATTGTAGACAGAGATTTATACACAAAGATATAGTCCAGTTCATCAGTGTTTTCAAATTTATTACCACATATTTTTTTATAACATCCTCTTGTAATTTTAAAATCTGTGCTATGCTGTGTCTAATATTTTTCTTCTTCCTCTTTTTTTTTTTTGAGACAGTCTCGCTCTGTCACCCAGGCTGGAGTGCAGTGGTGCGATCTCGGCTCACTGCAGCCTCCGCCTCCTGAGTTCAAGTGATTCTCCTGCCTCAGCCTCGCGAGTAGCTGGGATTACAGGCACCCACCACCACGCCCGGCTAATTTTTGTATTTTTAGTAGAGATGGGATTTCGCCATGTTTGTCAGGCTGGTCTCAAACTCCTGACCTTGTGATCTGCCTGCCTTGGGCTCCCAAAGTGCTGGAATTACAGGCGTGAGTCGCCGCCCCCTGTCTTTTCTTCTTTTTATATGCAGTTATTGTCAGTTATTATTAGAGATTTGCTTCCTTATTAGTATGGTTTCAGCTGGGCTTCTAATTTTGTTGATTTTTTTGTTTCCTACTTTATCAGTTATTACTTTTTTTTTTTTTTTTTTACTTTTGTGTTTATTCTGTTCTCATTTTTTAAAATGAACTCTTGGCTGGGTGCAGTGGCTTACGCCTGTAATCCCAGCACTTTGGGAAGCCAAGGTGGATCACTTTCGCTCAGGAGTTTGAGACCAGCCTGGGCAACATGGTGAAACCCTGTCTCTACAATAATAATAATAATAATAATAATAATAATTAGCCAGGCATGTTGGCATGTGCCTATAGTCCCAGCTACTTGGGAGCTGAGGAGGGAGGATTTCTTGAGCCCAGGAGGTCAAGGCTGCAGTGAGCCAAGATCACGCTACTGCACTTCAGCTTGTGTGACAAAGTGAGACCCTAATCTCAAAAAAGAAAAAAAAAGAACTCTTAACTTTTAAAATGGAAATATTTATGTACTTTCATAATATATCAAACAGTATATAAATTCTAAATATTTCATAATTTCTATTTTTATCTTATTGACTCCTGAACTATTTAAAATTACAGCTGGATACAGTGGCTCTTGCTTGTAATCCTAATATTTTGGAAGGCCAAGGTGAGAGGATCGCTTGAACCCGGGAGTTCAAGACTATCCTGGGCAACAGAGCAAGACCCTAGCTCAGTAAATAAATAGATAAATAAATAAATAAAATTTAATTTCCAAAGGCATACTTTTTTGTTCTCTTTATGATTTCTAATTTTATTGTGTTGTTATTGTATCAAGTATATGTTCAGATCTATATTCTCATTAAACTTCAGTTTTGATTTGTCACTTCGTAGGTATGTTACAAGCTCCTATTATAATTGACATTTGTCATTGCCTGCCTGAAATCTTATCAGTTTTTGTTTATCTTGATCTTATATTTGTTTTTTCTTTTTTTGTTTGTTTGTTTGTTTTTTGAGTCAGAGTCTTACTCTGTCACCCAGGCTGGAGTGTAGTGGCAGGATCTCAGCTCACTGCAATCTCTGCCTCCTGGGTTCAAGCAATTCTCATACCTCAGCCTCCCGAGTAGCTGGGATTACAGGCACGGGTCACCAGGCTTGGTTAATTTTTGTATTTTTAGTAGAGACGAGGTTTCACCATGTTGGCCAGGCTGGTCTCGAACTACTGGCCTCAAGCATTGATCTTATATTTGTAAATCTATACAAGGTTTGATTTCTTTTAGCTTCTGTGCCCTCCTTTATCATTAAGAAATATGCCTCTTAATCCCTAGTAATTTTGTTTTAGTCTGTTTTGTCCAAAATTGACATTTGTATACCAGCTTATTTTGGTTAGTATTTACCTTTGTATCTTTTATTTTTAACTTTTATTTCATTTTATATTATATTTGTCTCCTGTAAATAGCATATAGTTGAATTTTTTTGTGAGGATGGATTTACTCCAATATGAATGTATTTTATTAGGAAATTTTAATTGTTTATTGTGATTACTATATACTTATTTATTTCTACTATCTTATTGTATGTTTTATATTTACATCCTTGTTTTTGTCCTTTTTCTCATTTATTTCCTTTTATTGGATTGATAGGGGTTTTAAATTTTCATTTTCCCTTTCTATAAAATACTTTTTAAATTCTTACTTATTAAAAAAATTTTTTTTAGAGATAGAGTCTCACTGTTACCCACGCTTGAGTGCACTGGCATGATCATAGCTCACTGCTGCCACAAACTCCTTGGTAACACAATCCTAGCTCACTGCAGCCACAAACTCCTGGGTAGCAGAATCATAGCTCACTACAGTCACAAACTCCTGGGTACCAGCAATCCTCTCACCTCAGCTTCTTGAGTAGCTAGGACTACAGGCACATGCCACCATGCCTGTAATCCCAAGCACTTTGGGATTTAAAATTTTTTTTGAGAGACAGAGTCTCACTATGTTGCTCTCTCTGGTCTCAAACTCCTGGCCTCAAGCGATCCTCCCACCTCAGTCTTACAAGTATCTGGGATTACAGACATATGCCACCATACCCAGCTCTTATATAGAATCTTTATATACTATATTATTTATTTTAGGGAATATTCTTAAGTTTTTAAACTGCATATTTGATTTAACAAGTTTTTTTTGTTTGAAACGGGAGTTTCCCTCTTGTTGCCCAGGCCAGAGTGCAATGGCACGATCTCAGCTCACTGCAACCTCCGCCTCCCAGGTTCAAGTGATTCTCCTGCCTCAGCCTCCCGAGTAGCTGGGATTATAGGAATGTGCCACCATGCCTGGCTAATTTTGTAGTTTTAGTAAGACGGGGTTTCTCCATGTTGGTCAGGCTGGTCTTGAACTCCCGACTTCAGGTGATCCGCCCGCCTTGGCCTCCCAAAGTATTGGGATTACAGGCATGAGTCACCGCGCCCAGCCAGATTTAACAAATTCCAAAATTAATCCATAACTTAGCCCTCTTCTTGATCATTATAGGTACTTTAGGATAAATTCTACCACTTATATTTTAACTAATATTTAACAACTCCTTATATTATTCGTTACAGTGAATTTTTACTAGAATTTCTTGTATACAATTTTAAATATTTCTTCATTCACCATTGCTTTTTGTACCATACTCCCTCACTCCGGGTTTTGTCTGAAAATGAATTTATATTACCCTCAATCTTGAGTAAGGCTGGGCACGGTGGCTCACGCCTGTAACCCAGCACTTTGAGAGGCCAAGGTGGGTGGATCACCTGAGATCAGTAGTTCAAGACCAGCCTGACAAACATGGTGATACCCCGTCTCTACTAAAAATACAAAATTAGTGAGGCATGGTGGCACATCCCTGTAATCCCAGCTACTGGGGAGGCTGAGGCAGGAGAATCTCTTGAACCCAGGAAGGGGAGGTTGCAGTGAGCGGAGATGGCACCATTGCATACTCCAGCCTGGGCAACAAGAGCGAAGCTCCATCTCAAAAAAAAAAAAAAAATCTTGCATAATAGTTTAGCTGGGTATGGAGTTTTTGTTTACTATTATTGGGATACAGTATAATTGTCATATCACAATTCACTGGTTTAGAGTGTACATTTCAGTGGTTATATGCATTTTCTGAGTTGTGCAACCATCACTACAATTAATTTTACAACATTTTTATCAACCCTTCAAAAACCCTGCACTCCTTAGCTGTTACCCCCAACCCCCTCCCTGAAACCACTCCAATTCTAGGCAACCACTAATTAATGGTCTATAGATGTACCTTTTTTGGACATTTTATATAAATGGAAACACAATATGGGGCCTTTGTCACTGGCTTCTTTCTCTAAGCGTAATGGCTTCAAAGTGTATTCATGTTTTAACAGTAACCAGTATTTCATTTCATTGTCAAACAATATTCTTTTGCAAGGATGTGCCACATTTTATTTATCCATACATCAGTTAATGAATATTTTGGTTGGTTTCACTATTTTGCTATTACAATAACTGCTATAAAACTATACATAGATAAATGTACACAGTTAATGCTATAAACATTTGTGTACAACTTTTGAGTCAATCTGTGTTTTAAATTCTTTTGGTAAATACCTAGGATTAAAATTACTGGAACTGATGTTAACTTTATGTTCAACTTTTTGAGAAACTATCAAACTGTTTCCCACACAGCTGCATCATTTTACATTCCAACCAGCAATGTACAAAGGTTCCAATTTCTCTTCATTCTCACCAACACTTGTTATTGTCCATCTTTTTTTATTATAGCCACCCTAGTAGGTTTGAGGTGTTATCTCATTGTGGATTTAATTTGCATTTTCCCAATGACTAATGTTGTTGAGCAGCTTTTCATGTGCTTGTTGGTTATTTCTATACCTTTTTTGGTGAAATGTCCATTTAGATCCTCTGCTCATTTGTAAATTGGGTTATTTGTCTTTTTATTGTTAAGTTATAAGAATTCTTTATATATTTTATATACTAGACCCTTCTTAGATAAATTATTTGCAAATATGTTTTTCTGGTTGTTTGTTCACTTTAATTTTTAAATAGTGTGTGTGGTAGGAATCCAACTTTATTCTTTTCCATTTAGATGTATAGTTGTCTCAGCACCATTTGTTGAAAAGATTATTCTTTCTTCATTGAATTATCTTGGCATCTATGTCAAAAATCAATTGATTGTACATGTGAAGGTTTTTTCCTGAACTCTAAGTTCAATTCTATATGTCTGTCCCTATGTATAGTTTTGATTACTGTAAATTAATAATAAGTTTTGAAACCAGGAAGAATGAATCCTCCAACCTTTGTTCTTTCTCTCTTTTCATTTATCTGGGATTGTGTTAATTTTTCCTTTGTTTCTGAATAAGAATTTTGCTACTTGATAGGTTTTCTTTCAGCATGTCTAATATGTCATCCCACTTTCTTCTGGCTTCCCTGGTTTCTCATGAGAAATCAGCTGTTAATCTTATTTAAGATCCTTGTAAGTGATGAGTCACATCTCTCTTGTTCCTTTCAAGATTCTCTTTATTTTTGGTTCTTGACAGTTCGATTATAATATGCCTACTTCTATTAGAGTTTATTCTACTTTGAATTAATTGAGCATCCTGGACATATATATTATTGTTTTTCATAAAATTTGGGGAGTTTCCAGCCATAATTTTTTCATATATTTTTTCTGCCTCTCTCTCTCATCTCCTTCTTAAACGCCATTATGCATTTATTGCTTTGCTTGGTGGTGTTCTACAGGTCTCTAAGGCTCTGTTCTTTTTTCTTCATTATTTTTTCTTTTGTTTCTCTGATTGGATAATTGACCTATCCACAAGTTTGCCAATTTTTTATTATGCTCATATCTGCTGTTGTGTCTACCTGGTGAATTTTAAAATTTCAGTTATTGCCCTTTTCAACTCTGGAATTTCTGTTTGATTCATTTAAATAATATCTATCTATTGATAGTCTTCCTTTGTTGATACATCATTCTCACAGTTGTTTTGTTTTGTTTTGTTTTGAGATAGGGTCTTGTGCTGTCGCCCAGGCTGGAGTGCAGTGGCGCGGTCTCGGCTCACTGACACCTCCACCTCCCAGGTTCAAACGATTCTCCACCTCAGCCTCCCAAGTAGCTGGGATAATGACAAGCGGCCACTACAACTCCTGGCTAATTTTTGTACTTTTAGTGGAGACAGGGTTTCATCACGTTGGCCAGGCTGGTCTTGAACTCCTGACCTCAGGTGATCCACCTGCCTTGGCCTCCCAAAGTGCTGGGATTACAGGTGTGAGCCACCGCCCCCAACCTTATAGTTCTTTAAACATGGTTTCCTTTAGTTCTTTGAACATGTTTAAAATAGGGATTTTTAAATCTTTGTGTAATAAGTTGAAAATTTGATTTTCCTGAAGGACGGTTTCATTGAATGCATTTTTCCTGTATGTGTGCCATGCTTTTTTGTTTCTTTGTATGTCACATACTTTTTGCCAAAAACTGTTCACTTTAAATAATTTTACAACTCTGAAACTCAGATTCCTTCTCCCTTCAGGATTTGTCGTTGTGGCTGTTTGTTTATTTTAGTGACTTTTTTGAACTAATTATGTAAAGTTTATATTTTTTGTCATGTGTGGTCACTGATGTCTTTACTTAGTTTATTGGTCAGCTAATGGTTGACCTGATTTTCTTAAATGCCTGGAATCCACCCCTCTTCCAGTCTGCTGAGGCACTTTATGCACATGTTGGGTCATGCCTTCAACAGTCAGCCTGGTGGTTCAGAACTGTGCCTTAGCCCTAACTTTCTGCTTTCACAAAGCCTCAAAGTTAGCCATAGTTGAGAGCCAGGGCTTTGTAAGCTCTTTCCTTTGCATGTACACAGACCTGGGAATCCACAATAGTATCCATGCACACGGCCTTCTAGATTCCTACCAGTAATTTTGGAGCTTTTCAGTGCACCATATGGACATGTAATTACCTACCTTTTCCTTTTAAGCTTTCAGTTAGCTTGTTGGTTCCCCCAACTGTTATTTACCCCCAAGACAGCTACAATGTTAAACAGATGCCTCTGAGTATTTTTGAGAAACTCCCCAGGAAAAAGGCAGTTCATGCTAGGTGAGGTCTGAGTCAGGTCAAATAAACATAGTATTGTAAGTGGGATCTTCCTGGAAACTACCAGAGAGGCCAAAGAATGACAGTTCTGTGGGAATCAGGCTTTGAAGGAGCTCCAACTTCATTTTTCTTTCCTCTAGTGGCTGTCAGACATGCATTCACCATGATTGTGGGCTATTTGTTGTCAAGGCTACCACATAACTGGGAAGGGGGTTGGGACTAGGCCATGGTAAAACAAAACAGATTCACGTTGGGGTGTGTGTGTGTGTATGTGTGTGTGTACGTGTGTGTGTGTTTTAAATAAACACTTATTGGATTGCTGCAAGCCTTTGTTTTATTTTCAGAACTCTAAAATAGTTGATTTCAACAATTTTTGTCAGTATTCTTGTTGCTTTTATGGAGAAGTAGATATTCAGAGTTTGATATCATTTGGCTATAGAAGTTTGAAATCCAAATTGACTGCTTTCCTCAGAAGCCTTGAGGATATTATTCATTTGTCTTCTAGTCTCGGTTTTTAAAAAGTCTGTTCTCGGTCTGGTTATCGGTTCTTTGTAAGTAATGTCTTTTTTACACCTTAGTGCATCAAAAAGTTTCTCTTTGCCTTTGTCTGCAGTACAATCTGTGCGTGTGTATTTCTTTTATTTCTTTTTTTTATCACCATTTTCATTGTGCCTTTTCAAAGAAGTCACATCTTTTAGTTTCTGAAAACTTTGAACATTTCCTTCAGTATTGCAGTTCTCCCACTCTCATTGTCTTTTTCTGCAGCTCTAGTAGATTTATATTAAACTTTCCTGTTCTCTCCTTTATGTCTCTTAACCTTCCATATTTTCTATCTTTTCATATCTTATCATTATAACAGTTTTACTCAAGTCTCTGTGTGCTCTGGCGTTGAGACCAGGCTGAGTCTTTTCATATCTTTATGTGACTTTCTTAGTAATTTCCTATTCTTTTCCAGTTCATTATCTCTGCAACAATGTTTACTCTCCTGTATTGTATTTTTTTTCTGCTTAGACTTTCTATTCTTTTTCATCTCTTTCTCTCTCTCTCTTTTTTTTTTTTTTTTTTTTCAACGGAGTCTCACTCTGTCACCCAGGCTGGAGTGCAGTGGCACGATCTTGGCTAACTGCAATCTCCACCTCCCAGGTTCAAGCGATTCTCCTGCCTCAGCCTCCCCAGTAGCTGGGATTACAGGAACCCACCACCACGCCCGGCTAATTTTTGTATTTTTAGTAGAGGCAGGGTTTCACCATGTTGGCCAGGCTGGTCTTGAACTGTTGACCTCAGGTGATCCGCCTGGCTCCATCTCCCAGGTCAAAGTGCTGGGATTACAGGCGTGAGCCACCACGCCCAGCCTAAAGTCTCTTTCAGATTGTTCTTTTTTAGTTCTTGGGATATTACTTTTTCATTTATCTGCGTGACTTTATTCATTTCCTTATATAGTTAATAATACTCAGTTTTGAATTCATTATTGATGGATAATTATGTTTTCTGTAAAGGTCCTTTGCTCCCTGGGTTGTGAATGGATCTCTAAAAATGAGTTTGTATTTTGTTTGAGCTGTTGCCAAAGGCCTGTACACACAATCAGCCAGTTTTTATGTTAACTCCCTGCCTTCAGACCATCACACCTCATAGATAGTTTATATTTAGATCTCATAAGAGAGTGTGGGAAGGCTTGAAGTTTTGCACTTACATGAAACTTTTTTTTTTTCTTGCCTACCCAGTTTCTGGGGTAGATGGGAAACTTTCATGCCACATCATCTGATCAATGAAAAGATATTTCGAGTTCCAGTCCTCCCAGACCTCAGTTTTGTGTAGTGTGGGATATGATGAGGTTCCTCTTCAAATAATCTGATCAATCTTTTGTTCGTTAATTTATAGAACCCCCCCACTTTTTTTCTCCTTTTTCTCCTTTTTTTTCCTTTTTGCCTTTGTTAGATCCCCAGGCACACCACAGTACCAAGCGTTATCAGTACCAGCTCACATTCCTTTCCTTATTTAGAAAGAGGACTAACTTTCTAGCTCATTACAGACACCCCTTCCCCTTTCTCTCCACTTTTTCTTCATGTGCCCACCCTATCTAAAAAAATTCAGATGTTTAGCCAACCAGGATTAGTTTAGATTGTACAACCCAACCCCAGCCAATGGGGAAAGAATGCAGAGGCAGGACTTGCGTCAGGAATAAAGGCTGTCGTGCCCCTTTGTTCAGGTGTGCTCTCATGGCAACTGGCCAAGGAGGCACCCCTCTACGCAGAAGTAAAATTGCTTTGCTAAGAATCCTTTGTTCAAGTGTTCAGTTTCCTTAGGATTTTGAGTGTTATTCCTAACAGTTCTTTGTCGGGTCCAGATCCTACCTCATGGGCCTAAGTCCGTGACTGTTTTTGGTGGGCATTGAAATGTCAGCCAAGTCTAACTTCCTGAGCCACTGCTGTGAGAAATCTCTATTTTTGGAACCTAGAGGTCTTTTTTTCTTTCTTTTTTAACCACACCTATTTATAAAACCTTTGGACTTCATCATTTTTTTAATGTGATTTAGTATCTGCAACAACCTTAGTCTACAAGGTTGCTGGAAACGGTTAGACGTGTGATCGACTTTGTTCCTGCAAGATTATAATATCTCCTGATTAATTTCTTAAGTTTCAGTTATAGTCTGTTATTATGAAACATATGTGTATATATATTTTTAAAACTTGCAACCCTTGCTGTTTATTGACTGAACCAGGCATTGTATTAAGTTCTTCTCGTAAGTAATATCGTATAGGCTTACATATCTATGGGGCTATGTTATTTCTTTTTAACACATTAAAAATTAAAATGCTAGAGGTTTTAAACAAAGGTTACAGAAATATTAAATGGCAGAGCTAAATTCAAATCCAGGACTGTCAGACTCTAAATTAATGCCTGTTTATTATTTTACCAGTCTGGCTAAGTGAGAAAATAATGTGGTAAGACATGTCTAGTACTACTCTTTGTTTATCAGAGTATAATGGTGCCTAAAATACCTAAATTTCCTTTTTTTTAAAAAAAGAAATAATTTTTTATTTTTAGGTTTTTCCAAGTTACACTTTCCAGTAGTGTAAAGGTAGAAAGAGCAATTTGGGATTGTAGCTGTGATTAGAATAAAGAAAAGAGATCATAATTCATCTAAAAAGGACACTGTGGCTACTACAGGTGACAGATTTTTTTCTTTTAAATTAGGAGGAATTTCTAATGCAGCTGTGTAAAAATAGAATTAGTAGCTTTGAATAGGTAGCTAGTTTTTCAAACACTCATAAGGTATACTGCATAGATAAGAGGAATAGGTCATTAGAATAAACTGTCTGCTTGAGGACCATAAACCCAGTTGGACCTGGGCTACCTGTTTTTGTAAATGAAATTTTATTGGCACACAGCCACTTGGTTACATATTATGTATGGCTGCTTTTGTGCTGCAACTGCAGAGTTGAGTGTTTAGTCTGTAGTGCCTAAAATATTTATTATCTGGCTCATTCTGGGAAGAGTTTACCAACTCCTCCTATATAAAGTAAGCCCCCAGGAATATGTTTTTACTTGACTGATCCCACAAAAAAGGAGGGAAACTTTAAGCTGAAGTTTAGTAACTCATTTGTTCTTTCCAAGGTTAGCACAGAAGCTACACAGTGGTCTCCTTTGCTAATTAGTAGATTCAGGCCATATCATGAGCTTCATTTAGTTATGAAAAGCTAAGCTAAAGACTGTTTCCTGGCATTCTTAGTTCCATCAGCCTAATTGAAAACCCCAACCAAGTTATTCTCTCTTAGTTTTGATTTTATTTATCTAAATGTAAAGCACATTTAGCATCAAATGAAGTTCATTGTGACCTCAGACAATGGGAGGCACCCACATGTGGGAGTGCTGGAAATAAACCTAGTGTCTAGCTGATGGGAAGCATTGTGCGAAGAAAAAGGAACTTGTCTGTCCAGTGAGATCTTTGCTGACTTTTTGTACTTTGACCCCATGTTTTTAAAAAATGAAGGACTTTAATTTTTTTTTAAGTTCATTTCCAAACTGGTACCTTTTTCTCACCAAACCTTTTTTACTGTTTCTATAAATATATGTGCTCCAATGTTTCTATTTTGTTTGTTTTTTCTTTCGGCCAGCTGTTTAGGTTAAAGTGGGTCATGTAGCACACACTCTTTTAAGGTCAATCCCAAATCTTGAGGTACCTTCTGTACATTACTGTTTTAGTACTTGTAACAGTGCCATGTTTGCATGAATGAAAATACATAATGCTCATTTTCATTTTTCTATGACGTTCCAAAATACTCTTTTGATACCTTTCATGTCAGCTTAGATCATTTATAAGACATTGATGTGTTAGGACTCCCTGACCTCCTTTGGTGAAGAAGTAATAAGCAAATCTTATAGGCTGGCTACATATAAACCTATCTGGCCGTGGGTAGATTTGCCAGTCCTCTGCACACCCCCACTCTACCCCAACAAATACATGTGAAATCAATTTTTTGACAGTTGCCTCCATTAAGACTTCATATCTGAATTACACTAATGGAGTTTACATTTTACATCCCCCCCCCCTTTTTTTTTTTTTTTTTTTGAAACAGGGTCTCACTGTATCACCCCAGCTGGAGTGCAGTAGCACAATCATGGTTCACCGCAACCTCAACTCCTTGGGCTCAGGTGATCTTCCATCTCAGCCTCCTGAGTAGCTGCCACAGGCACCTGTCATCACACCTGGCTAATTTTTTTACTTTTTGTAGAGACAAAGTTTCACCATGTTGCCCAGGCTGGTCTTAAACTCCTTGACTCAAGCAGTCCGCCCACCTTGGCCTCCCAAAGTGCTAGGATTACAGGCGTGAGCCACCGCACCTGGCCTACTTCCCTTTTAAGAGACCTATACAAAAGTTATTTAATGATAGTGGTGTCAGCATCTCAGAGGGTTGGAGGAAGAAGGTGGAAATAATGCAAGCATTAGGTAAAAGATTTAAACTTTTCTCCTTTGGAAGCCATGGCTAAGGTACTACTCAGACTTTGGTCATTGTGTCAGAGTCAGAATCAGAGATAAGAAAGATAAATACCACATAATATCACTCATAAGTAGAAGCTAAATAATATATACACATAGAAGCAGGGTGTGGGTTGATGGGTAGTGGGGACTTAGAGGGATGGCATGGGTGGTTGATGGCAGGTTGCTTGGTGAGTACAATGTGTGTTGCTACAGTGATGGATGCACTGAAGGCCCTGACTTCACCACAGTGCAATATATCAATGTAGCAAAATTGTACTTCTACCCCATGAATATATACAAGTTGTAAAACAAATTTTTAAAGCCAGATAACTTGCTATATACCTGTTTAGAGTAAGGATATGGAGCTGCCATCCCCGTGTTGTAGAATTTATTTCATTTTTAAATGTTTGATTTAGTGTGAAAGGTAACAGATTGCTACTTCAGTCAGAGAGTCTGAGAAAGGAGGGTAAACATTACTGAAATTGTAGTCTTGGCCTTTGTAAGAAGTGTAGAAGTTGAGTGCAGAGGGTACCTAGGTGAGATGATTAGGGCTCCAAGAGTTTGTCCCCAGCTTGACTTCTGTCAAACTCTCTGAGAAGGATGTTTTTTCCTTCTCATTGTGAACATTCTACCCTCAAGGCACTGAAAGCTTTCATCGTTGCCTGCTTTTGAAAAGGAAGTTATTGGACTTCTGCCTACCTTGGCTGCAACTGGAGTGAGAGGAGATGCAGGAAAGTGAGAAAGTGCACTTTAACCTGGCAGTGTTTGCTTTACATGTGTTATGTCATGATAAGAATAAGGGGTCTCATTAAAAACATTAATGCTGCATTAGGAGAATGCTTCATTCTCTTATTTTGTATTTTGACAGTTCTGCCCCCAACCTCATTTTGCTAGAACTAGAAAAGTGCTTTTATTATTATTTTTTTCTGAGATGGAGTTTTGCTCTTATTGCCCAGGCTGGAGTGCAATGGTGCAATCTCAGCTCGCTGTAACCTCCGCCTCCTGGGTTCAAGCAATTCTCCTGCCTCAGCCTCCTGAGTAGCTGGGATTACAGGTGCCTGCCACCATGCCTGGCTAATTTTTTGTATTTTTAGTAGACACAGGGTTTCAGCTTGTTGGCCAGGCTGGTCTCGAACCCCTGATCTCAGGTGATCCACCTGCCTCGGCCACCCAAAGTGCTGGGATTACAGGCATGAGCCACCGTGCCCGGATGAAAAGTGCTTTTAAAAAAGCATACCCCGTCTCTACTAAAAATACAAAAAAAAAAATTAGCCAGACATGGTGGCAGGCGCCTGTAGTCCCAGCTACTCGGGAGGCTGAGGCAGGATAATGACGTGAACCCGGGAGGTGGAGCTTGCAGTGAGCCGAGATTGCGCCACTGCACTCCAGCCTGGGCGACAGAGCGAGACTCTGTCTCAAAAAATAAATAAATAAATAAAATAAAAATAAATAAAAAAGCATAAAATAATTCAATTTTTTTGAAGGACTTTTAGAAACTGTTTAATTTTAGAAACTATCTGATTGTGATACATGCTAACACACTCATATACTCCCTCCTCCCCACAACACACACACAGCCTCTCTTTGTCGCTCATAAAGTCCTTCGGAAGCTTTCTCAGTGCTTTTAGGAGTATGACAGAAGTCCTTACATGGCCAACAGGAACCTGCATGGTCTTTTCACCACTTACTGTGTCTTCCTCATCTTTCTGTTGTGCTCCCCCTTGTGCTCTCCTCCAGCCCTGCTGTCATTCCTCCACATGGAAGTCTTTTTTTTTTTTTTTTTTTTTTTGAGACAGAGTCTCGCTCTGTCGCCAGGCTGGAGTGCAGTGGCGCAATCTCGGCTTACTGCAACCTCCGCCTCCTGGGTTCAAGCGATTCTCCTGCCTCAGCCCCCCAAGTAGCTGGGACTATAGGAGCACACCACCACGTCCAGCTAATTTTTGTATTTTTAGTAGAGACAGGGTTTCACCATGTTGGCCAGATCTGCTGACCTGGTCGTGATCTCCTGACCTTGTGATCCACCCACGTTGGTCTCCCAAAGTGCTGGGATTACAGGTGTGAGCCACCGCACCCGGCCAGGAAGTCTTTTTTGACTCCTGCCATGTTCTCCTGGCACTTCTTCCTTATACAGAGATCACACATGCACATTGTACATTTGCTCAGTGAGTGTAGGGACTGCTGCTCTGGTTTTCTTGTTTGTTTGTTGCTTATTTCTGTATCACCAGGATCTAACACAATGCTTGGTTAGCTGTACCCGAGTATTTACTGAGTGCATGAATTCCATCCATTGTATTTTCTGTAGCTACCTGATCTTTATTTGAACCTTTCAAGATATCTCATTCCATTTTGGTGTTCTTATTATAATAGAAATTAGAGAAAATATTTGCAACCAAAATGAGAAAAAGGTAATATTAATATACAAAGAGCTCATATAAGTTACTGAAGAAAATGTCTAAAGCCCTAATAAATAGGCAAAGAATGTAAATAGCTAAGTCACAAAAGAAATCTTAGAATGCTTAAAAGATCCAGGTGCAATGGTTCATGCCTGTAATCCCAACACTTTAGGAGGCCAAGGCAGTAGGATCACTTGAAGCCAGGAGTTACAAGCTTAGCAACAAAGCAAGACCTCATCTCTACAAAAAACAAAAAAATAAAAAAACTAGCCAGGCGTAGTGGCACTCACCTGTAGTCCCAGCTATTCTAGAGCCAAGGGAGGGAGGATTGCCTTGAGCCCAGGGATTTGACGCTATGGTGAGCTATGATCGTGTCACTGCACTCAGCCTGGGCAATAAAGAGACACACTGACTCTTAAAAAAAATGGCCAAAAGAGATCTGAGAATAATTATCTTTACTAGGCATCAAATAAGTGCAAATCAAAGCAAACTGCCACCTATTAATTGAGCAAAACATTTAATTGATAATCTATTTTTCAGAATGTATTGGTCTAGTTAGAATATCAATTCTTACCTTTCTGACAGATGACTAGTCCTTTGTAAATACCCAGTCACCTCTTTTCAGTTAAAGTTGCTGTCTCCAAGGAGTTTGCAATCTAATTGGGGAGGTAAAATCTCAACTCAAGAAATGAGAAGTCAGCATGAAAACCCATTGATGTCGTATTGCTTTTGCTGCTCTGATGTGGTGGCTCACACCTGTAATCCCAGCACTTTGGGAGGCTGGGGTGAGAGGATCACTTGAACCCAGGAGTTCAAGAGCAGCCTGGGTAACATGGCCAAACCCTGTGTCAAAAAAAGTTTTTAAAAATTAGCCCGGCGTGGTGGCACATGCCTGTAGTCCCAGCTACTCAGGAGGCTGAGGTGAGAGGATGGCTGGAGGCTGGCAAGTAGAGGCTGTAATGAACTGAGATGGTGCCACCAGAAGGACGGAGTTTCCCTTAACCAAGATAATATGTATAGTGGCTAGTCTGGCACATGGCACTTACTGGGTATTCCATAAAGAGTAGTTTATTTCCCCAAAATGTAGAGTAAGAGTGAAAGACTTTGATCCAATGTACTTCTGTCCACCTACACAAGCAAATAGAATGTTTCACCAGAATAATTAGACAAAAAATTTTATATGTAATTGGCACATTGGAATCCTTGTAAATTACTCCTTCTGTTGGCCAAGAGATTTACTCCTTTGGTGGAACTTGTGTTTTTCCATATGACAATAATATAGTAATGGCAAGTATATCAATAATAATAAAACTTTTTTTAAAAAGTAAAGGGAAAATCTTACCAAATTAATGTTTCATTTTAAGGAAAATATGACTCTATGCCCATTTTTTTCCTTCCAGGATGTTGCCTTATGGCTGTTTAGCAACAGGAGATCGCTCTGGCCTCATTGAAGTTGTGAGCACCTCTGAAACAATTGCTGACATTCAGCTGAACAGTAGCAATGTGGCTGCTGCAGCAGCCTTCAACAAAGATGCCCTTCTGAACTGGCTTAAAGAATACAACTCTGGGTTAGTTTATTCTGTTTAATTATCATTTTTCTGTACAAACAGCCAAACAAATACTGTATGCTCCCAATAGAAGTCAGCAGTGTGTTAGAGGAAATATTAGTGTTTTTTATCTATTGCTTCATTTCTTGTTAGAACAAAATGACACATAGCCCTTCGTAAAGTCTTGTAAATGGTGAATGTTGAATTCTACTTTATCTAAATCAAATTTTGGAGCCCCGCAGTAAAGTTACAATCTATGAATTTAAGTATTTAAAGATAACATACTGAAGCCTTTGTTCAAGTGCATCAGCTTCTCTAATTATGTGAATATATGAACTTAAGTGAGTTTTTAATGAGTTGGTAGATTGTGATTTCTCCAAACTAAAAAATGCAATGTTTGGAATTATGGCTATGGTGTTAGAAAAGCACTAATATATAGGAAATAAAAGAACTTCACAGTGTGAGGGGGAAATGGTCTGCAAGTATTTTTGGCTAAAGACTTCAGAGTCAGACACATTTTATCGAGAACTTGTAATATGCAAATCAGTTTCCAAATTTTGATCTTAAGGCCTTGTCTCCAGGGAATCTCTATTACTTACTTCTAATTGAAATCAGTGACTTAAATGTTTGAAACTGCAGTGCTTAACTCTTAAACATGAAATTGTAGTCAGTCTTTGGTCAAAACTAACTAAAATGTGCCCAACCCCTAGCATGATCTAGCAAAGCCATGGTCTCTTCTAAGTACTGTGAACATTAGTCTACTCACAGCCCCACCGAAACACAGCTCCCAGGACGTTTGAATATCTAAGGCCCAGTTATTTAATGTCTTTGAAGGCAGCTCTCTCAGCCCAGCCCCTGTGAAGACCACCCACACTCCCCTTGGCTGATCCACATGTTCTCTCATACGGTTTTGGCAGCTCTGTGTTCTCCTCACAATTAAAAAGGAAACAGAGGTATGGTTTGGGTCTCACTCTACACGCTTGGAGGCTGAAAACCTTTTTTGCTTCTGTTCTTTTCTCTTGTTCAGGGATGACCTGGACCGAGCCATTGAGGAATTTACACTGTCCTGTGCTGGCTACTGTGTAGCTTCTTATGTCCTTGGGATTGGTGACAGACATAGTGACAACATCATGGTCAAAAAAACTGGCCAGGTGAGCTGCTCCTCAGGATCTGCCAAGGGCCTTAGTAATGCTATTTCTTATGTATAGCATAATCTCTTGTGCAACTCAGCCAGATTCTTTTGTGATTCTTAGTGTCATATCTTTGTCTTTACTTCAATTTCTCACTACCTCTCGTTTCATATATAGTCTACTACATGTATTCATTTGTTTGCTTGCTTGATGGTAAGCATTTATTTGTTTAAAAAATTACTAAAGGCTGTGTGTGGTGGCTCACGCCTGTAATCCCAGCACTTTGGGATCCCGAGCCGGCCGGATTACCTGAGGTCAGGAGTTTGAGACCAGCCTGGTCAACATGGCGAAACCCCGTCTCTACTAAAAATATAAAAATTAGCCAGGCATGGTGGCAGGCGCCTGTAATCCCAGCTACTTGGGAGACTGAGGCAGGAGAATCACTTGAACCTGGGAGGCGGAGGTTGCAGTGAGCCGAGATCGCCTCACTGTGCTCCAGCCTGGGCAACAAGAGTGAAACTCCATCTCAAAAAAAAATTATTGAAAAAATTTTTGTAGTTAAAGTGGCCTGTTCTTCAATATAAGAAATAGTATTTGGGATACATTTGTACCTAACAGAAGGAGCGGATAATGTACTGGATGTATTAAATTTAAAGATTACCAATGCTATTCATATCCTTTGCCCACTTTTTGATGGGGTTGTTTGTTTTTTTCTTGTAAATTTGTTTGAGTTCATTGTAGATTCTGGACATTAGCCATTTGTCAGATGAGTAGGTTGCGAAAATTTTCTCCCATTTTGTAGGTTGCCTGTTCACTCTGATGGTAGTTTCTTTTGCTGTGCAGAAGCTCTTTAGTTTAATTAGATCCCATTTGTCAATTTTGGCTTTTGTTGCCATTGCTTTTAGTGTTTTAGACATGAAGTCCTTGCCCATGCCTATGTCCTGAATGGTAATGCCTAAGTTTTCTTCTAGGGTTTTTATGGTTTTAGGTCTAACGTTTAAGTCTTTAATCCAAAAGAAGACATTTATGCAGCCAACAGACACATGAAAAAATGCTCATCATCACTGGCCATCAGAGAAATGCAAATCAAAACCACAGTGGGATACCATCTCACACCAGTTAGAATGGCAATCATTAAAAAGTCAGGAAACAACAGGTGCTGGAGAGGATGTGGAGAAATAGGAACACTTTTACATTGTTGGTGGGACTGTAAACTAGTTCAACCATTGTGGAAGTCAGTGTGGCGATTCCTCAGGGATCTAGAACTAGAAATACCATTTGACCCAGCCATCCCATTACTGGGTATATACCCAAAGGACTATAAATCATGCTGCTATAAAGACACATGCACACGTATGTTTATTGCGGCACTATTCACAATAGCAAAGACTTGGAACCAACCCAAATGTCCAACAATGATAGACTGGATTAAGAAAATGTGGCACATATATACCATGGAATACTATGCAGCCATAAAAAAGGATGAGTTCATGTCCTTTGTAGGGACATGGATGAAATTGGAAATCATCATTCTCAGTAAACTATCACAAGGACAAAAAACCAAACACCGCATGTTCTCACTCATAGATGGGAATTGAACAATGAGAACACATGGACACAGGAAGGGGAACATCACACTCTGGGGACTGTTGCGGGGTGGGGGGAGCGGGGAGGGATAGCATTAGGAGATATACCTAATGCTAAAGGACGAGTTAATGGGTACAGCACACCAGCATGGCACATGTATACATATGTAACTAACCGGCACATTGTGCACATGTACCCTAAAACTTAAAATAAAAAAAAAAAAAAAGATTACCAATGCTAAAAAAAAAAAGTTGGGATGAACCCCACTTGAGTTATTTTCTCTTTTAGAACATCATACCTAATTATATATGGGAGAAGGGAGAACAGTCGTGTGAGTAATAGCATTCTGGGGTACCTAGGGAATCTAGACCATGTTGTTTATAAAGTACTTAAGTTTTCAAATGAAAATTTCATTTTTCAGAGTGACATATTTGTAAACACTTTTTATGTTAAGCAAAAACAGATGAGATATCTTAGATAATTTTTCAGTTTAGCCCCCCTAGGAATTCCCACATTAGAGGCATACTAGAATGAAAATCTCTCTGGGTCACTGTGTGAACTTTGGTTCTATGAGGGACCCACAGTTTTGTATCTCCTTGGAAATCTGGATTAGTTCTGGCTTGGGCTTTGAGAGTTGATGTGGAATGAATTTGTAATGCACTATAATACATGAATGCACCATGTACGATTGAGGAATCTCGTGTCCATACTTAAAAGGAGTCCCTTGGACTTCCGTCCAATCACATTAAACACTTAGATTTATCTCCATTTTCTTCTTTTACACCTCTAAAACAATAATAAGGAATTAAGAAATATATAAACTCAAGAAGTCAAAGATGATAGGAAAATAGGCCACAGTGGGTGAAACCTATTACCAGACTTCGGGGTGATAGAAAGTGAGATAGAGAAGTGGCAGTGACTTAGCAGAACTGAGAAAATAGAAAGTCAGTACTTGTAAAGGGGTACGCAAGTCCCATAAAAGCTCTGGAATCAGAGGCACCATGTATACTGTTCAAGGAGGGATACAGAAAGAGGCTGAAACAGAACTAGTTGGCAGCTTATATATGGAACAGTTAGGCACTCAAGTCCCCTTCCCTATGCCAAGAAGGAGATAGATTTATTCTCTGAAGAAACTGGTTCTGACTCAAGCACACTTATTTCTACAGAGACTACAAGAAAGGGTCCCATATTAAAAATGGAGATGGAGTGAAAGTCGGCGTAGTAAATGGTACAATCTGCAGCCACTTCCACTTGCTTTATTCTAAGAACAGTGGCAGCCAGATGTATAGTTGACCCTCATCAAAAGACTAGGTGATTCTATTCTAGAAATCTGATTGGTTCCATTGAAAAGTCCTGCAGATCTGACAGTTGAGATTTCTCCCTAGTTTCTATACAAGGAAGTCCACCAATCAACAAGCAAGCCTACCATGTACATAGAATTTTCATTCAGCTTTTTAGTGATTCATTGTTAAATATGAATGGTCAGCTAAGGATTAATATACTTTTAAAAAATGACAAAAATTGAATATGTTTATCATGTACGACATATTGTTTTGAAGTATGTCTTCATTGTGGACTTGATAAATTGAGCTGACCTGTGTGTTACCTCACATACTTATCTTTTTTTGTGATGATAACATTTAAAACCTAGTCTTTCAGCAGTTTTCAGGAATACAATATATTGTTGTTAACTATAGTTGCCATGTTGTAAGACAGATCTGTTGAACTTATTCCTCCTAAGTGAAATTTTGTATTATTTGACCAGTATCTCCCCAGCACCTGCAGCCACCATTCTACTCTCTACTGGATTAGCAGACATTTAAGGGAAACCTCTACCATGAAAGATAGAAACCAAATAAGCAAAATAGGGAAGAAAAGAAAAGAACTCTGGGAAAACAGGGTAACTGCAGTAAACAGAGGGTGATTTTAAAAATCAAAGCAAAAAAATATATTGTATCTTTAAAGTAATAATAGGATTCTGTTTTTTACAATCAGCACATAGAGGTCTTGAAAATTAGAAATAGGAACAAACAAAAAGTTAAAATAGAAATAGTGTAAATATTTTGTGGCAGGCATAGTTGTAAGTGCTTTATATATAATCTAATGCCTTCAGGCCTGATGACAACCTTATAGAGTGGCGGCAATAGCCCCATTTTACAAGTGAGGATATTAAGGCAACAGAGAGTAGACATATCAGGATTTTAACCCTGGCAGTTTGGCTCATATTCTTTTTTTTTAATCCACCATGCCTTAATATCTCCAAAAAATATGATAAATAGAGAGAAGATCCAGAAACAATAGAGACTCAGTCCAGGGAGGTATACTCTCAGCCTAATGGATATTCCAGAAAGAAGGAGAATGGCGTGAACCTGGGAGGTGGAGCTTGCAGTAAGCTGAAATCACGCCACTGCACTCTAGCCTGGGCGACAGAGCAAGACTCCGTCTCAAAAAAAAAAAAAAAAAAAAAAAAAAAGAAGAGGAAAGAAGGGCACTTACTAAGCAAATAATATACTAAGACATTTCCCAGAGCCAATGTTCATGAATATCCAGTCAAAATAGCACAAAAATTTTCTGAGAATGGAAGAAAAACACCCTTACTAAGTACCTGCACTATGAAATTTCAGTGCATCAGACGTAAAGAGAAAGTCTTAAAACTTTCGCAGAGACACAGCAGGCCACATACCAGAGTTTAGAAGTCAAAATGACTTGGCTCCTCAATAGCTACATTGGCAATTATAAGACAGTGCACGTTAGCCTTCATAATTTTGAGGGAAAATGATTTCTAACCTAAAATTCGATAACCAAACTTTTTTTTTTTTTTCTGAGATGGAGACTTGCTCTGTCGCCCAGGCTGGAGTGCAGTGGCGTGATCCCGGCTCACTGCAGCCTCCGCCTCCTGGGTTCAAGTGATTCTCCTGCCTCAGCCTCCCCAGGCAGCTGGGGGACCACAGGCATGCGCCACCACGCCCAGTCAAGTATAAAGGGTAGAATGAAGACATTTTTCCAACTTGCAGGGTCACAAAACTTGTCACTCCTCTGCATCTTTTCTCAGAGGCTGCCAGAATAAGGACATCTACCAAAACAAGTGCCTAAACCAATAATTATCAAGTGGGGTGATTTTTCACTCAGGGGACATTTGTTAATATATGAAAACAGTTTTAGTTGTCATAACTGGGGGGTGGGGTAGTCCAGTGGATAGAGGCCAGGGATGCTGCTAAACACCCATACAGGACAGAACCCCATATCAAAGAATTATATGGCCTATGTCAGTGTGTGCCAGTATTGAGAAACCCTGGTCTCAACCAAAAGAGAATGTGATGTGGGACACAAAACGGGCTCCAAATGGGAGAAGAGGAAAGGGAAGGCCCAGGATGATGGCTCTGCAGCAACACCGGAGAACAACCAGCCCAGCTAGAAACCAGTAGATTACCTGACTGTCTGGAAAACAGTTTTGAAAATGATTTGTAGATTTGTTGTTGTTTGATTTGTAGATTTTTAAGGAGAGTTTGGGAAGAATTAATGCTAAGGTCATAGAACACTAAGCTAAATGAATGAATGAATACATGCGTACAGTTTTCTAAAGGAAAAAAGGTGAACATGTGAAAAATAAAAACACTGAATATTGATGTAACCAGAAATTATGACATAATGTGCCACAGTGTGTAGCATTATGTTAGCATAAAAGTACTAAATCTTTATCTTCCATAATAAGAATAGTAATATACAATTAGGGAGCAAAAATAAATATAAACATATTATTTAGAAAAATGGAGGCAGACACCAGGAAAAACACCTAGTGAGAAGAGTAAGAAGTTACCTCTAAAGAGTAGCACTCAATGTGGGGAGCTAGTAGGGCAAGGATGTACTTTTTTGTTGTTGTTGTTGTTGTTGAGACAGGGTCTTACTCTGTCACCCAGGCAAGAGCGTAGTGGCATCATCATGGCCCATTGCAGCCTCGACCTCCTAGGCTCAAGCAATTCCCCCACCTCACCCCCCTGAGTAGCTGGGACCACAGGTGTGTGCCACTATGCCTGACTAATTTTTTCCTTCATTTGTAGAGATGGGGTCTCGCTATGTTGCCTAGGCTGGCCTTGAACTCCTGGTTTCAAGTGATCCTCCTGCCTCAGCTTCCCAAAGTGCTGGGATTGCAGACATGAGCCACCACAACCAACCTGTACTCTTTTCTTGTTATGTTTTATAGAACTATTTGACTTTTTAAAAATCAGACATTTTAATTCTTTGGATGTATTTTTCTTTCTAAAGCGTCTCCTTTTCCACTAGATATCTACAGTTTAATATCAGGGTTATTTATTATTGATTGTAAAAGTCTTAAGAGTGTTAGATATGGTCTCTTCTCACCTGGCTCAGTGGGCTATAAACAGAGGGAGAAGGGCTCAGATGTGGATGGGTATAGTTCCTGGGGGTCTAGGACTATGGAGGTTTTGCCTTTATATTTGGAACCCACCAGAAAAATGAAGGAAATTAAATCCCATTTGTTTTCCAGCTCTTCCACATTGACTTTGGACATATTCTTGGAAATTTCAAATCTAAGTTTGGCATTAAAAGGGAGCGAGTGCCTTTTATTCTTACCTATGATTTCATCCATGTCATTCAACAAGGAAAAACAGGAAATACAGAAAAGTTTGGCCGGTGAGTACTGCCCTTGTGCCAAGGCTGAACACTTCTAACATTTTCTTATCTGACCAGGTGGACCAGCATTTCTTAGCTGAGATATATTTGGATCTGGGAGATATTCAGTCTGATTATAGGAAGCTTTTGGGGGAATTTGCCTGTCAGATTATTGTGCTGGTTCAGAAATTCCCAGATAGGAGAAACAGAATGCTAGAAATTTAAAATAATTATTATATTTTATTCCAATAATATACTACCTTTTACCTGTTTCAGAACATTCTCTGAAACTATTAAGACAGTTGATAGGAAGATGCTGAAAAGACATCTGCTGTCATTGTGTATGGAGTACAGTAAGGGAACTAGAATTCAGGGCAAATTTTTTAATCTCTGATCTATTACTGGCTACCTACATGTTCCCAAGCATAATACTTGTCTTTTTGCCTTTGTATCATCTTAAAATGGGGACAAAAATATGAAATTAAGGGCTACTATGATGGTTAGAGACATATCATGTAACCAACACATACTTAACAAATCATTGTCACTATCCTTTATAGTTCTGTTTGGGTTTCTGCAGAATATACCTCAGTGGGTCTAGTTTTCTCTTTGGCAAAATAAGGGGATACGATTGGATGGTCCTCAGCCTGGCGCGGTAGGTCATGCCTGTAATCTCAGCACTTTGGGAGGCCAAGGCACACAGATCACTGGAGGTCGGAGTTTGAGACCAGCCTGACCAACATGGTGAAACCCCGTCTCTACTAAAAATACAAAAAGTAGCCAGGTGTGGTGGCACACGCCTGTAATCTCAGCTACTCAGGAGGCTGAGGCAGAATTGCTTGAACCTGGGAGGCAGAAGTTGCAGTGAGCCAAGATCACGCCACTGCACTCCAGCCTGGGAGACAGAGCAAGGTTCCATCTCAAAAAAAAAACATTGGATGATCTTCTTGAGGGACCATCTTGAAGAGGAGAGAGAGGGAAGGCAGGATGACAGGAAGGAGCAAAAGCACTGACACTGATTGAGGGGACTTTTAAAAAATTAGTTTCTGGAATCAGACCACAAATATAGAACCCAGAAGTATGTTCAGAAATCCTTGTGGATTATAATTATAACTGATTTAATAATCAGTTCTTGTGTCTCATAGAATTAAAAAGTCTAGATTATTATTAAAAATGTAATAGCCTTTCGTCATAGAATTTCTATTTAGTTTTGTTTTTGAAAAATATATCTGTGATGTTAGAGAGATTGATTGTTTTATGTAGATTTTAGTCCTGGGACAATTTTCGCAGAAGTAAAAATCAGAAATGAACCTTTAGTTCAGTAGGAATTTTCTTATTCTAATAGAAAGTCTAGCTGTGTTTTCTTAATTTCCTGTATGAAATGTGCTCTCTCCCCTCTAACACTGTGCTCATGTGGTTTGCTGCATCACCCAAAGGTTCCGCCAGTGTTGTGAGGATGCATATCTGATTTTACGACGGCATGGGAATCTCTTCATCACTCTCTTTGCGCTGATGTTGACTGCAGGGCTTCCTGAACTCACATCAGTCAAAGATATACAGTATCTTAAGGTATAAAACCACTTTTCCTTCTCTCTTGGACTTTGTGGGCATTGAGCTCAGTTTTAGCTGCCTGTTTTATTCAAGTGGCTGAAGGAAGTAGAACAAAGTCATTTCCTCTAAGATGGTTCTTAGCCAGGAGGGAAAGAATCTGGGAAGTACATAAAGGAGGAATTTTGTAGAGTAGCTTGTAACCCAGAAGATTTTCCCATCAGTAGAAGGGGCGTAAAGAAGACTGGTATTGGGCTGTAGCCTTCTTACTCACATTACTGAAAGACCGCAGATCAGGAGCGGGTTGCCACCTTGATTTTCCACAGTCTGCCTTTTTCTTGCCAGGATCTTAGTAGGTCTTGAGTCATCTTACTGGATTTGGGTGGTAGTGGCAAGCAGCTGTGCATCCTGCAGTAATTATAAATTATTTTCATCTTCAAAAACCTTTTGGAAGAAGTCATATTATCTCCCTATCTTGGGGTTCTGCCTCCTGCAGATGATATTTAAATAAGAACATGAAGCATGCTGCCTGATGGTGGCTGGGGAGGCACAACCAATCCAGCCTCCTGCAGACTTTGATATTTGCACATCTCTACTAAAGTTATATAAAATCATATTTTCCCCCTTCCATTTTAGGACTCTCTTGCATTAGGGAAGAGTGAAGAAGAAGCACTCAAACAGTTTAAGCAAAAATTTGATGAGGCGCTCAGGGAAAGCTGGACTACTAAAGTGAACTGGATGGCCCACACAGTTCGGAAAGACTACAGATCTTAACGATCAGCCTTCGCTCCTAATGTATTTGTTGGTTTCATTTCATTTTCATTTTGCACTTGCACTAAATTGAACATGACCCTGTTAGAGATGTTATAAAGGGAATGAAATCCTGGAACTCAGAGTTAAATTAAGAACAAGGCATCCCACAGAACCTAATCTGAACAATCCCCGATGATTCCCTCTGCTTTTTGAATGCTTCCAAGACTTATCATGAAAACTGTCAATGGATAATCATTTCCTGCTGACTTTGCACGCCAAGGAATGCTACTAGGGATTGTTTCCGTTTTTGTTTGTTTTTTCTAATATTTGGTACTTCCCAGAATGGTGTAAATACTTCTTTTCAATGTTGTGACCAAGTATTGTCACTCAGCCAACAACTTTTCCACACCTGGGGGTTGGTGGCTGTTCTTACTGTCCAAATGAAGCTAAAAAGAAAGGCATCTTTCTTCCCTTTTAAAATTGTGTAAACTGCAAATTATAATATAATTTGAATTTATGATTATTTTCCAGAAGAAATCTTGTAAACCTGTGGATACTCATTAATTCTTTTGTTAATATTTATTTCCATGATAGCATCATTCCAGCCAGACTTGCTGAAAATCTACTGGTGAGGCAAATATAATATATATAAATATGCTACATATATATTTATAAAATTTCTAGTGGGAGTTCTATATAAATGTTTCTTTGGTATTCTTCAGCCTGTGATTTAAAGTTTTACAAAAAGCAGAGCTTTTTCCTAAGTTACTTTTCAGTTAGGTAACTGTGTGATCCAGTTCTTCCAGCTGCTTCTATAATGAGGCACATATTAATACAGTTTTTATATGGTATCTATGAAAGAGTTCACTTCATAGAGAATAATACTTGAGCAAATGTATCCAAGAAAGCAAGCAAATGAAAAGAAACCTATTTATGGAATAAACTCCAGATCTGAAATTCAGTATTTTAGAAAAATGCCAGCTCTTCTTACTGTATTTATTAAAACTTGTAATAATGTGATTTTTTTCAAGGATATTAGTTCAAATTGAAATGGTTTCACGCCACACGGAAATCTTTAAGTTATTTGTTGAGGTACCATATATTTAGGGTGCTAGGGGCAAGTAATGTTAATATGTGCAATAGGAACTACTGGTTTGAATGTGTAAATGGGTGATCTCTCTGAGTCCTGGCAACATCCAGCAAAACTACTGCTTATTCTCCAAAGAATATTGGGAGCTCTCAATCCTCGGTGATATGGGAAAGAGAACTGAGTATTTGCCCTATGACTGAGCTTTCTATAGGAATTTTATTAAAGAATGTTTAATTTTGTTGTCCTTCTTAATGTTCTCAGTCAAATAAATGAGTGAGCTGGTTTCGGCTGCTCTTGGAATGGGTGAGCCTCTTCTTTATGGGTAGACTGGGCCTTTGGAACTTGGCACTGGAACTCCAAGAAATGGCCAAGTCAGTAGACAAACCAACCTCAGGAATAGGCTAAGGCTTATTATGGCCTCTTCCCTGACTTCTCCCCTTGTTTCCCAGCCTCATCAGGCATGGTATAGGAGGCCCCCTGGACTTTGGTGGGAGCCTGAGGTAAGGAGCCATGCATATGGGAGGTGTCCTGAAGTCTGGGTAGTTACTTGGCACTGAGCCAAGGCCAGACTCTGCTGCTTTGGAGCTCTTGTTCATGGGGCAGATGCTGGAGCAGTCCAGTTCCTTGGAAATAACTCAGCTGAGGATGGGAGTTGGCCCCTGAATTCCTCATTTCCAGGGCTGGTGTAGACTCACTGAGACTTCCAGGAATAGAACTATGGAAGGACAGGTTTGTTCAGAGATCTTTGTCTAGTAGCCACCCACCATTTCATGAACCAGGCCGCAGGTCAGTGGTTTGGAGAATGGTGAACACTGCCAGGAAGAAATGGATACCATTCTTTCCAGAGGGGTCTCCTCAGCCAAAAGGAGGGCCTTGATAAATACATGCCAAATCAGTGAAGTTCAAGTCAACTGTTTTTCCCATATGGGCACCAAATTGTATCTTTCCTGTTTTCTTTGAAGGGTTAAGTAACGTGACCATAGTCACAGAGTAGTTGATGGAGCCAGTATTCAAACCCAGAAAGTAAGAAGCCTATTTTAATTATCTGTGCTCTTTACTCACAATGCCTCAGTATACATTTCAGATTTATTGGGTTCCACAAATAGAAATCTATGGAAATTTTGAATCAAATTGCATTAAGCTATAGACAAGGTTGAGACAAATTGACATCTCCAGAATATTGAGTTTTCCAAAATATGTAAGTGGAGTACCCATTTATTTAGATTATCTTTCATTTATATCCGCAATGATTTATAGTATTCTGTGTTTACATATTATGCATCGTTTGTTAGATTCCTGGGTAAGTGACTTTATTGTAAGTTTCATTGTTGTTAATCTATAGCAATCATTCTCCAAGTGTGGTCCCCTGATGAGGAGCATCAGCATCACCAGAGAGAACTGGTTAAAAATGCAAATTCTTAATTTTTAATTTTTGTGAGTACATAGTAGATATATATATGGGGTACATGGAATATTTTGATACAGGCATATAACATGTAATTATCGCATCAGGGTAATTGGGGTATCCATTACCTCAAGCATTTATCCTTTGTATTAGAAACAATCCAGTTATACTCTTTTAGTTATTTTAAGATCTATAATTAAATTATCGACTATAGTTACTCTGTTGTGCTATCAAATACTAGATCTTATTCATTCTTACTATTTTTTTTGTACCCATAGAAATGCAGATTCTTGGTGGGGCCTGGCAGCTCACACCTGTAATCCCAGCATTTTGGGAGGGCGAGGCCGGGGAATCACCTGAGGTCAGGAGTTCAAGATTAGCCTGGCCAACATGGTGAAACCTGTATCTACTAAAAACACAAAAATTAGCTGGGCATGGTGGCTGGCTCCTGTAATCCCAGCTACTCGAAAGGCTGAGGTAGGAGAATCACTTGAACCCAGGAGGCGGAGGTTGCAGTAGCCGAGATCACACCACTGCACTCCAGCCTGGGTAACAGAGTGAGACTCCATCTCAAAAAAAGAAAAAAAAAAGAAATGCACATCCTTGAGCCCTGCCCTGGAGCTACTGATTTAGAAATGGGGGTGGAGCCCCCAAACCTGTATTTAATTTAATTTATTTATTTATTTATTTTTTGAGATGGAGTCTCGCTTTGTTGCCCAGGCTGGAGTGCAGTGGTGTGATCTCGATTCACTTCAACCTCCACCTCCCAGGTTCAAGCAATTATGTCTCAACCTCCCGAGTTTAGCTGGGACTACAGGTATGCACCACCATGTCCAGCTAATTTTTGTATTTTTAATAAAGACAGGGTTTCACCATATTGGTCAGGCTGGTCTCGAACTCCTGACCTCAGGTGATCCACCTACCTCAGCCTCCCAAAGTGCTGGGATTATAGGCATGAGCCACCGCACCCAGCCAAACCTGTATTTTCATAAAGTTCCAGAGCAAAGGTCCACAAATACATTTGATGTTTGTATTTAGCAGACTTATAAACTTTCTAATTAATCCTAACAATTTATTTGTATGAATTTTTTTTTTTTTTCTTGAGACAGGGTCTCACTATGTCACCCAGGCTGGAGTGCAGTGGCGTACTCTCGGCTCACTGCAACCTCTGTCTCCTGGGCTTAGGTGGTCCTCCGACCTCAGCCTCCTGAATAGCTGGGGCCACAGGCATGCACCACCACACGCAGCTAATTTTTGTTTGTTTGTTTGTTTGTTTTAAGAGACGGAGGTTTACCATGTTGCCCAGGTTGGCCTCAAACTTCTGGACTCAAGCAGTCTGTCCGCCTTGGCCTCCCAAAGTGTTGGGATTACAGGCATGAGCCACTGAGCCCGGCCTGTATAAATTATTTTGATTTTGTATGTATCACCTAAAAATACTGTTGATTTTTTTTTTTGTGGATTTTTTTTTTTCACCATGATACATAATTTAGTAGAGACACGAACTACCCACACGGAGATGATTAGCATCACACAGCACTTTAAGCAGATATTGGCAACACTTGAACTCACAATAGCAATGAGAGGTGGCTACGAAATTATTAAAGTAGTATGTCATGTACTACAGTTAATTTTATGCAGTTATGTTTTAATACTGCATTTTTGTGTTCCTATTTTTCTCTTTTTAAATTTTTTTTTTTTACTTTTAGGTTTGGGGGTACATGCGAAGGCTTGTAACATAGGTAAACTTGTGTCACAGTTTTGTTGTACAGATTATTTCATCACCCAGGTATTAAGCCCAGAAGCAGAAAAGATAGCTATTGAGTACTGGGCTTAATACCTGGGTGGATCTCTTTTATCAGACTAAAGAAGCTACCTTAGCTTTCTAATTTGCTAAGGGACTTTTTAAAAAATTATTAATGGATGTGGAAATTTATCAGATGATTTTTCTGCATTTTATTCCAATGATCATAAGGTTTTTCTCATTTGGTGAGTCATGTTTCAATATTAAATGAAGTTTGCATTCCAGCAATGAGCCAAATTGATTGTAATTTTTTGTTGTTGTTTGTTTCTTCAAGAAGGAGTCTTGCTTTGTCCCCTAGGCTAGAGTGCAGTGGCGTAATCTCAGCTCACTGCAACTTCCATCTCCTGGGTTCAAGTGATTCTCCTGCCTCAGCCTCCCAAATAGCTGGGATTACAGGTAACTGCCACCAAGCCTGGCTTATTTTTTATTTATTTATTTATTTATTTATTTTTGTATTTTTGTATTTTTAGTAGAGACATGGTTTCAGTATGTTGGCCCAGCTGGTCTTGAACTGCTGATCTCAAATGATCTGCCAGCCTTGGCCTCCCAAAGTGGTGGGATTACAGGCATGAGCCAATGTGCCCGGCTGATTGTGAAGTGTTTTTAAATGTGTATTCCTGGATTTGATTTGCTAATATTTGAGGGGTTTGCATCTTTTTTTTTTTTCAATCAGTGGTATTAGCCCATAAGTTCCTTTTAAGATCTGTGTCAAGTTCTTTTAGGCAAGATGTAACCAACATGGCTGATGAGGTGCCTGGCACTCACCTCCTCCACTAAGTGGGACCAAAGCAGCAAATAGATAACCACACATCAAGTAGACAGAGAGAACACTAGAATTCACCAGGAAAGTGACAGGGCACCTCTGAGGTAAAGAAGGAGAGAGAAACAAAGAAGCACCCAGCCCAGCTGGAATTGGCTCAGAGCTGGAAGGAACTTGCCATTACTAGGAAAAGGTAAGGGGGAGATTCCCAATAGTCCACATTCCCACCAGGGATGCCTGCAGTCCTAGCCACCAGAGAGCCCCTTGGCCCTAACAGGCCCTGAGCCTAGTATAGGTTGCTGCTTGGAGTTCACAAAACTGCATTGTTCAAGAAAGGGAATTCACACTGGATCCCACTGACCGCCAACACCCAAGCAACTGCAGCATGGTGCCATTTTGAGAGCTCAGTCCCCACCAGACTACATCCTCCCTGGGACTCAACAGCCCCTGCATCTCCACATTCCTGGAGCCCCACTGACATCCTCCCACCACCACCTAGAGGGCTGCAGCATTGCAATGCCAGCTGGACCCAGTGCTATGGCCAGTTCCTCAGCACTCTAGCCCACAAGGTAACCTACACCCTAGAGAATAGGTGGTGAAGCACATCAGGGAGGCTGCCCCAAGGACAAAGAGGGCCAAAGTGTACATTCCCTGCAGCTTGGCAGCTGACTTCCTGAGACTGCTGCCACCAACTGCAATCCTGCCCTTCCAGCAGCAGGGCCACCTCATACCTGTACATGCTGTGAAGAGGCCTAAGGAACAATCCTCCCTCACACACTATCCAAGGGTGTGAGGACAGACCTGCCAAGTCCACTCATGCTGCCAGCGCCTGCATGCACCTCTGGGGACCTAAGGACAGGCCCAACCCACCCATCACTGCCATTGCCAACACCCACCCATGCATGCCACCTAGGAGCCTGGAGACTGGGCTGACTAGCCCATTGGCACCTCCGCTGGCACTCATGCATACCACCCAGGGGCCTGAGGGCCAGCCTGTTGACATTACTGCCACAGCCAATACCACAAGTGCTACCCAGGGCCCTGAGGACCTGCCTGCCTGACCTGCCACAACCACTGCCAGCACTTGAGCCTGCCACATGAAGTACACCACCCAGGCGACTGAGGACTGGCCCACCTACCCTTCTGCTGCTGCCACTGGTGCTAGAGGACTGACTGGCTCACCTGGTTTCCCTATCCCCAGTGAAGTCCGACTACAACGTACATAACCTCATCTTATTGAAGACAACATAATAAGACAAGATAAAGCAGAAGAAAGAATTTCTGAACTGAAGACATGTTTTTTGAAATAAGACATAAAAAACAATAAAGCAAGCCATGTGACATATGGGACACAAAAGAACAAAAATTCAAATTTGGGGAGTTCCAGGAGAAGAAATGGGCAAAGGTATAGACAGCCTATTTAATGAAATAATAGCTGAAAACTTCCCAGGTCTTGCTAGAGACATAGACATTTGGAAGCTGGAAACTCAAGGAGTCCCAAATAGATTCAATCTAAAGAGGTCTTCCCAGAGACAAATGATAGTCAAACTGTCAAAAGTCAAAAACAGAGAATTCTAAAAACAGCAAAAGAAGCCCAAAATCTCCTTAAGCCGATAAGCAACTTCAGCAAAGTCTCAGGATACAAAATCAATGTGCAAAAATCACAAGCATTCTTATACACCAATAACAGACAGAGAGCCAAATCATGAGTGAACTCCCATTCACAATTGCTTCAAAGAGATAAAATACCTAGGAATCCCACTTAAAAGGGATGTGAAGGACCTCTTCAAGGAGAACTACAAACCACTGCTCAACGAAATAAAAGAGGACACAAACAAATGGAAGAACATTCCATGCTCATGGATAGGAAGAATCATTGTGAAAATGGCCATACCGCCCAAGGTAATTTATAGATTCAGTGCCATCCCCATCAAGCTACCAATGATTTTCTTCACAGAATTGGAAAAAACTACTTTAAAGTTCATATGGAACTAAAAAAGAGCCCTCATTGCCAAGTCAATCCTAAGCCAAAAGAACAAAGCTGGAGGCACCATGCTATCTGACTACAAACTATACTACAAGGCTACAGTAACCAAAACAGCATGGTACTGGTACCAAAACAGAGATATAGACCAATGGAACAGAACAGAGCCCTCAGAAATAATACCACACATCTACAACCATCTGATCTTTGACAAACCTGACAAAAACAAGAAATGGGGAAAGGATTCCCTATTTAATAAATGGTGCTGGGAAAACTGGCTAGCCATATGTAGAAAGCTGAAACTGGATCCCTTCCTTACACCTTATACAAAAATTAATTCTAGATGGATTAAAGACTTAAATGTTAGACCTAAAACCATAAAAACCCTAGAAGAAAACCTAGGCAATACCATTCAGGACATAGGCATGGGCAAGGACTTCATGTCTAAAACACCAAAAGCAATGGCAACAAAAGCTAAAATTGACAAATGGGATCTAATTAAACTAAAGAGCTTCTGCACAGCAAAAGAAAGTACCATGAGAGTGAACAGGCAACCTACAGAACGGGAGAAAATTTTTGCAATCTATTCATCTGACACAGGGCTAATATCCAGAATCTACAATGAACTCAAACAAATTTACAAGAAAAAAACAATCCCATCAACAAGTGGGCAAAGGATATGAACAGACACTTCTCAAAAGAAGACATTTATGCAGCCAACAGACACATGAAAAAATGCTCACCATCACTGGCCATCAGAGAAATGCAAATCAAAACTGCAATGAGATACTATCTGACATCAGTTACAGTGGCGATCATTAAAAAGTCAGGAAACAACAGGTGCTGGAGAGGATGTGGAGAAATAGGAACACTTTTACACTGTTGGTGGGACTGTAAACTAGTTCAACCATTGTGGAAGACAGTGTGGCGATTCCTCAAGGTTCTAGAACTAGAAATACCATTTGATCCAGCCATCCCATTACTGGGTATATATCCAAAGGATTATAAATCATGCTGCTATAAAGGCACATGCACACATATGTTTTTTACGGCACTATTCACAATAGCAAGACTTGGAACCAACCCAAATGTCCATCAATGATAGAGTGGATTAAGAAAATGTGGCACATATACACCATGGAATACTATGGAGCCATAAAAAATGATGAGTTCATGTCCTTTGTAGGGACATGGATGAAGCTGGAAACCATCGTTCTCAGCAAACTATCGCAAGGACAGAAAACCAAACACTGCATGTTCTTACTCATAGGTGGGAATTGAACAGTGAGAACACTTGGACACAGGAAGGGGAACACCACACACTGGGGTCTGTCATGGGGTGAGGGGAGGGGGGAGGGATAGCATTAGGAGATATACCTAATGTAAACGACGAGTTAATGGGTGCAGCACACCAACATGGCACATGTATATGTATGTAACAAACCTGCATGTTGTGCACATGTACCCTAGAACTTAAAGTATAATTTAAAAAAAAAAGCATCAAACCACATATAAGGGAATCTCCATGAGACTAACAATGAATTTCTCAGCAGAATCTTTGTAGGTCAGGAGAGAAAGGAATAAAATAGTCAAAGTACTGAGAGAAAAAAAAAAAAAGAAACTGTCAACCAAGAATCCTGTGTCCAGCAAAGGTATCCTGGAAAAATGAAGGGAAAGTAGTCTTTCTCAGAAAAACAAAAATGGAGATAATTCATTACCACTAGACTAGCCCCACAAGAAATATTTAAGGGAGCCCTACACCAGGAAACAAAAGGACAACATCTACCATCATGAAAACTTAACAAAAGTAGTGTAGAGCAGATACACAAAACAGGAATAGGAGTGTTGTTACTCTAAAAAAAAAAAAAAAAAAAAAAAAAACCACCAGATCATAAAAGAAAGTAAAAGAAGAATAAAGGAAGAAAGGATATTCAGAACAATCAGAAAACAACAAAATGACAGGAAGTCCTCACCTATTAATAACAAGCTGGAATGTCAAAGTTTAAGCTCCCCCAACTAAAAGATATAGACTGGCTGAATGGCTAACAAAAATAAGACCCAGATATATGCTGTCTACATGAAACTCATCTCACCTATAAAGACACATAGACTGAAAATGAAGGGATGGAAAAAAATACCTCATGCAAACAAAACAAAAGCATGCAGGAGTAGCTACACTTATATCAAAGGAGAGTTTAAGTCAAAAAAAATGAGACAAGAAAATTATAATAAAGGAATCAATTAGGCAAGAGGATATAACAATTGTAAATATCTATGCACCCAACATCAGAAACCAAAATATATAAAACAAATATTATTACAGCTAAAAAGACAGGCTAATACAACAATAGTTGGGGATTTCACCACTCCCACATTCAGCATGGAAGAGATTATCTAGACAGAAATTCAAGAAACATTGGATTTAAACTGCACTTTAGACCAAATGGATCTAACATTTAGAGAACATTTCAGGCAACAGCAGCAGAAAATAAATTCTTCTCATGAACACATGGAACATTCTCCAGGATGGACCATATGTTAGGCCATAAAACAAGCCTCAAGAAAGTTTTAAAAATTGAAATCATATCAAGTATCTTCTAAGACCACAGTGAAAATTAGGAATCAACAACAGGAACTTTGGGAACAAATATGTGGAAATTAAACAACATACACCTGAATAACCAATGGGTCAATGTAAAAATTAAGAAAGAAAGTAAAAATTCTTGAAACAAATGAAAATGGAAAAACATACCAAAACCTTTGTGACACAGAAAAAGCAATGCTAAGAGGGAAGTTTATAGCAATTAACGTCTATACCTGAAAAGTAGAAAGATGTTGAATAAACAACCTAAAAAATCCACCTCAAAAAACTAGAAAAGCAAGAACAGACTAAACCTAAAATTAGTAAAAGGAAAGAAAGAATAAAGAGCAAAGCAAAGCAAAATGAAATAGAAACTGAAAAAAACAATACAAAGAATCAACAAAATGAAAAATTGGTTCTTTGAAAATATAAACTCAATCAATAAACCACTAGCTAGTCTAACCAAGAAAAAGGATCCAAACAAATAGAAGTAAAAAAAGAGACATGGCTGGTCACGGTGGCTGACACCTGTAATCCCAGCACTTTGGGAGGCCGAGGCAGGCAAATTACCTGAGGTCGGGAGTTCAATACCAGCCTGACCAACATGGAGAAACCCTGTCTCTACTAAAAATACAAAATTAGCCAGGTATGGTGGCTCATGCCTGTAATCCCAGCTACTCGGGAGACTGAGGTAGGAGAATTGCTTGAACCTGGGAGGCAGAGGTTGTGGTGAGCTGAGATCACGCCATTGCACTTCAGCTTGGGCAACAGAAGCAAAACTTCATCTAAAAAAAAAATTACAACGGATGCAACAGAAATACAAAAGATCATTAGAGACAATTATGAGCAACTATACAATAACAAAAATGGAAAACCTACTGGAAATATATACATTCCTGGACACATGCAACCTACCAACATTGAACCAGGAAGAAATAGAAAACAAAGATACCAATAACAAGTAATAAGATTGAAGCAGTAATAAAAAACTCTCCCAATAGAGAAAAGCCCAGAACCAGATTTACTGCTAAATTCTAACAAACTTTTAAAGAAGAAATAACACCGGCTTTGCAGTTGTCACCACTGGGAGCCCCGTATTATCACCCATGATCAACCCCACCATGTTCTTCGACATCGCCGTCGATGGTGAGCCCTTGAGGTGTGTCTCCTTTGAGCCTTTTGCAGACAAGTTTCCAAAGACAGCAGAAAACTTTCATGCTCTGAGCATTGGAGAGAAAGGATTTGGTTATAAGGGTTCCTGCTTTCAGATAATTATTCCAGGGTTTATGTGTCAGGGTGGTGACTTCACACGCCATAATGGCACTGGTAGCAAGTCCATCTACAGGGAGAAATTTGATGATGAGAACTTCATCCTAATGCATACAGGTCCTGGCATCTTGTCCATGGCAAAGGCTGGATCCAACACAAACAGTTCCCAGTTTTTCATCTGCACTGCCAAGACTGAGTGGTTGGATGGCAAGCATATGGTCTTTGGCAAGGTGAAAGAAGGCATTAATGGCCAGGCGTGGTGGCTTACACCTGTAATCCCAGCACTTTGGGAGGCTAAGGTGGGTGGATCACAAGGTCAGGAAATTGAGACCATCCTGACTAACAAGGTGAAGCCCTGTCTCTACTAAAAATAGAAAAAAAAAAAAATTAGCCAGATGTGGTGGCAGGCACCTGTAGTCCCAGCTACTCAGGAGGCTGAGGCAGGAGAATAGCATGAACTTGGAAGGCGGACCTTGCAGTGAGTTGAGATCACGTGACTGCACTCCAGCCTGGGCGACAGAGCAAGACTCTGTCTCAAAACAAAAAAAAAAAGAAGGCATGAATATTTGTGGAGGCCATGGGGGACTTTGGGTCCTGGAATGGCAAGACCTGCAAGAAGATCACCACTGCTGATTGTGGACCCTCTAATAAGTTTGACTTGTGTTTTATCTTTTTGGTGGTGTTTTGTTTTGTTTTGTTTTGTTTTGTTTTGTTTTGTTTTGCTTTGTTTGAGATGGAGTCTCACCCTGTCACCAGGCTGGAGTACAGTGATGCAATCTCGGCTCACTGCAACCTCCAACTCCCTGGTTCAAGAAATTCTCCTGCCTCAGCCTCCCAAGTAGCTGGGATTACAGACACACACCACCACACCCAGCTAATTTTTGTATTTTTAGTAGCGACAAGGTTTTTTCCATGTTGGCCAGGATGGTCTTGATCTCCTGACCTCATGATCCACCCACCTTGGCCTCCCAAATTGCTGGGATTACAGGCATGAGCCACCGTGCCCAGCCAACTTGTGTTTTATCTTAACCACCAGACCATTCCTTCTGTAGCTCAAGAGAGCACCCCTCCACCCCATTTGCTCACAGTATCCTATAATCTTTGTGCTCTCACTGCATTTCCCTTTGGGTTCCATGTTTTCCTTGTTCCCTTCCATGCCTAGCTGGATTCCAGAGTTAAGTTTATGATTATGAAATAAAAATTAAATCACACAAAAAAAGAAATAACACCAACTTTTATCAAACTATTCCAAAAAATTGAAGAGGAAGGAATTCTTCTTAACTCATTCTGTGATGCCAGCATTACCCTGATACAAAACTAGACATAATCAAATGAAAAATAAAACTACAGGCCAATATCTTTGATGAAAATAAATGCAAAAATCCTTAACAAAATGCTAGCAAACTGAATCCAGCAACACATCAAAAAAATAATACGATGATCCAATGGGATTTATCTCAGGGATGCAAGGATGGTTTGACATACACAAATCAATAAACATGATACATCATTTCCAACAGAATGAAGGACAAAAACCATATGATCTTCATATTAGTCCATTTTCACACTGCTATAAATAAACCTGAGACTGGGTAATTTGTAAAGGAAAGAGGTTTAATTAACTCAACATTCCACATGGCTGGGGAGGCCTATGGAAACTTACATTCATGGCAGAAGGCAAACAGAAAGCAAGAAGCTCTTCACATGGCAACAGGAGAGAGAAGTGCAAGCAGGGGAAATGCCAGACGCTTACAAAACCATCAAATCTCAGAGAACTCACTATCAGAACAACATGGAGGAATCTGCCCCCATGATCCAATCACCTCCCTCCCTCAACACGTGGGGATTACAGGTCCCTCCCTCAACATGTGGGGATTATAATTCGAGATGAGATTTGGGTGGGGACATAGAGCCAAATCATATTAATCTTCTCAATAGATGCAGCAATCGCATTTGCTAAAATTAAACATCACTTCATGATAAAAACAAATTTAGCATAGAAGGAACATACTCAGTGTAATAAAAGCCATATATGAGAAACACAGCTAACATCATACTGAAGAGGGAAAAGCTTAAAGCCTTTCTTCTAAGAACTGGAACCAAAGTTGCCCACTTTCACCTCTACTAATCAACATATAGTACTGGAAGTCCTAGCCAGAACAATCAGGTAACAGAAATTTTAAAAAGGCCTCCAAATTGGAAAAGAGGAAGTTAAATTGTCCCTCTTTGCATATGAATTGACCTTATATTTTAAAAACCTGAAGACTCCAGCATAAAGCTCTTAGAACTGATAAATGAATTCAGTAAAGTTATAGGATACAAAATCAACATTAAAACGTCAGTGGTGTTTTTATCCACCAACAATGAACTAGCTGAAAAAGAAATCAAGAAAGCAATCCCATTTACAATCACTATCCCCCCTACCAAAATACCTAGGTGTATATATATATATATGTATAGGAATATGTATATATATAGGAATATGTATATATATATGTATAGGAATATGTATATATAGGAATACACACACACACACACATATATAATATATATATGGAGATAAAATACCTCTACAAGGAAAACTATGAAACACTGATAAAAAGAAATTGTAGAGGACACAAACAAATGGAAAGACATCTCATGCTCACGGACTGGAAGAATCAACATTGTTAAAATGACCATACTACCCAAAACCATCTGTAGATTCATGCGATCCCTATCAAAACGCCGATGATACTCTTCACAGAAATAGAAAAAACAATCCTATAATTCATATGGAACCACAAAAGATCCCAAGTAGCTAAAACAGTACTGAGCAAAGAAAACTGGGCAGGCATGGTATCTCATGCCTGTAATCCTAACACTTTGAATGGCTGAGGCAGGAGGATCGCCTGAGCTGAGGAGTTCAAGACCAGCCTGGCCAACATAGTAAGACCCTCATCTCCACACACACACAAAAATTAAAATTAGTGTGGTGGCATGCATCTGTAGTCCCAGCTACTCAGGAGGGTGAGGTAGGAGGATCATTTGAACCCAGGAGGTCAAGGCTGCACTGAGCTGTGATCATACTACTGCACTCCAGCCTGGGTGACAGAATGAAACCCTGCCTTTAAAAAAAAAAAAAAAAAGCTGGTGGTATCACGCTGCTTGACTTCAAAGTATGCTACAAACCTATAGTAATTAAAACAGCAGCCAGGCGCGGTGGCTTATGCCTGTAATCCCAGCACTTTGGGAGACCAAGGTGGGCAGATCACGAGGTCAGGAGATCAAGACCATCCTGGCTAACACGGTGAAACCCCGTCTCTAATAAAAATACAAAAAACTAGCCAGGCGTGGTGGCATCGCCTGTAGTCCCAGCTACTCGGGAAGCTGAGGAAGGAGAATCACTTGAACCCGGAAGGTGGAGGTTGCGTGGGCCAAGATCACGCCAGTGCACTCCAGGCTGGGTGACAGAGCAAGATTCCATCTCAAAAAAAAAAAAAAAAAACCAGCATGGTACTGGTATAAAAACAGACATATAGACCCATGAAACGTAATAGAGAACCTAGAAGTAATTCCACATGTTGACAGCCAACTGATTTTTGTCAAAGGTGCCATGAACACACATGGGAAAAAGGATCCCTCTTCAATAAATGCTACTGGGAAAACCGGATATCCATATGCAGAAGAATGAATGTAGGCCCCCTAATTCTCACTGTGTACAACAATAAAGAGTTGGATTAAAGAGTTAAACATAAGACCTGAAACTAGCCAAGTGTGGTGACTCACACCTGTAATCAGGCAGGAGCATCGCTTCAGCCAACGAGTTCTAGACTAGCCTAGGCAACATAATGAGACCTTGTCTCTGCAAACAAACAAACAACAACAAAAACACCTGAAACTATAAAACTACTACAAGGAAACATACGGCAAAGTCAAATAGTCTTTTCCTAGACTGAACTCCTGGGCTCAAGTCATCCTCCTGCCTTGGCCTCCCAATATTAACCCCACAAGAGATTGTTTATACAGTCACAATTTATTTAGATCTATGTCCGTTTTTACCATTGTTGCTTTTCAAATCCTTTCTCTTGCATTTTTAAACTTTCAACTGAAATAATTTTTTCTTCTTAGACCAAAGAATATACTTTAATATTTCCTTTGGTTGGTCTGCTCTGGATGAATTACCTCAACTTTATTTTGCCTGGTAATAAACAGTAGTTTTGCTGGGTATAGATATTTAGTTAGTTGTTTTTCAGCACTTTGAAGGTATTTTTCCATTGTCTTCTTGCTTCTGTCATTTCTATGGAAAAGTTAGCCTTATGTTTTGGTGTGTGTTTTTTCCACTAGCCACTTTTTTTTTTTTTTTTTTTTTTTGAGGCAGAATCTCACTCTGTCACCCAGGCTGGAGTGCAGTGGCACGATCTTGGCTCACTGCAAGCTCTGCCTCCCGGGTTCACGCCATCTCCTGCCTCAGCCTCCCGAGTAGCTGGGACTACAGGCGCCCGCCACCATGACTGGCTAATTTTTTGTATTTTTAGTAGAGACGGGGTTGCACCGTGTTAGCCAGGATGGTCTCAATCTCCTGACGAGATCCACCCGCCTCGGCCTCCCAAAGTGCTGGGATTACAGGCGTGAGCCACCGCGTCTGGCCTCCCACTAGCCACTTTTAATGATTTTCTTGTTGTCTTTGGTTTTTAGCAGTTTTACTATGATAGGCCTAGAGATGGTTTTCTGTGTCTCCTTCCTGGTTGGTGTTTGCAGGGCTCAAATCTGTAGCTTGATGCTTTTCATCATTTGGGAAATTCCAAGGCATTATCTCTTTAAACCTTTTTCTGCATCATTCTTTCTTCTTTGGAACTATAATTACACATGCTTTTAACTATATAGTCTATATTTACTACTGTCTTCTCTATAATCTGTTGTATTTTTCTTATATATATTTGTCTCACCTATATTCCAGTTTACTGTTTCTCTGATTTTGAGTTCTTAGTTTCACTATTGTACTTTTTGACTCTATAGTTTCTCTTTAGTTCTTTTCAGTTCTGCTATGCCCTTTTTAAAATTTTCCTATTCCATGCTGATATTCTCAGACTTTTTTTTTTCTTTTTTGAATCATCTTGAACATTTTAAACATAGTTACAGACCGGGCGCGGTGGCTCACGCCTGTAATCCCAGCACTTTGGGAGGCCGAGGCGGGCGGATCACGAGGTCAGGAGATCGAGACCATCCTGGCTAACATGGTGAAACCCCGTCTCTACTAAAAAATACAAAAAAAACTGAATCCAGCAACACATCCAGCAACAGAGCGAGACTCCGTCACAAAAGACAAAACAAAACAAAAAACAAACATAGTTACATTAAGCTGTACATCTAATTAACTCTTAATTTACAACCTATGTGTCTGTTTTTGTTATTTCTGCTGACCCTATTTGTGTTGTCCTGTCTCATTTGCTTGCATGTTTATTTATGTTGGATAATTACATCCGTGATAACTCTAATTTCAAGGACAGATAAACTATTTATTCTTATTCCTTAAGTACTGTTCTTTGGGGGTTCCTGCCCAAAATGTGGAAGTTTTGCTAGAGTATCCCAACCTTGGCATTCCCTTACCCTAATTTTTGTCTCCCCATCCCTTCAAGGCTGTTATAAGTACTGCTTAGACTCTTGACCTCCTGTTCTGGAATAAATAAACATTTCCAGGGTTAAGTGGTTCCAAATGCTTGGCTCATCTCTCTGGTTTTCCATCTTCTGCTACATCTTGGCTTAGATTGTCTTTTTAGCTTTATGATAACTTCAAGACTTTTTATATTTTGCCTTTTTTTTTTTTAATGGAGTTTTGCTCTTGTCGCCCAGGCTGGAGTGCAATGGCGCCATCTCAGCTCATTGCAACCTCTGCTTCCTGGGTTCAAGCGATTCTCTTGCCTCAGCCTCCCAAGTAGCTGGATTACAGGTGCCCGCCACCATGCCCAGCTAATTTTTGTATTTTTGATAGAGACGGGGTTTCGCCATGTTGACCAGGCTGGTCTCGAACTCCTGCTCTCAGGTGATCTGCCCTCCTCAGCCTCCCAAAGTGCTGGGATTACAGGTGTGAGCCACCACGTCCAGCTTATTTTGGCCTTTTTTTTTTTTTTTTTTTTTTTGCAAGAGAGTTGTCAGCATTACCTTTTCCATCTTTTCTCTTACCCCCACTAACTATTCATCCATTTTAATATGGCTTCTGTCTCATTTCATTGAGCCTGATTTTGTTCATTTTCTCACCCACATCCTCCATGATGCCAAATCTAATAGATACATTTCAGTTCTCATGCTTTTCTCCTCTCAGCAGCAATTTGACATAGTTAACTATTCCTGTTTTATGCTTTCTTGCCTTGCCTTCTAATCTTAGGGTTTTCTACCATCTCAAAACACTTTTCTTTTTTCTTTCTCTTTTTTTTGAGACAGAGTTTCACTCTTGTTGCCCAGGCTGGAGTGCAATGGCATGATCTCGGCTCACTGCAGTCTCCACCTCCCAGTCAAAAGCTCACTTCCTTTTCAATGTTTCACTAAGTCTTTCTCCTTTATCCAATTTTAATTTTTTCTTTGCTTCTTATAAACAATTTTATATAAATGCATAAATGTGATCATAACTGCTTATTTTTTAAGTGAAACCTTTTTTTTCTTGAATTTTGGTTACTCCCCACCTCTCTCAATCAATCCCACTCCCATTCCTACTAGGCGACTCATGTCATTATACTTGTTTGCAACCTCTATTTCTCTCCATGCTTGTGTAATCATATACAGAAAAAAAATCTGTAAAGACATACATACATACATTAGATAGGATGCTCTGCCATTGTTTTATAAAATTGTACTATATTATTTCTTGACTCAAAAATACTTCCTGGAAACCTCTCCAATTCATTCTTCTGAATGGCTGAGTTGTAACTCATGATGTATAATAATTTATTCAATCATTTATCTGTAGACGGGCATTTACAATTTCCAGTTTCTTTTCTTCCCCACTATGAACAATACTGCAATAAATGTCCTTGTATATATCCTTATATACCAACACTAACACCTTTATTCTCATGGAATAGATTCCCAAGAGAAGAAGATGTGTGGGGCATATTTTTAAAAGCTTTATTGTAAGTACGTTTTAAAATCTTTATTGTAAGTACATTTTAAAATCTTTATTGAAGTTTAACATGCTTTTAGAACATAACATAAAGATAAAAATCATATAGGAATATAGCTTATTTTTCACAAACTGAATTGTCTTTGTGACCAGCACCCAGATCAAAAATAGAAAATTACCAGTCTCAGAAGTTCCTTTCACGCCACCTTCTAGTTACTAACTCCCCTGTAAAGTGCGCATCTTGTGAACTTCAAAGACTATATATATATTAGGTTTTGCCTGTTTTTATAAAATGGAATTTTATAAAATTCCTACTTTATAAAATGGAATGTTTAATACTGTCAGATTGGTTTCCTAAGAACTTTTAATACCTATTTTCACCATCAAAGTGTGAGGTGGGTACTCTTTCTACCACATCTTAGACAAAAATATATCATTGCTTCTTCTTTTTTTTTTTTTTTTTTTTGCTGGTTGCATTGTTAAAATAATTTCCCTAACTACTAATTAACTTATTTTAAAAATTGGTTGGCTCTTTGGATTTCCTCTTCTATTTCTATTATTTGTCCATTTTGTGATTAGCCTGGCTTATCAATTTGTAAGAGCCCTTTACATGTATGTTGGCTCTTTTCATCTACATTGCAAATATTTTCCCCAAATCTATTGTTTGTATACTGGCTTTTTTAATGGTGTATTTTGCCATACAAACTTCCTAGTCAAATATGTTTGTCTTTTGTTTTATAACTTCCAAATTTTCTGACTTAATTAAGGATTCTGTTGGCCTTAGCCAGTCAGAAATGTTGTAGCTTTTTGGAGTTTAATTTTAGGTTCCCTTTCTACTTTCTTTACAAGCTCTCTAGTTGATCTTACCCATTTCCATAGCTTTAAATCTCCCGCATGTGCTCATGATGTCCACATGTATATCTCCAGCCCAGCCCTCTCCTTTGAGCTGCAGTAATATGAATCTCACTGCCTACCATCTATGAAGGGTATGCTAGGTCCTGGGGGAGACAGTGGTATGTGGTTCCTACCCTCATAACTCACTAGAGGAAGTAGGTACTATGTGTTAAATTGAAGGGATGCCTGGGAGACTTGATATATTGCACATTTTATATTGCTGTAAGGGAAAGGCAACAAAGGATTAGTTCTGTGATATATGTAGAACTACTACAAATCTATTAGAAATTGTCAAACAACTCAACAGAAAAATAAGCAAAGGAAATAAAAAGACAATTCTCAGAAAAGGAAACCTGAATCGACAATAAACATGTAAGATACTCAAAAAATAAAGTGAGAAAACAAAATGAGAAAAAATAAGATTAAAATGCAATATTGTTTAAACCCTCAGATTGGCAAAACTTTAAAAGCCTGACCACATATCAAGTGTGGTGAAAATATTAGGAAAAGAAAACTCTACTGCTGGCCAAAGTATACAACAGCACAACTGCCCTGGAGGGCAGTCTGGCAAATATCTAATAGTACTGAAGATGCACCTACCCTTTGATTTAGCAATTCTGCTCCTCAATAGACCTGGAACAGTGCTTCTAAATCTTTGATGTACAAATCACCACGGGGGTCTTGTTAAAACACAGATTCTCCTTCAATAGGCCTGGGGAAGAACCCGTGATTCTTAATTTCTAACAAGCTCCCAGGTGATGTCATTGCTGTTGGTACAGGGGCACACTTAAAATACCAAGACCCAAGAGAAACTCTTGAACATAAACTCAAGGGACATACACAAAGATGTTCATTAGAGCCACTGATGTGTTGATGATCATCTGAAAACTAGGGGTATGCGCAGCTAAATTTGTATGGTTGAATGCAAAAGTTAAAGGAACTGGAGATACACATACCAACCTAGATCAAAAAACATTGTTGAGTGAGGGAAAACCATGATGTAGGAAGGATACACAGAATGTGATAACATTTAAATTTTAAAATAATACTGTACTTTTTTGATATATATCAAAAAATATATATCAAAAGTAAAATAATACAAACTTGCACATGGGAATGATAAACATCAAATACACATTAGTGATTAGTTGCACAAGGGAGGGGAAGGGAACAGGGAGGGTATATGGGTATTCAGTTGCATTGGTAATGCTTTAGTTATTAAACTGGGTAATAGGTACACCTAGTTTAATAATACAGCTGTGTTATATTTTCTATTTTTTTGTACATCTGAAATATCTAATTAAATAACTAAGACAAGTAATAGCCTCAAGTTTTAAGGTGAGGAAACTGAGGCTCAAGAACTTAACTTGCTGTGCCAAACTTCAGATCTAGGCTATACTCTTTCCACATTATTGTGCTACTTTGAATTAACAAAACGAAACAAACGTGGATTTACCATGTCAAAGGCAAGACTATATTCCTGGGGTTGGTCTCCATAAAGACGGAATCAAACTGTACTCGCAAGTGTTTGCTTAGGTACACGACAACCCCTGCAAATCACGGATTTTGACCTCTAATAACTACAGTTCAAAGCCCAATGCCTAAAAATAATTGCTTTGCTTTTGGACATGACACAAAATATTTTTCTAGCAGATAAAATATGGCCATTAAAAGAAGACTTTTACTCAAGAAAAATGAAAACAAACCACAACTCCCAAATCCATGAAAGCAAACCCAAATGTGAGTTTAACAAGCCTCAGAGTCCCTGTTAGACTGTTTCCTGGTCTTCCATTGGCATTGAAGCAAAACTAGGGGGTGGAATGGGAAGACCAGGGAGGTTTTTTGGTAAAAATCTTTTATAAACTTAAATTTTTGTTTTATTTTGTAGAGACAGGGTCTCACTATGTTGCTCAGGCTGGTCTTGAACTCTTGGGCTAAAGCAATCCTACTGTCTCAGCCTTCCAAAATGTTGGGATTAGAGGCATGAGCCACCAGCCCAGCCTTGTAAACGTTTTTGTAAAGGTAGTACGCTGAGCTGCCAGTGGTAAAGACTTCAAAATAAAAGGTGTTAGAAGAAAGAAGGAGTCAAGGCTTTTCAATACACCCACGCTGCCGCCCTGCAACCCTGCATGTTGCCTGCCGGGTCCTGGCCTCTCCAAAATGTCTTCCCTCACTGCTCTCCTGCCCCTCAATTTCTCTTTCCTGCTGTTAGAACCTGGTTCTGCCTCTGTTCTGCCCAAAATCTCTTCAAAATATGTTAATGACAGGGAGATCGTAGTAAAGGGCCTAAGTCTTAGTATCAGAAAAACCTGGATTTAAAATCCTATGCCACTACTGAGCAACTCACTCAGCCTGAGACAATCTATCTATCTATCTATCTAGACCAGTGCTGTCCAACAGAACTTGGTGTGGTGACGGAAATGTTCTATATACTGTCTGGTATGATAGCCACTAGCCACATGTGACTGTTGAGCACTTGAAGTGTAGCTAGCGTGACTAAGAAACTGAATTTTTGATTGTACTTAATTTTAATTAACTTAAATAGCCATGTGACTAATGGCAACCATATTGGACAGAGCAAGTCAAAAAAATGGAGAATGCCCCTTCACACAGAAGATCAGCAGTGATAACAGATGTGAAATGCCCCAATGTGGTCTACTATTAAACTATATCCTGCCTTGAAAGACTTTCAGAGTATTGAAGTGACCAACCCTCAGGCACTTAATGTACTGACTTGGCTGGTCTTTGTGAGTATGCCTGCACAGGCCGATTCAGTCACAGAAGCACTAACAAACAAACACTGGCACCACATCCAGGCACAGATACGCAACTCAGACTTTTTAAATACTGCCTGAGGAAGCACTTGATACAATCTGGTGTAAAGGAGTTTTTGCTTCTTTTCCTTTTGGTTTATGTCTTCACCATGTTAATTAAACAAAACAACTACATTTTCAGAAACCCACATTTTAAATTAAATTCTTGTGACACTATCTGAAGTTTCCTTAATGTTTCCAAATAAAAAAAAGTTTCTCATTTTCTTCAGTTAAACTAATTGTATCATTATGTACCAACTGCTTTAAACTAGAGAGAAAACCTATCTGCACAGGTTAAAAACACATACTTACCCATACATATAAACACAAATCAAGCAGATTTTTTTAAAAGTATTTATTATAGTAAAGGTTACTGTTGTAAAACATTAGTGACTTTGGTCCATATCTTATTTGCCATTTGTCTTTAAAACATTTTACATTATTTGCATCATAAATTGTAATTTTTATGACTATACATAATTGGTTTTTTTCCTGACCCTTGGAATGTTAGTTTCATGTAACTTTTTAAAAAATTAAAACATTGCAGACTAAATGTACTGATAAGTACATACTGAACACATTTAATTACCACAGTAATTAAAAAGTCCTGATCTTTACTTCTTAAGATGAAAATTCATTAACTTGCAATCTCTGGGATTTCTCTATTATCCACAATGAGAGTATGAATAATCCCTTCTTTCCGCTTCCCACTACTGACAGCCTTTATGTAACAGTCATGGTTCCCGATACTGAAGTGAGTTTCAGTCCCATCATCTACAAACTCACCCTGGAGCAACAAAAGAAGAAGGAATTAGTGGTGCAGAAACTTTTATCTCTGTCTAGAGCATTCACACCATCTAAAAGTACTAGTAGTGCAATAAAATAATGTATTAGTTAAACAATAAGCTTTGAAAAACAAAGTCTAAAGCTTGTACTTAGATGCTTTTACATTTCTGTTATGAATTGAAAGTTTCCTTTTCATAACCCCTACAATCCTTAAGAATCTTAAATTCTTGGGGGAGGAATATAAACCTCATGACTATGTGTCTATGTTTTCAAAAATAAAAATGATAAATATGACATTTATTAGTTATTTATAATATACCTCAAGTGATCTACCCACCTTAGCCTCCCACAGTGCTGGGATTACAGGTGTGAGCCACTGCATCCAGCCAGGGATGGAGTGTTCTTAGCCACTCTGAAAATCTGATTCCTCTGGGTATAAGGTGGCTTACAGTAAAATATACATATAACAAAACCAAACACCACTAAATCTATACCTGTTCTGTTCAATACAGTAGCCACTGGCCACATGTGGCTATTGGGCACTTCAAATTGACTAGTCTGAAAATAGATATGCTGTTTAAATATAAAATAGACACTGGATTTAGAAGACCTAGTATGAAACAAAAAAATGTATAAAATAACTTTTTATACTGATTACATGTTAAATACTATTTTTGGTATATTGATTTAAATCAAATATAATATTTAACTTCACCTAAAATTTTTTCAAATATGGATACTAGATAAATTAAAATTACACATGAAGGTCCTATCTGTGCCTCATATTATGCTTTGATTGAGTAGCAGTGATCTAGAGTAAAAAGATTAGCGCCAGGTAGCGCAGAGAAGGAAGGAAGAAAGAAGAGGCTTAGAGGATAAAAAAAAGATTTATGCCAGAAAGCAAAGAAACCAAAAATCAGACTTAAACCCCCTGGCTATTAGCTTCCTGGCAGCCAAAGTAGATAGAACAAGGCCCCCCAGTTAACAAACCAAGCCAAAGAAGGCACAGGATGCCTCAGGGAGAGAAGCCTTTTCCTAGCTCTGGGAAGGATGTGGCCCGTGGCTCCTTATGGGAGGTATGCTGAATACCACAAGCATGTCCTTGGGTGCAGTGTGTTCTTGTCCCCATTTTTAATATTGAGCCTTGAAAAAAGACTTCGGAAGAAAGGGCAAGGGTTAGGTAATACAATCTATATACGTAGCTTCTTGGCAATTGGACAAATATATAATTTTGGCACGATGCTTTGAGATAAAAAGGAGAAAATAAGCTGTAACTCACAGGCAACAAGATGAGTTTGTTGTGGGTACGTACAGTACTGGGGAAGGCTGCCTAGATATGGGGCTGCCCAAACTGCCCTGCAAACTAGGTTGTAGTTACAATGAGAAGGCAACTGTGTTATAAAGAGCTATTTCCAAACACATGTAGTTTCCTGTTAATTACTACAAAACAAAGACATGTGGATGAATATTATTTTCACCTTTTTACAACCACAACAACATTCCTTGTGTATGTGTGTGACAGGGTCTTGCTCTTGCCACCCAGGCTGGAGTACAGGGGTACAACTGTAGTTCATTGCAGCCTTGAACTCCTGGGCTCAAGCAGTCCTCCTGCCTCAGCCTCCTGAGCAGCGGGGACCAGGTACACACCACCATACACAGCTAACTTAAAAAAAAAAATTTATAGAGATAGGGCCTCATCATGTTGCCCAGGATGGTCATGAGCTCCTGGCCTCAAATGATCCTCCCATCTTGGCCTCCCAAAGTTACAACTGCATTTTTTTTTTTTTTTTTGAGACAGGGTCTCACATTCTGTTACCGAGGCTGGAGTGCCGTGGTGCAACCTTGGCTCACTGCAGCCTCAATCTCCCTGGGCTCAGGTAATTCTTCCACCTCAGCCTCCTGAGTAGCTGGGACTATAGGCATGTGCCACCATGCTCTATTAATTTTTGTATTTTTAGTAGAGAGGGGTTTCGCCATGTCACCCAGACTAGTCTCTAACTCCTAGGTTCAAGCAATCTGCCCGCCTCAGCCTCCCAAAGTGCTGGGATTACATGCATGAGTCACCTCGCCCAGTACAACCATATTCTTAATACCATAAAACAGCATTCTCTTTACATGTGCACTGGAGAATTTCTTGAATATGGGAGGAAATGCAATTCAAAAGTGCTGATTCCCTATCTAGAGAATTCCAGGGTAGGAAAAAAAGAACAGGAAGAACCACCAGGTATGGCATTGGGCACACAGTAGGTATCTGATCCATGTTAGTGGTAACTGGAGTTTTTCCAAAGGGGGCCATAAAATACTGAAGCACTCTCCAAGCCTCTCTGCATAAAAGAAGTCTCTATCAGTAGATTTAACCCAGAGAACAGCTCAAGCACTCAATTTAGAGTGAGCCCAAATTAAATTCTTCAGGACTCAGAAACAGAAAAGCATTCATCTTCGTAACTTTTAAATTTCAATTGATTGATTAATTTTTTTAGAGATGGGTCTCACTATGTTGCTCAGGCTGGCCTAAAACTCCTAGGCTCAAGGGTCCCTCTCACGTCAGCCTCCCAAGTAGGAAGCCACTACAGACCTGTGCTACCACGTGTGGCTTCATCTTTGTAATTTTTGATTTCTGGTTTTGTCACCTCCTCAGAAACAGCTATCAGACCAAGTAGGTTCTAGGTGGTCTTCTGAATGAATTAATCCCAGACCTCCTTTCCTCCAACTACCAAAATCACCTTTTCTCACTGTCTTAAACCTATACTATACAAATGAGATAAAAGCAACTACAACATGCAAAATGTGACCAGAGAAGAGAGCTTCCGATTATCTCTAGCCCTGATGTTCACATCTGGAGCCAGCATGAAAGGTGGGTCCCAGGGATAGCACTCCCTGCTTGGCCCACAGACCCCATAAGACATGGGGATTACCACCCAGTGATTTCGGCTCCTAGTCCCACACTTTCTGTTTCCCACTCTCTCCCCTGTGCACACTACTACTGTTTCACTCCTGCTTGAAATTCACTCCTACATTCATCCCATCCACAGCCATAGTAATCCAAGCACCTGATAGCAAAAGTCAAACACACTGGAGTCTATCTAGATGGGGATTTCAGTGTGCCTGGCCACAGTGACTGGGGGAGCCTCTTTCTCCTCGCATTGGCACTGCTGGTCTAAAATTCCACTTGTCCTCCGGGGTTCGTGAGAGTGCCCTTTCCTGTTCGTCTACCTTCGTGTCATCTGATATTGTATCACTCATTTTACAAAAATCTCGCTTTCAGAAAAGAACCATCTGCTTTGAGTGTATGGTGTAAAGCATTCCTAAAGTGTGATCTGTGGACCAGTAGCATTAGCAGCACCTAGGGAAATGTTAGAATTAGCATTTTAACAAGATTCCAGGCAATTTCTGTGCATGCAAGTTTGAGAAGCAGTGATAACGCACCACTTCAAATGGATCAACACAAGAGGACACCAACCTCTGGGGATATAATTTTTTAACTAGGGGCTCTTTTTAGGTATTTTACTTGCTATGCTGGAGCCTGGTCCAGGACAGGAAAGGGAGAGTATGAAGCTAGTGCCAGCTAAGAACATGAGTTGTTTCCAAACTCACGGTACCAGGCACCATCTGGCAAAGGTTTTCAGAATCTGAAGTCAGGAGTACTTAATCCCTTTTTTGTTTTTATCAAGAGGGCCTTGATTCATTATAAGATCTCTATAATTAGGAAATGCAGCAACAATTCAATGGTAACTGAGACACATGGCACTTAGAGTCATCAAATAGTCAACTTACCGCTGTCTCCAATTTTTTACCATTGCACCATACGTCCATAGCATCTTTTTCTGTAAAGGTAACATAAAAACTTTAAGTTATAATTCTGTGATTTAAAGATAAAGTTAACTTTTCCTATTTATTACTTTAGGAAAGGATTGATATACCAGATCTCTAAAACTCCATTAATATTCCAAAACCCAACACTTTTTCATGGCTTTCATGGCTTGCAGACTCTCCTAAAATTTGAAGAAGCTGTGTTTGTTCTTTGTTCATAAAACTATAATGAAACAAAACAACCTTTTAAGAGAAAGTTATGGTCTTAATACAAATTGATGAAGCCTTATGAAACAAAATGAATCCAAAAGGACAATCTTTAAAGAAGGATGCATACAGGCCGGGCGCGGTGGCTCACGCCTGTAATCCCAGCACTTTGGGAGACTGAGGCAGGCGGATCACAAGGTCAGGAGATCGAGACCATCCTGGCTAATACGGTGAAACCCCATCTCTACTAAAAATACAATAATTAGCCGGGCATGGTGGTGGGTGCCTGTAGTCCCAGCTACTTGGGAGGCTGAGGCAGGAGAATGGCGTGAACCTGGGAGGTGGAGCTTGCAGTGAGCCGAGACCGCACCACTGCACTCTAGCCTGGGCAACAGAGAAAGACTCCATCTCAAAAATAAATAAATAAATAAATAAATAAATAAATAAAAAAGAAGGATGCATACAGATGAATGTGAGGAGGGACCCTTCCATACAAAATGCCCTTCAATATTGACCAGATGACTCCCCTGCCTCCCACACTCACCCAACTGGGTGATGGCACAAAAGACCACTGAAAGCAGCTGCCACGGGATTTATATAGGATAGACAGCATGTCCGCTTTAGAAATCTAGTCCAGCTTCTTACTAGGTAGTACAATAATGTCTATTCCTTTTCATAATGGTTTCAGTTTAGAGAAAAATTATTGGATTACAAGTAAAAAATAGGTATAGCTGGTGGACTGCACACTAAGGAACAATATGGAACAAAATGCTGCCCCGACACACTTAAATGGATCAGTTAACTTGCCATAGCTCATCTCAGGGTGGAGGAGTCCCCAGAGCCCCTTGCAAATGTTAGTGTCCTCAGGAGTAGCAGGAGAGAAGACTACACTAATCAAGAAGCCAGAAGTTGAGCTTTGGGTATTACAGTGAAGAAGAGAAGGAAGTATGGCCTGTATGTGCACAAGGAGTCTGGGGGTCAGGTTTGAGGCACCAGTCCAGGGTCTTACTGCCTGGCCATCTGCTCCAGGAGCACAGTCTAAAGGGGGTTCTTTCTCTCCCCATACCTTGAGATGGGAGCCTCACTTAGAGATGGGAGAAAAGCCTTTGAGGTGCGCTAGATGGAAAAAGAGAAAGCCAGAGGGGTCCAGGAGATATGGGCAGGGGTCACCTCAGTGGCAGCCTTCATAGAAAGCTGCTATAGTCACAGGTGCAGGTAAACTCAACTTGTCCCAAGACATGATCAGTGCACACAGTGCTATGATAAACCACGATGATGGTAGAAACTGGTATTTTACTTGCTATGCTTACTGAACATGTACGTGTACTCAGAGTTTCTACAATAGCGTATTAGCATGCCTCTGAAGAACACTACTAATCCAGAAGCCCTAAAAGAAAATGTATTAAATTTGACTACATAAAAGTACAAAAAAAGGCCAGGCACGGTGGCTCATGCCTGTAATCCCAGCACTTTGGGAAGCTGAGGCAGGCAAATCACAAGGTCAGGAGTTCAAGACCAGTCTGGCCAACATGGTGAAACCCCGTCTCTACTAAAAATACAAAAAATTAGCTGGACGTAGTGGCGGGCGCCTGTAATCCCAGCTACTCAGGAGGCTGAGGCAGGAGAATTGCTTGAACCCAGGAGGCAGAGGTTGCAGTGAGCCAAAATTGCACCACTGCACTCCAGCCTGGGCGACAGAGTGAGATCCTGTCTTGGGAAAAAAAAAAAAAAGTAAAAAAGCCACAGCACAATTGAAGAAAAATGCACACACATTAGCAAAGTCATGTAATAAATGACAAACTCTGAAAAAAATATGTCAAACTCACAGCATGAACAAAGGACTAAACTTACTAATGTGAAGACTATGAGAAATCAAGGAGAAAAAGACCAACAACCAAAAGAAAATGGGGCAAAGGGCATGAACAGGCATCATGAGAAAGGAAATACAAAAGAAACTTAAAACTAAGATGCTCAACCTCACTTATGAAAAAGACAAAAACAACCCTGAAATACCATTGCTTCACCTAGCAGAATGCCAAAAAATCCAAAAGTTTGGCTACATGTTCTGCTGGAGAACCTGGGGAAAATAGCTAACGGGGGTACAAAATGGTAAAAGTACCATGGAAGGCAAATGGGCAAAATCTATTAAGATGACAAATACAATTAGTCTTTGACCCAGAAGAATAGAAGTCCTACTTTCCTACTTCCAGAAATGTGTACTAATATAATATGTGTCCTGTTCCAAGAGGCATGCAAACAAAGCTATTCATGCAGCATTGCTTCTAACAGCAAAAGATTAGAAACAGCTCAAGTGTTCATCAGTTGGGAATGAGCTAAATACACCATTTACTATTGAAATTTACTCTGCAGCTATAAAAAATATGAAAAAGTTCTTTAGGTTCTGATATAAAAGGATCTTCGGAATATAATAAGTGAATAAAGCAAGATGCTTTTATGTGGTAAGAGAGAATATGTGTACTCGCTTGAATCTGAATAAAGAAACACTAGAGTGACACTAAAAATGGTTATCTTGATGGGGGAACATGGCAGATGGGAACAGGGATGGAAGCAAGACTTTTTAATGTGTCTTTTAATAGCATTTTGATTTCTGAATCTTGAGTATGTAACCTATTCAAAGTGGTATGTTAATAAAAGGACATATCTAGCTGATAAAATTTCAAATCTATTATGACTCAGTGCTGGATTTAGTGACTCATGGGAGTTGCTGCTGCATGTTCATCTTGGAGCATCTCCTCTTTGCCTGCGGATTCCCTCAGCCGCATGAACAATAGCTAGGGACTTCCCAGGTGAGTCCTGAGCAGGTTATGTTCTGTAAATGCTATCAAAGAGAAACTTTTCAGAACAGAAAGAGAATTTCCTTCCAGCGTGAAGTTTCATATGTACTTTCCTCCTGCCAGCTTTATTTTCCTCCCATGGTATTCAGTGGTGTGGAGACTACAAGAGCTGAGAATGCTAACCAACCCTGTTTTCATTGCCCTTATATGCCTCACATTTTTTAGGTGGTGAAAAAAAATGCACATGATCTTTGAGGTCAGCTCTCAGCATCACTCTTTACTAGCAGTACCCTTTGGCAAGTCACCACCACTCTGAGCTTCCATTTCCTCAGGGGCAAATGAAGATGATACCACCTTTCCCATAGGCTGTTATAAGGGTTAGAAATAATTATATAAAGTGCCTAGTATAGTATCTGGCACATAATATGACCTTAGTAAATCATAATGTTTTGTTATTCAAAGCTTTTTTGTGGCCTTGCTCTAATTTCTCAATATAAAATTTAGCAAGTCATATAATATTGTTATTTGAAACTTGCCACATAACATACAAGAGTGAATTTTACCAGGAGACTCTAGATAAGCCCATTCTTTGCCCATGAGTAGTAATAATCACCACAAATAATATTTTTAAATTATTATCAATTTTTTTTTTTTTTGAGACAGAGTCTTGCTTGGTCACCCAGGCTGGAGTGCAGTGGCGCAATCTCAGCTCACTGCAACCTCCGCCTCCCAGGCTCAAGCAATTCTCCTGCCTCAGCCTCCCGAGTAGCTGGGATTACAGGTGCCCACCACCACGCCCAGCTAATTTTTGTATTTTTAGTAGAGATGGGGTTTCACCATGTTGGTCAGGCTGGTCTCGAACTCCTGACCTCAAGTGATCCACCTGCCTTGGCCTCCCACAGTGCTGGGATTACAGGTGTGAGCTACCATGCCCAGCCAAATTATTAAAATTTTGAGGCAGGGTCTCACTCTGTCATCCATGCTGGAATGCAGTGGTGCAATTTAGCTCACTGCAACCTTGAACCCCTAGGCTCAAGTGATCCTCTCGCCTCAGCCTCCCAAGTAGTTGGGACTACAGGCATGTGCCACTACACTTAGCTAATTTTTAAATATTTTGAAGAGATGAGGTCTCCCTATGTTGCCCAGGCTGGTCTTGAACTCCTGGGCTCAAGCGATCCTCCCACTTCAGCCTCCCAAAGTGCTGGGATTACAGGTGTGAGCCACTGCACCTGGCTGACAAATAATATTTTTAAAGAATTCACAATGTGAGAAACACTGTTAAGTACTTTACATGTACTAAATCAATTAAACTTCACTCATATCACAACTCTGTGAGGGAGTTACATTATCCCCATTTTACAGATGAGGAAACCAAGGTTCAGAGGTTAAGTAATTTGCCCATCACACAGCTCTGATCCTGGAGCCTGCATTCTTCATAACTAATCTGTAAAATGTAGGCTGTAGTCAGCATAGTCCAAAGTTTGATGGATCTTGGAAGCAGAAGTGCAAGCAATATCAATAACATATGCAATTTTGCCTTTACCTCAGTAAACAACTCTGGTCCCTTATCCCTTCCAAACAGCAAAAGGGACAAGTTGGGGCTGAACTCTGTCTCATTTCCAGGCTCATGAGGGATTGCAAATGGATAAAGAAGAGTAAAGGCAGACAAGGAGTAAAAGCAGAAAAATATATTTTTTAAAGACCCGAGATAATTCACAAGTAGATAAGCAGGCCCCTGGACATTTAAAAGAGAACTAACTGTATGCTAGGCATAGCTCAGGCAGTCTCTTCCATTTCACCTAGGAAAAGTTAATATCAATTGTATTACAAGTTGGCAAAGCAGCTGATTAAGTACCTAAAATTAATTTAAAGGCCTGGTTTCATCATCTGTTAAAGTCCCATATGTTTAAGTGTGTTGACACTAATCATAATCCTTTTAAAAACTAAAATTTCCATTATTAATGAGATCCAGTGGTTCTAAAACTTTATTGCAGGTTGAGTAACTATATTCCTAAACATATCACTATGAAATTTGGAAATATAAGGGATAAGATGAGCTCCCAAAACCTTCTGGAAAGAAAAAAATGAGATTCAGATTGGCACAAAACTTTTCATTTAAAACAATGGAGAATAGAAGCTACTGGAATAAGGGTTTCAAAAATTCTGAGAGAAAGTGAGTTTGAAATTAAAACTCTGTACTGAACAAAACTATCAACTTAGCATGAGGATCAAAGTAATGTTTATTTCTTAGACACCCTTTATCAGGAGATTACCTAAGGAATATATTCCAGTAAACAAAGATGAAAGCAGGAGTTGTGGGGTTCAATAACTGGAAGAACAAAAGGGTTCCATGAAAGAAAGCCTAGGGTGGCCACAAAGCAGCAGACTTGGATACTTAGAACAGGAGGGCAACAGACTTCCAAGAATATTGTTGTTAAGAATGAAAAGAAGGGTGGGCACAGCTGCTCACACCTGTAATCCCAGCACTTTTGGAGGCTGAGGCAGGAGGATCACTTGAGCCCAGGAGCTCTAGATTAGCCTGGCCAACATGGCAAGACCCTGTCTCTACAAAAAATTTTTTTAAAGTTAGCCTGGCATGGTGACATGGACCTGTGGTCCCAGCTACTCGGGAGGCTGAGGCTGGAGGATCACTTGAGCCCAGGAGGACAAGGCTGCAGTGAGCCATGTTCATGCACACCACTGCATTCCAGCCTGGGCGACAAAGTGAGACTCTGTCTCAAAAACATAAAAGAATGAAAAGAATTCCAAGCAATAGAGAACACGAGTAAAACTGCTAAAAGACATAGGAATATGGGCAAAGAAAAGATATATATCTGCTTCCCATAAGAAAAGAGAAACCCAAACAGAAAAGCCTAGAAAAACAAACAAAAAAAACTCTTCAAAAAGTCCTAGACTTTGATAATTTTGATCTGATGCAGTCCTAAGCCTATTGTTATCTAGGAAAATATTGCTTTCTTACTGATAAATCCTAAATTTCCAACTGCCTTTAAGATATATTTATAAAGAGAAATACCAAATAATACCAAAATCTACATCAATATTACTTTTTTTTTTTTTTTTGAGATGGAGTCTTGCTTTTTTTGAGACTGGAATGCAGTGGTGCGATCTCGGCTCATTGCAATCTCCGCCTCCTGGATTCAAGTGATTTCCCCTGCCTCAGCCTCCCGAGTAGCTGGGATTACAGGCATGTGCCACTATGTCCTGCTAATTTTTGTATTTTTAGTAGGGACGGGGTTTCACCATGTTGGCCAGGCTGGTCTCAAACTCCTGACCTCAGGTGATCCACCCGCCTCAGCCTACCAAAGTGCTGGGATTACAAGCATGAGTCACTGCGCCTGGCAATATTACATTTTTTTAAAACCTAAATTTATAATCCTCAAATCCATCACTATAAAACCTGGCTTAAGATATCTTATATATAAAATGGTGGATTAAATGAATGCTTCATTTACTCAGGACACATTAGAAATACACCTGCTGGACAATATACACACCTGCTAGACAATCCCAAGCAGATAGGAAACAAAAAATTTTTTTAATGTTTCTAAACAAATGAAATACACCTGCACTTACACTCCCTCTTCTTTTCAAACCTCCATAGAAGGTCTGAATACAGTTACAGGAATTAAACAGACATTATAAAAAAAAAAAAAAAGTTCTGCGGAAACAGCACTAACTTACCCAAAACAATTCTAAAGTTCTCACCATCCATGTGTAATACCCAAGTATTGGTGGTTTTTGATCTGTCCTCCATATACTTCTTGAGACTTTTCCCATTAATTTCCAGAGTATATTCATAAGCAAAACCACTGATAGCGTCTATATTTATGGTCGCTTTTGTCTTTGCAGCTCCAACATAGAATGTTTCTTTGCCCACTAATTTGAACATCCACTCTTTTCTTATCTCTTCCTACATAATAAAACAGAAAAATATGAAACAAATGGAAGAAAAATTGATATCTAATTTTAGAAATAACGTAAAGTGAACAAAGGCAATGCCATTTAGATATAATTTCATTGCCGGGAGTGGTGGCTCATGCCTGTAATCCCAGCGCTTTGGGAGGCTGAGGCGGGCGGATCATGAGGTCAGGAGTTTGAGACCAGCCTGGCCAACAGTGAAACCCCGTCTCTACTAAAAATACAAAAAATCAGCAGGGCGTAATGGCAGGTGCCTGTAATCCCAGCTACTTGAGAGGCTGAGGCAGGAGAATAGCTTAAACACAGAAGGTGGAGGTTGTGGTGAGCTGAGACTGCGCCACTGCACTCCAGCCTGGGTGACACAGCGAGACTCCGTCTCAAAAAAAAGAAAAAAAAAAGATGTAATTTTATTAATTTATGATGCCAAGGTTTTAGAAAATAAAAGCATTTTAAGTTTAAATATTACACGCTATATTCCATGAATTCTATAACTATGTTTGCTTTACACAGCAAAATGATACAGATCAAAAACATGACTACAAGAAAAAAAAGCCCTGAATTCACATATGAAGATGCTACTTTAACAAAATCAAGTTTCTCTATATATCATATTTTACAAAGTAACATATTTTCTTCCTACCTTTCCATCTACATATACTACTCGTTTGCCTGATGTAGTCCCATGTTCAAATTCGATCTTGTGGACTCCGTCACTTAAAGCAACATCCCAAACAGCTACGAGATCTGTCATTTTTTCTAGGCTGTAAGGAGGGCTAAAGGAATAAAATAAAGCAATTATAGTAGGCCAAAATACTAATTAAATAACCAATTAATCCTTCCAAGATGAAAATATTAGATTAAAACCTCTAAAATGTCAAAATATTAAAGTGACAGTACCTAAGAAATTCTACTCACAGTACATGTAACTATTTTCTCCCTCTTATTCACTCTTCCTTTAAGATACAACTACTATATATGGGTACATAGTCCGATTACTTCTAAAAAAAAGCCACCTTAATATTAATAGGATTAAGAATGCATCAGTTTATCCTGGTCAGTATTCTAGGTTAGGCTACAGTATAGTGCATGGAAAGGTCAGTAAAAAGTCTTTATTCTTCTCCCACCAGCTCCCATGTAAAAACCATGGTAATTAATTTTATTTCTCTTTTTCAGGTCTAATCACTCTAAAACAAGAACTCTCCAAACCTCCCATACTTAAACTCGCACTAGGGATTTGTTTTAACAAAAAGGTTCTAATTTATTATACTAAGACAGAAAAAAGTCATGGAAGAAATGCCCTATAATAAAGATAAAAATAATTTTTAAATGTTATGAAAAATATTCTTGGCATTATTACAGGAAATCTTATTTTAAAAAAATAAAGGACTTTGGGCTGGGTGCAGGGGCTCATGCCTGTAATCCTAGCACTTTGGGAGACTGAGGTGGGCAGATTACTTGAGCCCAGGAGTTCCAGACCAGCCTGGACAACATGGTGAAACCCTGTCTCTACAAACATATTAGTCACACGTGATGGCGCATGCCTGGAGTCCCAGCTACTTGGGATGCTGAGGTAAGAGAGCCATCTTAGCCCAGGAGGTTGAGGCTGCAGTGAGCCATGATTGCACCACCACGTTCCAGCCCGGGTGAAAGAGTGAGACTGTCTCAAAAATAAGAAATAAATAAAGGATTTTGGTTTGTCAGAGATTTCTGGCATATACTTCAACATATATTTTTGATGTTAATATATCCTATGTGAATGACATAATACATAATATCTAATTAATATTTTGATATTGGTGTATCTTTTTAGCTTTGACAGAAGTATCATTTATTACAGTAATAATAATCATAGCTAACAGCTATTAAGTGATAACTATGTATCAGTCATTGTTCTAAGAGCTTTAAATATATTAACTCATAGAATCACCATGAGATGGCTACTATTAGTATCCTTATTTTACAGATGAGGCTTAGAGAGGCTAAGGGTTTACCTAAGGTCACAATGACATTAAGTGGCAGAGGTAGGATTTAAACCTAGGATTCTGGCTCCAAAGCCTGTTCTCTTAACTACATCTTCCTCTTTGTTCGCCCTAATCTCCTCTGTACGCTCTAAACTGAAGATGGTAAATGGATTTTATATCATTTTGAAGTGGTTGCCAAGAACTCTGTGCTGACAGAAATGAGAAGACCTCACATCAAGGCTCTACTGAAATGGATGCCATGTTTCTAGTGGCTACCTCCACGCCAGGTATTTACTACTCCTGCTTTAAATCACACAAAAGCAGAACCATGTATTCTGCAATTTTACAAAATGTATTCTTAACAGAGTATCTTGGATAAATCACTCTTTTGAATGATAACAATCTTGAAAATGTCAAAGGCTAGTTTACTGCAATATAAGACATTTACCTTTCATCATCTTCAAAGATAGGACTGTCATCTCCAGATGCCATGGTTGGCAAAAACAGTCTTTAATCCAATTAGCAGCCAGGAAAGAAAAAAGCAGAATTGCAGCAAAGAAAGATTGAAAGCAACAATGATGACATCTACAAAGGGTTTTTCTAATTTTGCAATCCATTTATTAAATTACATGGAGTTTCAGATGAAACAGCTTCTACATAAAATAGAATTGCAATCTTTAATTCTCAGAGAAAGATGTTACATCATGCAAATCAGTCAGTCATATTTTTCCCTGTTATGGATTTATAATTTCTTAAAGGTATACTTTATCAAAACTAAAGAACAAACTCTCCTTTGTTGCAAGTGTTATAGCATATCAGAGCTGCAAGAGACCTAAGAGATCCTCTGGGTCCTATGCTTTTCAAGTTGAAGCGTAAGAAGCCCCAAGGCTATGAGTCAGGGAATACATCAAACTCCAGGATAAACACAATGTATCTTCTGGGAGCATCAATGTTAAAGTGGCAACTAATTTAAAATGTAATCTTTATTTTAGAAGGCTACACTATGGTGGAACATAACTTTCAAAATCTGTTTAGATAACTTCAAAGAACTAATGAGTTTGCAAGAAGCAGACAGGGATATGCTGGTCTGCTCTCAAAGAGTGAACTTAATTTATCCCCTTACTTAAGCCCATTTAATTTACTAGTGCCAATGATGAATCCACAAAAGTTATGTGCCTTGCTCATGTAACTGGCAGGATCCAACCCAGAACTAGAGCCCAGTACTGTACTATGCAATGAACTAAACAGTAACTGGGCTGCAGTGTTAATTAAGCTGTACTAAAATCAGAAGTGCACATAAATTCACATGCATAGGAAACCCTCACATTTGAAGATTTGGGATTAACAGTTTCACTCCTGCCAAAGTATCCTAAATTCAACTATTTTTTGCTTCCAAGATCTATCCTAGTTTAGCCCTTTCCTTAATTAGTGCCTGTTTCCTACAGATGCTCAAGAATGCTCTCTCCTGGTTAAAAATGGGAGACTGCTAACCCTTTCTGTCTGGAAACAGCCAGAAGTCACAAATTATTAAAAAGTTTTTTGTTTGTTTTTGAGACAAAGCCTCACTCTGTCCCCCAAGCTGGAGTGCAGTGGCATGATCTTGGCTCACTGCAACTTCTGCCTCCTGGGTTCAGGCAATTCTCATGTCTCAGCCTCTTGAGTAGCTGGGACTACAACTGCATGCCACCACATCCGGCTAATTTTTTGTATTTTTAGTAGAGATGGGGTTTTGCCATGTTGGTCAGGCTGGTCTCGAACTCCTGGTCTCAAGTGATCCACCTGCCTCGGCCTCCCAAAGTGCTGGGATTACAGGCATGAGCCACCACATACCCAGCCAAAAAGATATTAAAGAAGAAATTAGCACTCATAAAAGCAATCCAACGGGCCAGAAAAGCCAAGGATTTTAGAATAAAAACTAGATAAATATTTGTACCTAAAATAAATCTCTCTTTTATAAAATTAGCACCACACAAATTTGTGAACTTTTCTACTCTTAAGGATTATCCCCTATGAAACCAGAGGGTATCCTACAACAATAAAAACAAAAAGAATACATAGCAATATAATAAGCCAGCCAGGCATGGTGGCATGCACCTGTAGTCCCAGCTACTGGGGGAGGCTAAGGTGGGAGGATCGCTTGAGCCTAGGAGTTAGAAGCTGCAGTGAGTGGCTGCAGTGATCATGCCACCGCACTCCAGCCTGGATGACAGAGTGAGACCCTGTCTCAAAACAGGTATCTATATATATACTATATATAATATATAGTTACTATATACACTATATATACTAAATATACTATATATAATATAGTATATATAGTATCTATATCTATATGATCTAATTAGATATCTAATTAGATAATATAGATAGATAATATATAGATATATACTATATATAAATAGTATCTATGTCCAAAATAATAATATATATTATATATTATATATAGTAGATACTATATACATACATATATATATACACACACACGTATATACACAATGTAATTATATGTACTCCAGCCTGGGTGACAGAGTGAGACCCTGTCTCAAAACATATATATATATATTATATATATAGATATGATATATAGATCTATTATAGATAGACAGATAGTATAAGATAGTATAATTACATGTACTCCAGCCTGGGTGACAGATATAGATAGACAGATAGGTAGATAGGTAGATAGAGAGAGATATATATAGATATACATATCTGTTTTGAGACAGGGTCTCACTCTGTTGCCCAGTCTGGAGTACATATAAATACTATATATATATTTATATACATATTATATTTATTATATATACATATTATATATAATATATACATATTATACATACATATAATATAAAAAATAAGCCAAACAGCATAATATAAACTTTGATAAGGCATCCTTTGTAAATCAGAATGTATTTAGGGGTGCTATTCAAGTTTTGCTCTTCAATTTTCAGAGACTCTAGAAAGTTCAGTAATGTAGGTATTCAAACCTAAAACAATTGCTCTGTTTTCTATTATAAGGAATTCCAAATACTACTAAATCACACTAAGATACAACATCTTAATTATAATACCTTTTCATGGAGAAGTATAAAAGGCAATACCACCAATTATAAGAAAGATTAGAAATCATGATCACATTAAAACATTTTTTCTTCTCTAAACTATGAACAATCATTCAGGCATTCAACAATTATTTAAGGACTACTTAAAAAATAGCAATTTTTAATTCTCCAATAATTAAAAGTGTACATGACAGGAGAGGATTATAAACAAAGATAAGAGTAAGTACTGAAGCAATTATCTGGCAAATTTGAAGCATTCTAATTCTACTTATATAACTATATATCAAAATTGATGTTTCTTCTTAAACCAAGTAACAAATCAATATAAAATTTGTTACTCTCTTTGCCAGTTTTTCTCTGATTAAATAAAATGTTGTTTTAATACAAAGTAATATTTCAATTTTCTTGTTCATGCTATCCATTATTTTAAGCAAAACACTAAAAAAATCTTTTTATAAATGGTTAATAATTATAAAATACTGTTATAATTACTCCTTGGAGTGTGCATGGTGGCTCATCCCTGTAATCCCCGCACTTTGAGAGGCTGAGACAGGAGAATCATTTGAAGCCAGGAACTCGAGACCAGCCTGGTCAACAGAGTAACACCAAAAAAAATTAGCTGGGTGTGGTGGCACGTGCCTATAGTCCCAGCTACATGGGAGGAGGGAGGATCGCTCGATTCTAGGGGTTTGAGACTGCAGTGAGCCATGACCATGCCACTGCACTCTAACCTGGCCAACAGAGCAAGACCCTGTTCCAAAAGCAAAAAACAACAACAACAAAACAAACGAAATTATTCTTTGGAACATTAAAAGTATATTCAGCTTATAAAAGGCTGAAATACTTCAAATTTTGTACCATTTTAAAAGGCAGAGATTAACTTTAAAAACTGCTTTCTATGCAAGGATTAAAGTGACCAGTATCTTATAACAACAGCCTTAACCAAAATATGAGAGAGTCATACAATTTTCAGCACTGGAAAACAAAAAACAATAAAATCACCTGGTCTAGCCTCTCTCCTTCATTACGGGGAAATCAGTAACACATATCCCTCCAAGTGCCATCTCCACTGCCAGTCCTGGGTTCTTATTACCTATCCAACTTTCTAACAAAGCTGTAGAGGGTGCCAATAATGCACACAGAGCAAAGAAAACTTTTCAAATGATCTTACCACAAACAATAATTCCCATCAACAAATCCCATCTAATGTTTAAGAAAAATGTCCAAAATCAACTCTGCCTCCTGCTTTTGGGCTTCTCTATCACCTATCCCAGCAGTTTCACTAGTCTTATGACCTCTGTCAGTTTACACATTCCATTCCAATTTCACCACTTTAAAATTTAATTGAAATTGCTCTTCTGGCTCAAAAGCAGGAGAGCACACATAGAAAACACTCTTAATAGCCACAAATGCAACAGGTTAACAGACTGACATCTGTTTTTTGGCCATTCATATCAGGGAAAATCATTAAAAACCACTAGTCAACTCATCAAATGCACGTAAAAATATGCCCACTAGTGAGTCTTTAGGGAAACATGAAATAAAATAGAGATTTAGGTTAGAGGTCTGAAAGGAAGTAAACATGAATAATTATTCTAAAAGGCACTAAAGCACAGAGATCAATGTTTACTTAAAACAGACTTTAAGATACTTTGGCCCATCAGCTGATTTTTCATTTTGAGAATATCCTCACACAAAAGTCAACTTACTTCTTCGTAACTGGTGATTCTCTGGATGGTCTATACAAAGTAATATCAGAATGAGCAAATGTAATCCATTAACTCAACAAATAGTTAAATGCCCACCAAATGTTCTGAAAGCACTCCAAAGTCAAATACAGATGGTCCCCGGCTTATAATGGTTTGACTTAATGATTTTCCGACTTTAAGATGGTGCAAAAGAGATACGTGTTTGGTAGGAACCATACTTTGAGTACCCATACAACCATTCACTTTCACTACAGTACAAAAAATTACAGGAGACAGCCAAGACTTCATTGTAACATAGGCTTTGTGTTAGATGATTTTGCCCAAATGTGGGCTAAGGTAAGTATTCTGAGGACACTTAAGGTAGGCAAGGCTAAGACATGATGTTTGATAGGTTAGGTGTACTAAATCCATTTTCAACTTATAATATTTTCAACTTGCAATGGGTTTATTGGGATATAACCCCATCACAAGTCAAGAAGCATCTGTACATGTTTTTGTTTTTGTTTTGAGACAGGGTCTTGTTCTGCTGCCCAGGCTGGAGTGCAATGGTATATTCAATGCTCACTGCAGCCTCAACCTCCTGGGCCCAAAGGATCCTCCCACCTTAGCCTCCAAAGTAGCTGGGACTACAGGTACACACCACCACACCCGGCTCATTTTTGTATTTATGGTAGATATGAGGTTTCACCATGTTACCTAGGCTGGTCTTGAATTTGTGGGCTCAAGTAATCCACCTGACTTGGCCTCCCAAGGTGCTGAGATTACAGGCATGAGTCACCGCACCTGGTCGTACATGTCTTTTAAATTTTTCTATGGTTTTGTATGATTTGCAGCAGCTATGCTCTATTTGTTTTCTCAAGGGGAGATGTACCTTCACAACAAAAGTTTTCTTATGATAAATGTCCAGGCTTCAGTTTTTCCATTCAACATTTGAACCTGCTATCAAGAGATACTGTACTAGACGCTGTCAGAAATTTGAAGAAAATCCTTCTTTTTTTTTGTTTTTTGAGATAGGGTCTCACTCTAGTCATCCAGGCTGGAGTGCAGTGGTGCGATCTCAATTCACTGCAGCCTCGACCTCCTGGGCTCAAACAATCCTCCCACCTCAGCCTCCTTAGTAGCTGGGACCATAGGCATGTGCCACAACACCCAGCTAATTTTGTAATTTTTTGTGAAGATGAGGTTTCACCATGTTGCCCCAGCTGGTCTCAAACTCCTGAACTCAAGTGATCCTCCCACCTCGGCCACCCAAAGTGCTGGGATTACAGGCATAAGCCACCATGCCCAGCCTGAAGAAAATGTTTCTGTCCTTAAAGAATTTGAGAGTTCAGAAATAAATCCACATATCTGTGGCCAAATGATTTTTGACAAGGGTGCCAACTCTAACTGGTGGGGAAAGAATAGTCTCTTCAACAGATGTTATGGGGAAAACTAGATTTTCATACACAAGAGAATTAAGTTGAACCTCACCTATCTCACACCATATACAAAAGTTATCTCAATGATCTAAATGTAAGAGCTAAAACCACAAAACTCTTAGAAGAAAACATAGAGGTAAATCCTCATGATCTTGGATTTGGCAATGGATTCTTAGATAGGACACCAAAAGGATAGCAGCAAAAGAAAAAAATAGATAAATTGAACTTCATCAAAAGTTAAAACTGACTGGGTGTGGTGGCTCACACCCGCATTCCCAGCAATTTGGGAGGCCAAGGTGGGAGGATTGCTTGAGCCCAGGAGTTCAAGACCAGCCTGGGCAACATAGGGAGACCCCATCTCTACAAAAAAATTTAAAAACTAGCCAGGCATGGTGGTGCATGCCTGTAGTCCCAGCTACATGGGAGGCTGAAGTGGGAGGATCACTTAAGCCTGAGAGGTCAAGGCTGCAGGTGAGCTGTGATTGCACCACTGCACTCCACCCTTGGCAACAGAATAGACCCTGTCTCAAAAAAACAAAAACAAACTAAAATTTTTGTGCATCAAAGGACATTATCTAGAAAGTGAAAGGACAAGGATGAGAGAAAATATTTGGAAATCATATATCTGATAGAGGTTTCATATTCTGAATATATAAAGAACTCTACTGCTCATAAACACAAAAGACAACCCAATTTAAAAATGGGAAAGGGGCCGGGCGCAGTGGCTCACACCTGTAATCCCAGCAATTTGGGAGGCTGAGGCGGGTGGATCACCTGAGGTCAGGAGTCCGAGACCAGCCTGGCCAACATGGTGAAACCCCATTTCTACTAAAAATACAAAAAATTAGCCGAGTGTGGTGGCAGGCACCTGTAATCCCAGCTAGCTACTCGGGAGGCTGAGGCAGGAGAATCGCTTGAACCCAGGAGGCGGAGGCTGCAGTAAACCAAGATCATGCCATTGCACTCCAGCCTGGGCAACAAGAGCAAAAGCCTGTTTCCAGGAAAAAAAAAAAAAAAAGGCAAAGGACTTCCACAGACATTATTCTAAAGAAGACATACAAATGGTCAATAAGCACATGAAAAGATGCTAAACAACATTAATCACGACAGAAATGCAAATCAAAACAACAATGAAATACAACTTCACATCTACTAGGATGGCTATACTAAAAATAAACAGAAAATAATCAGTGTTGGCAAGGATGTGGAAAAACTGGAATCCTTGTACATTGCTAGTGGGACTGTAAAATGGTGAAGTTGTCATACAAAATGATATGACAGTTCCTCAAAACCTAAACAGAGAATTACTATATGACCTAGCAATTCTGCTGCTAGGAATGCACTCAAAAAGTTTTGAAATCAGCCACTCAGACACCTGTATACTATTGTTCATTGTAGCATTTTCCAATAGCCAAAAGATGAAAACAACCCAAGTTGTCCATCAACATAAGAATAAACAAAACGCGGTACATACACTTGATCTCGGCCAAAAGGCTGAGAAGTGATAAAATGCATATATATACAAAGGATATTCCTTTTCATTCAGCCAAAATAAGGAGTGATATTCTGACATATGCTATAACATGGATGAACTATGAAAACTTTATGCTAAGTGAAATAGCCAGACAAGGCCGGGCGCGGTGACTCACGCCTGTAATCCCAGCACTTTGGGAGGCCGAGGCGGGCGGATCACGAGGTCAGGAGTTCGAGACCATCCTGGCTAACACGGTGAAACCCCGTCTCTACTAAAACTACAAAAAAATTAGCCAGGCGTGGTGGCGGGCGCCTGTAGTCCCAGCTACTCAAGAGGCCGAGGCAGGAGAATGGCGTGAACCCGGGAGGCGGAGCTTGCAGTGAGCTGAGATCGCACCACTGCACTCCAGCCTGGGTGACAGAGCGAGACTCCGTCTCAAAAAAAAAAAAAAAAAAAAAATAGCCAGACAAAAAATGACAAATATGATTCCACTTATATAAAATACCCAGAAAAGGGACATTCGTAGAGGCAGAAAGCAGATTAGATGTTCCCTGGGAATGGGGGAAGGGAACAATGAGAAGTCTCAGTCTCTTTCATGCTGCTACAAAGGAATACCCGAGGTTGCATAATTTATAAAGAAAAAAGGTTTATTTAGCTCATGATTCTGATGTCTGGAGAAGCTCAAGATTGGGCATCTGCATTTGGTGAGGGCCTCAAGTTGCTTCTACTCATGGCAGAAGGCAAAGGAGAGCTGGCTGTGTAGAGAGCATGTGACCAGAGAGAAAGCAGGAGAGACAGCGGGGAGGTACAAGCTCTTTTTATCAAACAGCTCTAGTGAGAACTGATAGAGCAAAAACCCATTCACCTCCAAGGGAGGGCATTAATGTATTCACTGGGGATCAGCCCCCATGACCCAAACACCTCCCATTAGGCCCCACTTCCCAATACTGCCACACTGGGGATCAAATTTCAACATGAGATTTGGTAAGTACAAATATCCAAACCATAGCACAGAGTTATTGCTTAATGGTTACTGTGTTTCTGTTTAAGGTATTGAAAAGTTTGGCAAATAGATAGTGACAATGATCGCACACTATTGTGAATGTACTTAATGCCCCTGAATTGTACACTAAAAAATTGTTAAAATGGCAAATCTATGTTGTATATATTTTACCACTTCAAAAAGTTAATTATATTAGAAAGAATTGTATACTTTAAATGGGTGAATTTTATGGTATGTGAGTTATATTTCAGTAACGTTGTTAAAAAAAAAAACAAAAAAAGAAAAAAAAATGCAGGTGTCCTGGCTGTAGTGTTTCTTGGGATGCAACTGCACCTGTAACCAAAAGATGATAACATCTGTCCTTGTCCCCAATTTCCACTTCACTCAGAAATATCTGTCACATAGATCTCTAAGTTACAAATTCAATTTAATAAACACATGTCATATTCTAAGTTCATCCAGCATACCAATAGTTATTGGGTACTTATGTACCAGGCTCTGGGCAGGGCACTAACCTCAGAGTGGCAGAGTCCGGAGATACCAAGAGATGATTATAGCACAACAGTGGGAGTGTCCTTATAAAGGGAAGCAGCATAGGATAGAATGGGCCATAGAGGAAGGGTCGTAGCTCTGCCGAAGAAGGCTTTGGTTTAAAACTTTGGAGAAAGTGGCCAGGCGCGATGGCTCACACCCCGTAATCCCAGCACTTTGGGAGGTCAAGGCGGTCGGATCACTTGAGGTCAATAGTTCAAGACCAGCCTGGACAAAACGGTGAAATCCTGTCTTTGCAAAAATAGAAAAATTTGCCGGGCATGGTAGCGCACGTCTGTAAATCCCAGCTACTCCGGAGGCTGAGGCACAAGAATCGCTTGAACCCGGGAGGTGGAGGTTGCAGTGAGCCGAGATCATGCCACTGCACTCCAGCCTGGGTGACAGAGGGAGATTCTGTCTGAAAAATAAAAAAATGAAACTTGGGAGCAAGAAATTAATCCACTGTTGTTTTTAAACTCTTATGCATGTACTTAATTTTCAAGATTCTATGACCAAACTGGAAAATGATAAATACAAAAAACCCTCTATTTTTGCAAATATTTTATTAAAATGTAAATTTAAAAAGATGAAAAACCATATTCCACTTACTTTCACTGATGGAGATGATACCAAGCACTTGAAACTTTTTACATGTCTTTAAAGAAAGCTTTTTGCGTATCTCATACGTACCCATCAATCTTTTAAAATCCCTTCCCTAGCAACCCAACACCTAAGTTTCAGAGCATGACTTAAACACCAACACGTTGCCACTGTTCATCTAATCCACCTGAATTTTGCCTTAACTTAGGTTTATTCTTACTGGGGACTGAAATGGTTCGTTCAAGATAAACCGAAGTCAGTTTAAAAATTACTAGATGATAGTAGTTACTAAGATGCTCATGGTTCCCTTTTCAGCAAAGGCCCCCAGGTAGGGCCAGCCAATAATGCAAGTCACACTCAAGTGTTGACATCTTCATCTCCGGGCCGGCCCCTTATGAAGTGAGGGGGGTCTCCAGTAAAATCACTCAGGAAGCTCCTCGAGCCAAGTATTCCCAAATGCTACTTACTGGAGGTACAAAAAGGAGAATAACTTTTCTGAGGGCCATTTCACAATCTATACCAGAAGCCTTGTGGTATAGACCGTGGATTCTATCTTGTTTTAGAACGAATCTTGTGCGATTCTTTCTACAGAAATGATCACGCTCAAAAACCCAGATACAACGATGCTCAATGAATTACTTTTTGCAATAACTAAAAACTGAAAACCACTTGTACGCTCACCATCAGGGAGAAACTACATTTAGTAAATCACAGTCCAAAGCCATGCCAAGAGTCAGGGATGGATGAGGTAGTCAACCTGACACACAGGAATGTACAGTCGAGAGAGAGAGAGAGAGAGAGAGAGAGTCGAGAGAGAGAGAGAGAGAGTCGAGAGAGAGAGAGTCGAGAGAGAGAGAGAGAGAGAGAGAGAGAGAGAGAGAGAGAGAGTTTCAGCACTTTATGATGCAGGTTCTGCAAAAACAAGCCCCGCTCATGTTACAAGGAAAAACCATCTGGAAGAATATACACCCTCATGTTAACGCAGCTTGTCTCTGGGGAGCAGCGGCACGGCTGCTTTGCTTGCTTCCTTGCTTTCTGTTCCACGTTTTCGACAGTGAGAAGTATTATCTTTAGAGGTCGCGAACAGGCCGGAGGAGGGTGCGGCAGGTCGCGGGGCAGGGCCTCGCTAGGCAGGGACGCCCCCGCACCGCCCCGGGCTGGCCCCGCGCCCCGCGCCCCGCCGCACCTCCACCTTTGCCGGCGGTGAGCGGGAGCCGCGTCCCGCCCCGAGGTCTGGGATCACCGGCGGGCCGGCTGGAAGCGTCCGGAACTCACCCAGCGTCTCACCCGCGCGGGTCTCACCGACCGCGCAAACACCGCCCGCCGCCGCCGCCCAGAGATGGCCGCCGCCGGCGCAGCAGGGCCGAGAGCGTGGGGACGCCGGGGGGCTGAGTGCAGGGGTTTCCAGGGTGCGGAGCGGGCGGGCCCGAGGCGTCCGGGCGGGCGCAGGCGCGACACCGACCCCACCCGGTCTGCTGCCTCACCTGTGCTCTGTGGGCCGCGGGAGGCTCTGGGGTAGGTTTCACCAAACAACCGGTTGGTTCCGACTCGGCTGCGTAGGCCGCGTGGCCTTGCTCCCCTGGCCGAGAAACAGGCGCAGCCGGCGCGGAGGTTGAAAGCTCTGCAGGCGCGAGTACCAAACGCGCCGACTGTTTGTCGCGCCTCTCAGGTCCCCTGGGGCGACCAGCGCAGGAGGCCACCCCTCCCGCCGCCACGGACCCAACCCTGGTCCTCTGCCTTAGCCGAAGGCCGCACCCTCCGCGCATAGGCCTTCCTCAGCCCCAACCCAGGACATCACCATGTCCCGCAGTGCGTCCAGTCTTCCTGCCAGCAAGTGTGGGTAGGAGCCGGCCGCTGGCCCCGCTCTGGGCTAGACGGTGGGGACATACTGGCGGGCAAAAACAGCCCTGTGCCTGCTCTGCAGCTATGGGGAAGGAATATCTGTTCATGGCAGCAATAGCATTCGCTCCTTAAAACCTCTTTATGAGTCTCATTCCTTTTTTAAAGACCCAAACTACTTAAGGTGGGCATGAAGCCCCCATGTGTGATCTAGCCTCTGCCTGCTTGGCTTCATTTAGGTCCTTAAAGGATGCAGGTTTCTTCTCGCCCAGGGCCTCTGCAAATGCTCTTCTCTCTGCCTGGACACTCCTCACCTCTTCCCTATTGTGAGAGTTCTTCATATATCATTTCTTAGATTACACTATCCTGGCCCATAAGACTTGCAGCATTGCTGGGTGTGGTGGCTCATACCTGTAATCACGGCATTTTGGGAGGCAGAGTGGCGGATCTCTTGAGTCCAGGAGTTCAAGACCAGCCTGGGCAACATGGTAAAAAAAAAAAAAAAGAGAGAGAGAGAATGAGAAAGAAGAAAAGAAAATAATTAGCGGCTCAGGCCTGTAATCCTAGCTACTTGGGACGCTGAGGTGGGAGAATTGCTTGGGCCCTGAAGGGAGGTAGAGGCTGCAGAGAGCTGTGATTGCACCACTACACTCCAGCCTGGGCAACAGAGCGAGACCCTGTTTCATTAAAAAAAACACACACAAAAAGAAACAGCCGGGCTCAGTGGCTCACGCCTGTAATCCCAGCACTTTGGGATGCTGAGGCAGGCATGGCAAAACCCCGTCACTACTGAAAATATAAAACTTAGAGGGGCGTGGTGGTGCATGCCTGTAGTCCCAACTACTTGGGAGGCTGAGGCAGGAGAATCGCTTCAACCTGGGAGGTGGAGGTTGGAGTGAGCTGAGATTGAGCCACTGCACTCCAGCCTGGGCGAAGAGCAAGACTCTGTCTCAAAAAAAAAAAAAAAAAAAAACAGCCGGGCACAGTGGCTTACACCTGTAATCCCAGCACTCTGGGAGGCCAGGTGCGGATTGCCTGAGGTCAGAAGTTTGAGACCAGCCTGGCCAACGTGGTGAAACCCTAGCTCTACTAAAAATACAAAAATTAGCCGGGCGTGGTGGCATGCGTCTGTAATCCCAGCTACTCAGGAGGCTGAGGCAGGAGAATCACTTGACCTTGGGAGGTGGCAGTTGCAGCGAACTGAGATCGCCTCACTGTACTGCAGCCTGAGCCACAGAGTGATACTTCGTCTCAAAAACAAAAACAAAAAAAACACAAAAATTGCAGCACCAGGGATTCTTCTTCCTAGCCCCTTTCAGGGTGTGCAATAATTTGTGTAATTTTTGCTTAATGTGTAACTTAACAGTAGACTGAGATCCATGAAGGCAGAGACCATGGCCGCTTGGCTCTCATTCTTGTATGTCTCACATCTGTACCGTGCAGGCCCATGTTAGCTCTGGTAAATATTTATTAAATGAATGAATGAATGAAGAGCAGGCCTGGGTAGTGTCTTAGGTGGCCTTGATTTTCAATTTAAGGAGGAGACAGTGTTGCCTACAGAGAGCGAGAAAAGTTGTTGAGTGGGCCATGTGAGGAGCAGTGAATGGTCCCTGTGGAGAGTAGGCCCAGTCATAGAATAGAGATAAGTGAAGGGATTTTGGAGGGTTTTGAGGGCCCAGCATATTTGGGGGCTGCTATGGTTTGGATGCTGGTATCTCCCCAAAATTCATATGTTGAAACCTAAGACCCAACACATTCATATTAACAGGATGGATCCTTTGTGGGGGAAATTGGTGCCCTTGTGAAAGAGGCTTGAGGGAGCCTGTTTGATCCTTCTGCCATGTGTGGATGCTCTGAGAAGGCACCATGTTTGAAGCAGAGAACAAGCCCTTAGCAGACTGTGACTCTGCTGGAGCCTTGATCTTGGATATCCCAGCCTCCAGAACTGTGAGCAATACAATTCTACTGTTTATAAATTACCCAGTCTAAGTTGTTGTATTTTTGTTGTTTTTTTTTTTTTTTTTTTTTGAGACAGGGTTTTATTCCAGGCTGGAGTGCAGTGGCATGATCACAGCTCACTGCAGCCATGATCCATGTCCTGGGCTCAAGCGATCCTGCTACCTCAGCCTCTAAAGGAGCTGGGACTATGGCTACATGCCACCACACCCGGCTAATATTTTAAAATTTTTTTATAGACACAGGGTCCCACTATGTTGCCCAGGCTGGTCTCAAATTCCTGGGCTCAAGCAATTCTCCAACCTTGGCCTTCCAAAGTGCTGGGATTACAGGCATGAGCAACTGAACCTAGCCTTTCTCCTGCTCCTCCTCCTTCCTCCTTCTTGCTTCTTTCTTCTTCTTCTTCCTCTTCCTTTCTTCTTCTTCTTTTTTGAGTATTTTTATCGTTGTTGTTGTTGTTTGAGACAGAGTCTCACTCTGTCGCCCAAGCTGGAGTGCACTGGCATGATCTTGGCTCACTGCAACCTCCGCCTCCCAGGTTCAAGCAATTCTTCTGCCTCAGCCTCCTGAGTAGCTGGGACTACAGGCGCACGCCACCACACCCAGCTTATTTTTATATTTTTAATAGAGATGGGGTTTTGCCATGTTGGCCAGGCTGGTCTCGAACTCCTGACCTCAGGCGATGCACCCACCTTGGCCTCTCAAAGTGCTGGGATTACAGGCGTGAGCCACCACACCTGGCCTTTTCAAGTATTTTGTTACAGCATTTTGTTACAGCAGCCAAAATGGACTTAAGATAGGGACATCTAGGTCCTATTGTGTAATTTCTTTCTGCATCTTTATGTTAATGTAAAGAAGGACTGTTTCATCTTTGGGGTTTGTAGGATAGATGCAGTTTTTAGGTGCTAAGCAAATATGTGAGAGAAAGTAGTTAAGAGACAGTAGGGAACAACCTACTGATGAGGTTAACCAGTCTGCAAAGTGATAAAGGCTGATTACCAAGCGAATTATGATACAAGGATTCTACCTAGTGAGCACTGCTTTCTTGTTTGCTACCCTTTACTGAAAGCTTCCTGAAGACAAAGACTTCATATTTATATTTTCTTCTACAGCAGTGTTGTTTGTTTGTTTTTTGTCTTTTTTTTTAAGACAGAGTTTCATTCTGTCACCCAGGCTGGAGTGCAGTGGCATGATCATAACTCACTGCAGCCTCAAACTTCTGGTCTCAAGCAATCCTCCTGCTTCAGCCTCCCAAGTTGCTGGGATTATAGACATGAACCACCAACCCCAGCTGCTGCAGCAGTGTTTTGAACAGAGAGTTTGCAATAAATGATTGTTGAAATAATGAATTGGGGGTAAAGGTAAAAGGCTCCAGAGTGGAAATTCCCAGAGACGAGAAACAGCTAGCTGATTTCTCAGTCTTTATTTCTTCTGAGAAACAATCCTGAGTTGCTGGGCTAGAACCAGGAAACCCTGGTTGGGGAGCAGCTCAAAGACATTATTGAATGAAGGATATTTTCTTAAAAACTTGAAGAATCTGGATATCTTTTACAAGACCAATAAGGTGTAATTTATTAAATGCTTGTTATGTGACTTATATGCCATTACCTCTAGTTCTCACAACAGCCCAATGATTCTGTTTACCTCCTTTTACAAAAAGACCCAAAGCCCTTCAGAAGTTGCAGGGCCAAGATGGGGAGCCAGGCCTGTGGGATTGGAAAAGTTTATGTTAACAGAGCCTGTTACTAGAAAAGTATTGATTGTGCTTGAAGAAAAATCCGGGCCTACTCTTAGAGGCCTTGGGAACCCCTCTGCCCAGGGGTTTCAGAGTACAGCAGAGTCTGGCCTGCCCATGAGGTACACCCAACTCTGCCCAGAATAGGGAAAGCAGTCCACGATTCCTCCATTGGCTTGTTCTGTGCCACTGTCTCCTCTCTGGGCATAGTTTCTGGGGTACCTGGAATTGAGGAACATACCAGTTTGGGCTGCATTTTCCACCTACCTATCCTACAAGCCCAGGACATCTGAGGTAGTATATTAGTTCATTTTCACGCTGCTGATAAAGACATACTCGAAACTGGGAACAAAAAGAGGTTTAATTGCACTTACAGTTCCATATGGCTGGGGAGGCCTCAGAATCATGGCGAGAGGTGAAAGGGCACTTACATGGTGGCAACAAGAGAAAATGAGGAAGAAGCAAAAGCAGAAACCCCTGATAAACCCATCAGATCTTGTGAGACTTATTCACTATCATGAGAATAGCATGGGAAAGACCAGCCTCCATGATTCAATTACCTCCCCTTAGGTCCTTCCCACAACACATCAAAATTCTGGGAGACACGATTCAGTTGAGAGGTGAACGGGGACACAGATAAACCATATCATTCCACCCCTGGCACCTCCAAATCTTATGTCCTCACATTTCAAAGTCAATTATGCCTTCCCAACAGTTCCCCAAAGTCTTAATTAATTTCAGCATTAACCCAAAAGTCTAGTCCAAAGTCTCATCTGAGACAAGGCAGTCCCTTCCGCCTATGAGCCTGTAAAATCAAAAGCAAGCAGCCAAGCATGGTGACTCACACCTGTAATCCCAGCAGTTTGGGAGGCCAAGGTGGGTGGATCACCTGAGGTCAGGAGTTCGAGACCAGCCTGGCCAACATGGCGAAACCCTGTCTCTACTAAAAATACAAAAATCAGCCAGGCGTGGTGGGCGCCCATAGTCCCAGCTACTCTGGAAGCTGAGGCAGGAAAATCACTTGAACCTGGGAGGTGGAGGTTGTAGTGAGCTGAGATCACATCACTGCACTCCAGCCTGGGCAACAGAGCGAGACTCCATCTCAAAAAAAAAAAAAAACAAATTGACTGCCCTACTAGATTTCAGACTTGTATGGGCCCTGTAACGCCTTTGTTTTGGCCAATTTCTCCCATTTGGAATGGCTGTACTTACCCAATACCTGTACCGCCATCATTGTATCTAGGAAGTAACTAGCTTGCTTTTGACTTTTTTTTTTTTTTTTTTTGAGATGGAGTCTTGCCCTGTCACCCAGGCTGGAGTGCAATGGCATGATCTCGGCTCACTGTAATTTCCACCTCCTGGGTTCAAGCGATTCTCCCGCCCCAGCCTCCTGAGTAGCTGGGACTACAGGCACCCACCACCACGCCCAGCTAATTTTTGTATTTTTAGTAGAGACAGGGTTTCGCCATGTTGGCCAGGCTGGTCTCGAACTCCTGACCCCAGGTGATCCGCCCACCTCGGCCTCCGAAAGTGCTGGGATTACTGGTGTGAGCCACTGCACTCGGCCTGGGCCATCAAATTTTAAAGCTCCAAAATGATCTCCTTTGACTCCAGGTCTCACATCCAGGTCAGGCTGATGCAAAAGGTAGGTTCCCATGGTCTTGGGTAGCTCCACCCCTGTGGCTTTGCAGGTACGGCCTACCTCCCAGCTGCTTTCATGGCTGGCATTGAGTGCGACTTTCCAGGCTCATGGTGCAAGCTGTCAATGGATCTACCATTCTGGGGTCTGGAGGACAGTGGCCCTTTTCTCACAGCTCCACTAGGCAGTGCCCCAGTAGGGACCCTGTGTGGGGGCTCCCACCCCACATTTCCCTTCTGCACTGCCCTAGCAGAGGTTCTCCATGAGGGCCCCGTCCCTGCAGCAAACTTTTGCCTGGACATCCAGGCATTTCCATACATCTTCTGAAATCTAGGCGGGGGTTCCCAAACCTCACTTCTCGACTTCTGTGCACCCACAGGTGCAACACCATGTGGAAGCTGCTAAGGCTTGAGGCTTCCACCCTCTGAAGCCACAGCCCAAGCTCTATGTTGGCCTCTTTCAGCCATGGCTGGAGCAGCTGGGACACAGTGTACCAAGTCCCTAGGCTGCACACAGCATGGGGACCTTGGGCCCAGCCCATGAAACCACTTTTTCCTCCTGGGCCTCTGGGCCTGTGATGGGAGGGACTGTTGTGAAGGTCTCTGACATGGCCTGGAGACATTTTCCCCATGGTCTTGGGGATTAACATTAGGCTCCTTGCTACTTACGCAAATTTCCGCAGCTGGCTTGAATTTCTTCTCAGCAAATGGGCTTTTCTTTTCTGCTGCATCAGCAGGCTGCAAATTTTCTGAAATTTTATGCTCTGTTTCCCTTTTAAAGTGGAATGCTTTTAACAGCACCCAAGTGACATTTTGAATGCTTTGCTGCTTAGAAATTTCTCCCACCAGATACCCTAAATCATCTCTTTCAAGTTCAAAGTTCCACAAATTTCTAGGGCAGGGGCAAAATGCCACCAGTCTCTTTGCTAAAACATAACAAGAGTCACCTTTGCTCCAGTTCCCAACAAGTTCCTCATCTCCATCTGAGACCACCTCAGCGTGGACCCTATTGTTCATATCACTATCAGCATTTTTGTTGAAGCCATTCAACAAATTTCTAGGAGGTTCCAAACTTTCCCACATCCAAAGTGTTCCAACCTCTGCCTGTTACCCAGTTCCAAAGTCGCTTCCACATTTTCGGGTATCTTTTCAGCAACATCCCACTCTACTGGTACCAGTTTACTGTATTAGTTCATTTTCATGCCGCTGATAAAGACATACCCAAAACTGGGAACAAAAAGAGGTTTAACTGGACTTACAGTTCCACATGGCAGGGGAGGCCTCAGAATCATGGGGGGAGGCAAAAAGTACTTCTTACATGGCAACAGCAAGAGAAAATGAGGAAGAAGCAAAAGCAGAAACCCCTGATAAACCCATCAGATCTTGTGAGACTTATTCACCATCATGAGAATAGCACAGCAAAGACTGGTCTCCATGATTCAATTACCTCCCACTAGGTCCCTCCCACAACGTGTGGAAATTCTGGGAGATATACTTCAGTTGAGATTTGAATGGAGACACAGCCAAACCATATCAGGTAGGAATAGTAACTTATTACCTGACAGGCAGGACTGTTAATGGAGAGAAACAAAGTCTGAACAGAACATTGTTGAAGGTATTGAACATCAATATAAAATATACCTGTTCAGGCTGATCCTGCTTTTGAAGGTGATCTCACTCTCACATTGTTACCTTGTTTCCCAGGAAGTACCTAGATGCTGTTCTGACTTCATAAACTGCCTATCAGCAACATCCCCATAGACATCACTGATTTATTTTAAGAGAGCAGCTAAGGCTGGGTGCGGTGGCTCACGCCTGTAATCCCAGCACTTTGGGAGGCCGAGGTGGGTGGATCACCTGAGGTCAGGAGTTCGAGAACAGCCTGGCCAACATGGAGAAACCCCATCTCTACTAAAAATACAAAATTAGCCGGGCGTGGTGGCACATGCCTGTAATCCCAGCTACTCAGGAGGCTGAGGCAGGAGAATCGCTTGAACCCGGGGAGGCGGAGGTTGTGGTGAGCCGAGATTGCACCATTGCACTCTAGCCTGGGCAACAAGAGCAAAACTCCGTATCAAAAAATAAAAATAAAAAAAGAGAGCAGCTAAAAGCACTTTCATTCACAATAGTCCATGTTTTCATTGGTCCTTCTTTTGAAAAGGGAATTGTTAATGGATTGACTGATTTTCTTTCTTTCTCTCTCTCTCCCTTTCTCCCAACCTCCTCCTTCTCTTCTTCTTTTTCTTTCTTCTTTCTGCTTCCTTTCTTCTTCCCCTTTCCTTCTTTTTCTTTTCCTCCTCCCCCTCCTCCCTCCTTCTCCTCCTCCCCCTCCTCCCTCCTTCTCCTCCTTCTTTTTCCTTTCTTCTTCTTTTCTTCCTCTTCTTCACAGGCTATATTGCTCAGGCTAGTCTTGAATTCCTGGGCTCAAGCAATCCTTCTGCCTCTGCCTCCCGAGTAGTGGGACTGTAGGCATGCACCACCTCCCTTAGCTTGGTTGATTTTCTGAGCTTACTTTTTAAATAGCATGGAGACCAAAATAAAAAGGAAAAGTTAATCTGATATCTACAAATTTTAACATTTTCCATGTTCCCTTCCAGCATTGGTCTAGCATGACTGTTGGCTATGTGTTCAAGGAAGAGGCATTAGCACTTTAGAAACAAGCCCCAGGGCCCAGGATTCTGGCTTCTGCGCCCGCCTTAGAGGGTTGTGTGACAGAACCAGTGCCAGTAACCACAGTCTCCCAGTGCTGGCCAGGCTGCCGCTGCTTAGGCACTTCTTTCTCAGCACAAGGAGGCTGTGGCTGTCTCTACAAAAATACGGAAAGGGAACAAGCAGCCAAGTAAGGTGATTGTGTAGAACTTCAGACCAGAAAAGCTTGGACAATTTCAGGAGAAAATAGGTACTGGTCTGAGTTATCTGGAGACTGGAATTTATAGTACAGCCTTAATTAGAGCAAGAGGCAAAGGAAGGCAGTACAGACACGTGTTCCAATTGGTCAAGACCTTTTTTTTTTTGAGACAGAGTCTCATTCTATCACCCAGGCTGGAGTGCAGTGGTGTGATCTCGGCTCATTGCAACCTCAGCCTCCCAGGTTAAAGTGATTCTCCTGTCTCAGTCTCCCGAGTAGCTGGGATTACAGGCATGCACCACCACGCCAGGCTAATTTTCTTTTTTTTTTTTTTTTTTGAGACGGAGTCTCGCTGTCGCCCAAGCTGGAGTGCTATGGCGCGATCTCGGCTCACTGCAGGCTCCGCCCCCTGGGTTCACGCCATTCTCCTGCCTCAGGCTCCCAAGTAGCTGGGACTACAGGCGCCCACCACCTCGCCTGGCTAATTTTTTGTATTTTTAGTAGAGACGGGGTTTCACCATGTTAGCCAGGATGGTCTCGATCTCCTGACCTCGTGATCTTCCCGCCTCAGCCTCCCAAAGTGCTGGGATTACAGGCATGAGCCACCGCACCCGGCCATAATTTTTGTATTTTTAGTAGAAATGAGGTTTCACCATGTTGGCCAGGCTAGTCTTGAACTCCTGACCTCAAGTGATCTGCCTGCCTTGGCCTCCCAAGTGCTGGGATTACAGGTGTGAGCCACTGCACTGGGTCTGGTCAAGACTTTTAACATTTTTTATCTTGTTTGAGAAATTTTAAAGCTATAGAAAAATACAGAGAATAATACACATATTCCTGCCTCCCAGAATTGACCATCATTAAATATTGACTTAGTATTAAAATTTTAATAGAAGAAAATCCCAATACTATTACTCTTTTCTCCTTCCAAAAGGCCAACATTCCCTTGAGTTTGGTGTGTAGACTGTGTTAGACTTCCTAGTATAAATTATAGCCTTCATTAGCTGTTAAAACAGATCTTTTAATCTGTGTGTTCCTTCCAAGTCCACAGTCTATAATTTTATATACATGAATAAATGTTCTTGGGCATGATATTCTCCTGCTTTTAAAAATTATTTAAATGGGTTGGACACAGGGGCTCATGCCTGTAATCCCAGTGCTTTGGGAGGCTGAGATGGGAGGACTACTTGAGGCCGGGAGTTTGAGACCAGGCTGGGCAACACAGTGAGACCATGTCTCTGAAAGAAATATATAGCTTTAAATGGTACCATTAATGGCAACTGGGAATTTGTTTGACATTAAGAGAGGATTATAGGGAGCTCATCCTCTGGAATTCATATCACTTTCATCATTATATTTACTCAGTACTTATTGGTCATCTGTTACCTGGCAGGTGCTGTGGCAGGGAATACAACAGTGAACAACACTGATCATTTCTCCCACTCATGACACTTACATTCTAGTGGAGGAGGTAGTCACAAAAATATGTACAAATAAATTGTGGTAGCCATTCTTCAAGATGGGCCCCAGGGATCCCCACTTCATGGTATTCATCTCCTTGTGTAGTCCTCTCACATTTTACCACGGTTGGTCTATGTGACCAATAGCATATGGCAGAAGTAGTGATATGTAACTTCTGAGATTAGGTTATAAAAAAGACTGCGGTTTCTGTTTTAGTTGCTCACATGCTGTCTTTGGGCTGTGTACTCTGTGGGAAGCTGCCATGTTATGAGGACACTAAGGCAGCCTGGGGAAAGGCCCACTTGAGGAGGAATGAACTGAGGCTTGCCAATAGCCGCATGAGTGAGTTTGAATGTGAATCCTTTAGCCCCACCTGAACCTTGAGATGACAGTAGCCCAGACCAAAAGGTTGACTGAAACCCCATGAAAGATCTTGTCCAGACCATCCAGCTAAGCCCTACTGTATTCCTGACCCACAGAAACATTGTGATGATAAATGTTTATTTTAAGCTGCTATGTTTTAGGGTAATTTTTATGTACCAATAGATAACTAATACACAGACATTAGCAATAACTAATACACAGTAAATAATTGCAAATTGTAATAAATGCATATACCAATCTGATGGTAAAGCAGATGTCTGTCACAAGAAGTGGTATGGTCAAGTGGTTAATGACATAGGCTTTGGAGCCTGAATGCCTAGGTTCAGATCCTGGCTTTGCCATATACTAGTGTGTGACCGTGGCAAATCATTTCAAAATTTTTTTGGCTTCTATTTCCTAACTTGCTCATTTGTAAAACAGATAATAACAGTACTTATATTAAGGTTGTTGCGAAGATTCAACAAGTTAGAAAATGAAAGTGCTTAGCTCGGAGCCTAGCACATTTTAAGTGCCCAATTAACATAACTATTGTTATTCTGTATGGATTATTGAGCATTTGTCATTAATATATTTGCCTCAGCTGTTTGCATATTGTCCTTCACATTGGAAAATGACTACTGAAGGTGAATGCTCTGAATAAATTTGACTCAAATTTAACAATGTAGTTCTGAAAGAAGAGAAAGACCCTCTCATATTATTTTATATTGTTTTATACTCAGTACCTGTTTTAAGAAAAAACAACAAGGAAGTAAAACCAAAGACAGGCAGCCCGGCGCCTGGCCCGAAACCAGGCCTGGGCCTGCCTGGCCTAAACCCAGTAGTTAAAAATCAACTCATAACTTAGAAACCGATGTTATTCATAGATTCCAGACATTGTATAGAAGAACATTGTGAAACTCCCTGCCCTGTTCTGTTTCTCTCTGACCACCAGTACATGCAGTCCCTGTCACATACCCCCTGCTTGCTCAAATCAATCACAACCCTTTCATGTGAAATCTTTAGTGTTGTGAGCCCTTAAAAGGGACAGACATTGTGCACTCAGGGAGCTCGGATTTTAAGGCAGTAGCTTGCTGATGCTCCCAGCTGAATAAAGCCCTTCCTTATACAACTCAGCGTCTGAGAGGTTTTGTCTGTGGTTAGTCCTGCTACAGTTCAAAGCTGTGTTTAGCACCTACTGTGCACCAAGGAAATATGCTAGCTGCAGGATGAAGTTTAGTAAGACATGGTTCATGTTCCCAGGGGTTCAAATTCTTGTGGAAAAGGCAGAAACAAATGTATTCATGTAATAAAGGAATCTAAGTCTAAAAAACTTATGAGTTGAAGAATCTTTGAGAATTCATCATGATTACCATTACATATGATATACTCATGTTTTTCTAGGGAGAAATATGACAGTTCTATACCCAGAAGAAAATTTGAGAATCAGTTTAGAAGTTGAGAAATTAGGCCGGGTGCAGTGGCTCACGCCTGTAATCCCAGCACTTTGGGAGGCCGAAGCAGGTGGATCACAAGGTCAAGAGATTGATACCATCCTGGCTAACACAGTGAAACCCCTAAAAATACCAAAAAAAAAAAAAAATTAGCCAGGCGTGGTGGCAGGCGCCTGTAGTCACAGCTACTCGGGAGGCTGAGGCAGGAGAATGGCGTGAACTGGGGGGTGGAGCTTGCAGTGAGCCACGATCACGCCACTGCACTATAGCCTGGGCAAGAGCGAGACTCCCGTCTCAAAAAAAAAAAAAAGAAGTTGAGAAATAAAAGATGTGTTTTAACTGCTAATGAAAGTTATAATTTATGCTAGGAAGCCAAAGTACAGAGGAAAGCAGAAAGCCGAAATGAAGACATGCTTGGCTTTCAACTTAAGTGTCACTTCATCAGAGAGGCTTCCTCCATAGCCCCTCTTCTCTTCTTTGATATCACTTATTATATTAATAATATATACTTAATTGCATTTGTTTCATATTTTCTCCGCAGTTAGACTATAAGATCCACGAAGGCAGGAATCACAACTGGGCTTACTTACTATTGTAAACTCCCCCACTTATAAATCTGACTCAGCATCTAGTTCAATCCCTGGTACAAAACAGGTGCTTAACAAAAAAATTTTTTTTTTTTTGAGACGGAGTTTTGCTCTTGTTGCCCAGGCTAGAGTGCAATGGTGAGATCTCGGCTCACCGCAACCTCCGCCTCCCGGGTTCAAGCGATTCTCCTGCCTCAGCCTCCTAAGTAGCTGGGATTACAGGCATGTGCCACCACACCCGGCCAATTTTGTATTTTTAGTAGAGATGGGGTTTCCCCATGTTGGCTAGGCTGTTGTCGAACTCCTGACCTCAGGTGATCCACCTACCTTGGCCTCCCAAAGTGCTGGGATTACAGGCGTGAGCCACTGTGCCCGGCCAACACATTTTTATAAATGAATGAATGTTAAATGAATGTTTAGAATTATTAGAATTCTATTGGGTAGATGAGGCCCATAGAAAACTCTTGAGACCAATGTAGCAGGATTCTCAGTGAAAGACTAAGTTTGTGTGCAGGGATGTTTTCCTTCTCTAGCAAAGAGAGGTGCTGGAAAGGCTTTCATGGTCCATAAGAAGGGAATTGTTTTGGAGGGCAGTGCTATAGCAACTCTTCCCCTCCATTCACCACATAAAAAATTCAGTTAGAAAATAGAGAGGAATCAGCCTTCTTGTGCTTTGAAGACTGTGAAAGATACTGGTGATCATCCATCTAGCATCCATTTTCCTCTTCTCCTTTACAGGTCTCCAGTTTTATTCAAATAGCCATGTCTCCACCTTGCAACTCATGTGACTCAAAGAGCACTGACACCATTGCCAATTCCAATTGTCATAGCTCCTTTTCACTTCTGGAACCCAGGCTTAAGCTGTCTGTACATTTCCCAGGCAGTTACTGGTAAAGAGGAAGAGTGTGTGCCTGTGTGAACTTATTGGCTCAAAAAACCAGAAGGAAAGGTTTTAGATGAAAAAGAAAGTATGTGGTCCTGATTTCTCCAAGTAGACATCTGGAAAATCACGTTAGTATGAATTTGAAGTCTACCCTTTTTTTTTTTTACAACAAAGCAGAGACTAATAGCAACTGGGTCCTTGTTAACTTGCTTAGCCACTGAATTAATCAAAGTCTCCCTTGCCTCTGAGCTTTCTGTTATGCGAGATAAGCAACTTCTTTATTTTTTAGGAAGACAGTTTAACTCAGATTCTATATCACGTGCATCCAAAATAATAATAACTGACTCAAAGATGTTTGGCCTCTACAATTAGGGCAGCCATTCTCAGAAGAGTATGCAAGGGCACCCTATTATCTTGGAAAAGGGAAGCACTGAGACTATTTGCATTTTGAGAACTGAAAATGCAATCTGCTAACCGTCGTTAGAGTGAATATCCAGGTATGGAAAGCACAGTGGGTAGGCGTAGGTTGGGGTAGGGACATGTTTGCATGGGGCAAACACAGAGATCAAACCTAAGTGTAGTCCCAGCTGCCTGGAAGAAGGCTAAGAAGGGTCTGAAAGTATTGAGCTCCAAGAGCCCTTGGATCTCCTGATGAGAGACCCTTGGCTGATGCCCTAGATGGGACATCCCTGTTGGCTACTGTGGGACCTGCATCATTTGACTGCAACACAGTCTGTTGCAACATTTGACTGTAACACAGACCTACATCATTTGACTGATTTGAAAAGACAAGTTGTCAACAGCGACACCATGTGGCTATAAGATACAATGACAATGGTGGACAGCTACAGCCTCAGGTAGGGCCTGACGCTTCGTCGAGATGTGGAAAATGCTGAATGGGAAGATGAACTGTCGTCAACAAATATTTATTGGGGTCCTCCAAATGTCAGCTGCTACAGTGGTCATTCAGGTCTGGAACATCGAGAACATGCTGACCCGTACCCCAGCAAGGGCTCGTAGTCGCGGCGGGGTAGGGGGCGAGAGAGAGGGCAGTCTCTGGTGGCCAGGTAACCCAGGCTTCACTTTCACCCACGGCCACAAGTATTTCTGACGTCTTCCGGGCAAATAAGCCTCCATGTAAGTGACAGGGCACCCAAGGAGTGCGTTGGAAGCGCCAGCGTGCCCGAGACCAGCACATCGCACCGACGCCTTCGTTTGCGGTAAGCCCCGCCCCCCGTAGTGAGCCAACCGGAGGGAGCGGGGCGGACCCAGCTTCCCGGAGAGGCTGGAGAGAATCGTTTGGGGGCATTCGCAGGCCAAAGAGGGGCTGGCCCTCGACGCGCTCGGGCTCGATTGGCCGCCCTCCCCCGGCGGTGGTAACGGTCGCGGAGGCGGGGCCTGACGTAGCTGATCCCAGCCTAACCTGGCCCGGCTGGCTGCTGGTGGGAGGCCGGCGACTGAGTAAGGTGAGTGGCTCTCGGGGCTCTCAGAGGCGTCGGCGTGAGCCCCTTCCCGGAGTACCCCGGACTTGACCTCACCTGGGCCTAAAAGTGGTCAGACTGACCCTTGTCGGGGAGGAGCCATCTGGGACAGGGTCGCGCCAATTAAAAATCCCTGCGTAAGGGTTTGGGGATCGGACAAAACTGCCTCCAGTCCCAGCTCCCCAGGCTTTGTGTTCTTTGGCTTCTCCTTTAATGTCTCAGCGCCTCCGATTCTTTATTTGTATACTAAAGCTGGTAATTCTTGCCTTACAAGGTGGTTGTGAGGGTTAAATGAGGCAGTAAGAGTAAAGCTTAGAATCACGTCGGGCACAGACTCGATTTAAGCTGTAGGTAATTACTCCATCCCCCAAAATCGACCCGGGCTGAAGCGCTAGTTTTGTGTCAAACAACCGCGAAGGTTGTTTGGGGAGTGAGGACTCGGAGCAGAAGGGGGCGGTTAGGCGAATAGCACAGGTGAGTATCTCTTTCTCCAGTTTATTAACCTCATTCCGGATTCAGGAGACCTCTGACTTTATACAGGGCCTAATAGGAGTTTTTCAAGGTGAAAAATGCCAGAAGGCTAAGTCACCTGTAACAGAGAGACCAATCAGAGTTTCCTTTTTTACTGCCACTTTGTTTTTCAATCAATGATATTAAACAGGCAGGGCGCAGTGGCTTACGCCTGTAATCTCAGCACTTTGGGAGGCCGAGGTGGGCGGATCCCCTGAGGTCAGGAGTTCGAGACCACCCTGGCCAACATGATGAAACCACGTCTCTACTAAAAATACAAAAATTAGCTGGGCATGGTGGTGTGCGCCTGTAATCCCAGCTACTCGGGCGGGTGAGGCAGCAGAATCGCTTGAACTCGGGAGGCGGAGGTTGCTGTGAGCCGAGATCGCGCCACTGCACTCCAGCCTGGGTGACGGAGCGAGACTCTGTCTCAAAAATATATGTATAATATATTAAACTCTGTGCAGGCATTACCCATATTGGTTTCAAGCCTCTGCATGAGTTTTGTACTTTAAATATTGCCAAGTAGACTCTGGCCTCCCCTGCCCCGCCTTTTGGGGAAGAGGTGGCTGACTTGGAGTTTTCCCTACAGCTTTTGCTTCAAAGCAAGGTTCTGCCCCTTCATGTCACCTCTCCTGAGACAGAATGATTTGGTTGAGATGACATTCCATTTTAACTCTTTCCTATTTGGGGTAAGTTCAGCTCTTTCTTAGGAACATTAAACAGCAAGTTGCAATATTTTTAGAATAGAGCTTTTGCATTTAATAAGGAATAGAGACTTCGAAAGGGTTACATGTTCATTTATTGCAGTAATTTGAAGTATATACTTTTGAAGATGCTTACAGATTTTGGTGTGATTCAGTTGAGAAGGAACAGTTATTGGCCATGGTTTATTGTCAGCTCCCCTCCCCCACCCCAAATGGTGAAAAAAATAATTAAATTTTAAGATATGGAGCATGTTACAAGGGGCTTCAGACCTATAAAGGGCAATTTGGCTGAAAGACTCGGGAAACCTAGAAAGTGCCAGAAGATGCAATTATGTTTTTGCTTTTCTATGCTTGGCTTACTATGCCATGTACAAATCAACTCCTACCCTCCGACTCCTACCCCCCGACTCCTACCCCCAACAATCTTATTTTAAGTGTGTTATGACAGTAATTAAAGCTGTAGCTTCTGTTTTGGCCCTAGAAAGCATTTGGTCTCTTCCTGTGACTTTAAAGTTCCAGACCTTTGTCCTGTCACAGCCTGTAGTGGGGAAAAGGCTGCTGCAAACTATTGGCCCGTTTATTTCACAGAATGGTCCTCTGAAAAGGAGGGCTTGGTCACAGGTGCAAATGAGGAGTAGTTTTGTTCCTGTGTTTGCTTTTGTGATCAGTGGTAGTTTGTCTGAGGATGCTTCATTTTAGTATCCTTGCAAATGAGAATATCCTACCTGTGGAGCCAGAAGTCAGAATTGATGATAGATGATGATAGATTTGGATACCCAGCTAAATGTCTTAACAAGGTAGGGAGAGGAAAGATAAGAAGGAGAGAGAAGAGAAGGGAAGAGGCATATGATGGTGAGCTGGGAAGGCCATTAGCAGTTATTTCAGTTGTGCCTGCTTTATCTGTGATTACCAGTACCTTGGATGCCTGCTCTGGGAGTAACACAAGACCATTCTTACTAGGAGGTTGAACATTTCAAGATTTTGTTCTTTTTATCTTTTTGAAACCTAGATGAAGATCCAGTTTCAGACATGAGACTCGTTGGGTGATCATTTCATTGAGATCAACCTGAATGACCAGGTGTAAAGTGCAAGAGTAATATGCTATGACTGAGGTATGTCTAATGTAACGGATGACTCCAGATGTTGGGAGGCCATGGAAAAAAATCTAATATTTATTGAGTACTATACTAGGTTCATTACATATATTTCCTTTTGACTTCCTGATAATCCTATCAGGTAGATATTTTACAACTCAGCAAAGAAGCTGAAGCTCAGAGAGGTTAAATACCTACTTAAGATAACACAGAAAGCTGATCACCAACTCTAATCACAGTCTCCATCCTGCTGTGTGCCAGACAATGCTTTATGTTCTTTCTATATTAACTCTTCTAATCTTTAACTCGTGAGCTGAGTACTTTTATTATCCTTATTTTATGATGAGGAAATTGAAGCACACAGAGATTAGTACTGTACTCTCCTGGCTGTGTGGCAGAATCCATGATTTGAACCCAGGCAGTCTGGCTACAGAGCTCTGCAGGTTGAGTATCCCTTACCTGCAATGCTTGGAACTATGTTTTGGACTTTTAGATTAAAAAAAAAATTGGAATATTTGTATATACATGAGGTATCTTGTTTAGAGTTGGGTAACTCTAAACACAAAATTCATTTATTGTTTCATATACAGCTTATACACACAGCCTGAAGCTAATTTTATACATTTTTAATAGTTTTATGCATGAAATGAAGTTGTGACTGTGACCTGTCACATAAGGTCAGGTGTGGAATTTTCTACTTGTGGTGTCAAGTTGGTGCTCAAAAAGTTTTGGATTTTGGAGCATTTTGGATTTCAAATATTCATATTAGGAACGTTCAACCCGTACCAGCTTTATTTTGGTTAGGTTAGCATTTCCTTTACTTTTCTATTTTTTGTTATTTAACAAAATCTTTTTAGCGTAAAATGAAATTTTTGTTATAAATCACATACCAAATGTATAGCTTAATAAATTATTACAGGACCATACCATTCAGGTATGCCAGATCCCCTCCATTACCCTATCCCAGTCAAAACTCCTGTGTTCCCATTTAGTCACCATTCTTCTGGGTTTTATAGTTTTGTAGTAATCACTTCCCTGTTTTTTTTTTATTATTTATTTATGAGATAGAGTCTCATTCTGTTGTCCAGGCTGGAGTGCAGTGGCACGATCTCAGCTGTCTGCAACCTCTGTCTCCTGGGTTCAAGTGATTCTCCTGCCTCAGCCTCCTAAGTAGCTGGGATTATAGGCACACACCACCAGGATCGGCTATTTTTTTTTTTTTTTTAGTATTTTTAGTAGAAACGGGGTATCACCATGTTGGCCAAGCTGCACTGTGAGCCTGGCCTCCTAGTTTTTGATAGCTTCCTTGTTATATAATATATTGAACAATTCCTATCGCAGATATGAAATCAGCCATTTCTTTAAAATGCCCGGGTTTCATTTAGAGGGAAATAATATTTCAGTTACAGTCTGAATGCTAAAGATCCTGAGTTAGTCACTGTTTCAGGCATTTCAGTAGACAGAGCTAGGATACCTGTATCTGTCTATAGACACACATGTTAAAAGATACCTAATGTATTCTACTTCCAGTCTTCAGATTGAGATTACAGAGCTTTTACTTAACAACTTCTCTATCACAACTGTAACTCCTTTTTTCCATACTGAGAATCATGATTCTCAAGAATATAGGAGAAAATAGAATATTCCATATTTACTCATTATTCTGTATTATACATATGACAGTATCAGAACTATATTTCTGAAATCACCATCAATATGATTACTGAAAACATTAAACCTTTTTTTTTTGGCTTATGTTCTTCTCATTTTTTCTTCTCTCTCTGTTTTAACAGTTATGCTCTATCTGCATTGTCAGAGTATATAGCCATTTCATGTTCTGCTTTTTCCCTCTTAGCCTATTAGTTCTATTAATATATTTAATGTTTACCACCAGTGTTTATGCTGAGGTCTCTCTAGGCATTTTGGCTACCTGAAGCTAATACATTGTTAGATTCCTCGGGAAGTAATATTGTCTGAGTTCTTATATATTGATCAAAGTTTATTCTTTTTATACTTCAAAGTCAATTTTGCAGATATAAAGTCTTTGGCTCACACTTCTTTTCCGTGAATTTCTTAAATACATTACTCCTTTTTCTTCTGGAATAAAGTATTGGTATCAAAGTCAGATTATTATCTAATTTTTCTTCTTCTTATAAGTCATGTGGGTTTTTTTCTTGTAGATAACCAAATAATTTGTTTTCTTTTTTTCTTTTTGAGATACAGTCTTACTCTGTCACCCTGGCTGTAGTGCAGTGGTATGATCTTGGCTCACTGCAGCCTCCACCTCCTGGGTTCAAGCAGTCCTCCCACCTCAGCCTCCTGAGTAGCTAGGACTACAGGTGTATGCTGCCACACCCAGCTAATTTTTTTTTTTTTTTTTCTTGAGAGACAGGGTTTTGCCAAGTTGCCCAGGCTGGTCATGAACCCAGGCTCAAGTGATCCACCTGCCTCAGGCTTCCAAAGTGCTGAGATTACAGGCATGAGCCACTACGCCCAGCCAAATTTTTTCTTTTTCATTAAAGTCTGCTAATAATATTAGAATATATCACTGTGTTGGTTGTTTTGGGTCAGTATTCTCAGGTACTTCATATTTTCTTTCCATTTGTAGTTTCAAATCTTTTTTTAAATTTCAGGAAAACTTTATTTTTAAAACAGCTTTATTGATATATTTAATATACAATAAGCTGCACATATGTAGTATAAGTTTTGACTTACATATACACCTATGAAACCACCCCAATCAGGATTGTCAATATATCCATCATCCCCCCAAATTCCCTTGTTCTCGTTAGTAGTCTCTGTGTCTAGCCTCCAATTCTCTCAGCAACCACTGATCTGCTTTCTATCACCACAGTTGGTTTTCATTTTCTAGAGTTTTATATAAATGGAATGTTATAGTATGTACTATTTTATGGCTGGCTTTCAGCGTAATTATTTTGACATTTATCCATGTTGCACATATTCTTTTTTATTGCTGAGGGGTATTCCATCCAATGGGTATACCACAGTTTGTGTGTCTGTTCACCTGCTGCTGGACATTTGAGTTGTTTCCAGTTTCTGGCTATTATAGATAAAGCTCTTACGAACATTTGTGTACAGTCTTTGTGTGGACATAATGCTTTCATTTCTCTTGGGTAAATTCTAGGAATGGCATGACTGGGTCTTATGGTAAGTGCTTATTAACCTTTTAAGAAATAGCCAAAGTGATTTACAAAGTGGTTGTACTAGTTTAAATTCCCGTCGGCAGTATATGAGAGTTCTAGTTCCCTCACATCCTCGAAAACACTTGGTCTAGTCATTCTTAGCCATTCTAATATGTGTAGTGGTGTCACATCGTGTGTTTTAATTTGCATTTCCCTCCTGACTAACAATGTTTAGCATCTTTTTGTGTGCCTAGCTGCCATCTGTATGTCTTCTTTTGTGAAATGTCTATTGAAATTTTTTGACCATTTTTAAGTTCAGTTGTTTACTTCTTGTTGATGTTAACTTCCTTACTAAGTTTTGAGAGTTCCCTATATATTCTGGATATGAACCTTTTCTGATTCCTGACTATTTTCTCTGAGTATGTGGTTTCTCTTTTCATTCTCAGAATGTTATATTTTAAAGAGCAGACATTATTTTTATGAAGCCCCATTTGTTCTTGAATTGTATCATGCTTTTGGTGTCATATCATAGACATGTTTGCCTAACTCAAGGCCATACAGTTTTTCTGTGTTTTTCTAGACATGTTGTGATTTTAAGTTTTAGATTTATGTCATTCATTTTAATTTTTTTGTATATGGTGTGAGATATGGCTGAAAGTCCTGTTTCTTTCTCTTTTTTTTGTACATGGGCATCCCATTGTTCTAGCATCATTTATTGAAAAAAAAAAACTATCGTTTTTCCTGCTAAATTACCTTCGTATCTTTGGTGAAAATTAGTTGTCCATATATGTATGAGTCTGTTTCTGGAATCTATTTAGTTTCATTAATCTGTTTGTCTATCTTGATATCAATGCTATATTGTCTTGATTACTATAGCTTTATAAACCTTGAAATGATATAGTATTAGTCCTTCAACTTTGTTCTTCTTTTTCATTCATTCATTTATTAATTTAGAGATAGGGTCTTGCTTTGTCACCCAGCCTAGAGTGCAGTGGCACAATCATAGCTCACTGATTAAACTCCTGGGTTCAAGTTGTCTTCCCACCTCAGCCACCTAAGTAGCGAGGACTACAGGTTCATGCCACAATGCCTGGCTAATCTTTTTTTTGTAGAGATGGGGTCTTGCTATGTTGCCCAGTCTGGTCTTGAATTCCTGGGCCTCAAGCTGTCCTCCTGCCTCAGCCTCCCAGAGTGCTGGGATTACAGGTGTGAGCCACCATGGCCAGCCTGTTCTTTTTCAAAGTTGTTTTGTCTTTTATAGATCTTTTGCAGCTCTGTATGAATTTTAAAATCAGGAAAGTTTCCTGAATTATAGTTTTTTTAATTGGTTCTGTTGTTTTAGTTTTCTTTTTCAATTACCACTATTATGTGTATGTTTGAGCTTCTTTGCCTATCTTTGTCATTTTCATATTTCTTCTTCATTTCTTTTTAATTTTTTAAAATTGTTTTCCTTTTAATCTCTATTTCTCTTAAGGCATTGTCTGTAGTCTTTACTCATTCATTTTCCTTCTTTAATCTTCATTTCAGAAATAATTAGTTTTTAAAAGTTACTAATTTCTAGATTCTATCAGCTCATTTCCAAGTTTTATTTCTAATTATGTTGTTTATGTCTTACAGAGTTTTACATGTATTTTAGTTTGTTTTAATATAGAGGTTATAGTTCCTATCTGTTTTGTGAGCACGTCTTTCTAGTATATTTTTCTTGTCTGTAGAGATTTTTTTTAATATGAACTTTTACAATTTAAAATTTTTTTAATTTCATGGGTGCACAGATGTGTATGTTTATGGGTTACATGGGATATTTTGATACACCATATAATATATAATAATCATATCAGGGTAAATGAGGTAGCCACCATCTTAAGCATTTATCCTTTGTGTTAGAAACAATCCAATTATTCTCTTTTAGTTACTTAAAAGTGTGCAATTATATTATTATTGAATATAGTCAACCCATTGTGCTAGCAAATATTAGATCTTATTCTTTTTTTCTATTTTTTTGTACCCATTGACCATCCCCTCTTCCTTTCAGCCCACCTGTTACTCTTCCCAGCCTTTGGTAACCATCCTTCTACTCTGTGTCTCCATGAGTTCAATTGTTTTGATTTTTGGATCCCACAAATAAATGAGAACATGTGATGTTTGTCTTTCTGTGCCTGGCTTATTTCACTTAAAATAATGACTTCCAGTTCCATCCATGTTGTTGCAAATGACAGGAGCTCATTCTTTTTTTATGGCTGAGTAGTACTCCATTATGTATATGTACCAGATTTTCTTTATCCATTTGTCTGTCAGTGGACACTTGGGTTGCTTCCAAATCTTGGCTTTTGTGAATAATGCTGCAGTAAACATGAGAGTGCAGATATCTCTTTAATATGCTGATTTCCTACCAAAAATATAAAAAATTGGCCAGTGTGGTGGCATGTGCCTATAATCCCAGCTACTCAGGAGGCTGAGGCAGGAGAATCGCTTGAACCTGGGAGGCAGAGGTTGCAGTGAGCCGAGATTGTGCCACTGCACTCCAGCCTGGGCGACAGAGTGAGACTCAAAAAAAAAAAGTTGTTTCAGATCCTTATACATCCTGGCTATTAACCCTCGTCAGATGGGTAGTTTACAAATATTTTCTCCCATTCTGTGGGTTGTCTCTTCACTTTGTTGTTTCCTTTGCCGTGCAGAAGCTTTTTAACTCAATGTGACCCCACCTGTCTATTTTTGCTTTGGTTGCCTGTGCTTGTGGTATATTACTCAAGAAATCTTTGCCCAATCCAATGTCCTGGAGAGTTTCCCCAATTTTTTTGTAGTACTTTCATAGTTTGAGGGCTTAGATTTAAGTCTTGATTCATTTTTATTTGATTTTTGTATATGGTGAGAGATAGGGGTCTAGTTCCATTCTTCTGCATATGGATATCCCAGCACCATTCATTGAAGAGACTTTTCTTTCCCCAATGTATGTTCTTGGCACCTTTGTCAATAATGAGTTCACTGTCAGTATGTGGATTTGTTTCTGGGTTTTCTGTTCTGTTCCATTGGTCTATGTGTCTGTTTTGGTGGCAGTAGTATGCTGTTTTAGTTAATATAGCTCTGCAATATAATTTGAAGTCAGTTAATGTGATTCCTCCAGTTTTATTCTTTTTGCTCAGGATAGCTTTGGCTATTCTGGGTCTTTTGTGCTTTAAATTTTAGGATTATTTTGTCTATTTCTGTGAAGAATGTCATTGGTATTTTGCTAGGCATTTGCATTGAATCTGTAGATTGCTTTGAGTAATATAGATATTTTAACAATATTGATTGTTTCAATCTATGAACATGGAATATCTTTTCATTTTTTTGTGGCCTCTTCAATTTCTGTCATCAGTATTTTATAATTTTCATTGTAGAGATGTTTTACTTCATTGGTTCAGTTAATTCCTAGGTGTTTAATTTTCTTTGTGGCTATTGTAAATGGGATTACTGTTTTGATTTCTTTTTCAGATTGTCCTTGTTGGTTTATAGAAATGCTACTGATTTTTCTAAGCTGATTTTGTGTCTTGCAGCTTTACTGAATTTGTTTACCAGTTCAAATAGCTTTTTGGTGGAGTCTTCAGGTTTTTCCAAATATAAGATCATGTCACCTGCAAACAAGGATAATTTGATTTCAAATTTTGATGGCCTTTTTTTCCTTTCTCATGTCTAACTGCTAGCTAGAGCAATTCCAGTCCTTTTTCATCTCTAGCTAGAGCAATTCTAGTCCTAACTACAGCAATTCCAGTCCTTTTTCATCTCTGATTTTATTTGAATCTTTTTTCCTTTCTTCCTTCATAGTCTGGCTAAAGGTTTGTCAATTTTTTATCCTTGTTCTGTTCTAGATCTTAGAGGAAAGGCTTTCAGTTTTTCCCGATTCAGTGTGATACTGCCTGTGGGTCTGTCATACATGGCTTTTATTATGTGGAGGTATGTTCCTTTTATACCTAGTTTTTTTAGGGTTTTTTTTTTAAATCATGAAGGAATGTTGAATTTTATCAAGTGCTTTTTCAGTATCAGTTGAAACGATCATATGGTTTTTGTCTTTCAGTCTGTTGATAATGATGTATCACATTGATTGATTTGCATATGTTGAATCATCCTTTCATCCCTGGGATAAATCCCACTTGTTGATGATGAATGATCTTTTTAATGTGTTGTTGAATTTGGTTTGCTAGTATTTTGTTGAAGATTTTTGCATCAATATTAATCAGGGATATTGGCCTGTAGGTTTTTCTCTCTCTCTCTCTTTTTTTTTTTTTTTTTTGATATGTCTTTGTCTGGTTTTGGTATCAGGGTAATACTGGCCTCATAGAATGAGTTTGGATGTATTCCCTCCTCTTCCATTCTTCAGAATAGTTTGAGTAGGGTTGGTGTTAATTCTTTAAATGTTTGGTAGAATTCAGCAGTGAAGCCATGGAGTCCGAGGCTTTTCTTTGCTGGAGGACTTTTTATTATAGCTTCAATGTTGTTAGTTGTTATTGGTCTGTTCAGGTTTTGGATTTCTTTATGGTTCAATCTTAGTAGGTTGTTTGTGTCTAGGAATTTATCCATTTCTTCTAGATTTTCTAGTTTATTGGTATATAGTTGCTCCTAGTAGGCTCTAATGATCCTTTGTATTTCTGCAGTATTGGTTGTAATGTCTCCTTTTTCATCTCTGATTTTGAATCTTTTCTCTTTTTTCTTCATTAGTCTGGCTAAGGGTTTATCAGTTTTCTACATCTTTTCAAAAAACCAACTTTTTGTTTTATTGTTCTTATGTCTTATTTGTTTCAATTTCATTATTTCTGCTGTAATCTTTATTATTTCTTCTACTTTCAGTTTGGTTTGCTCTGCTTTTCTAGTTCTAGTTCATTAGGTTGTTTATTTGAAGTTTTTCTTTTCATGTAGGCACTTAAAGCTATAAATTTCTCTCAGTACTGTTTTCACTGTATCCCATAGGTTTTGGTATGTTCTGTTTCCATTATCATTTGTTTCAAGACATTTTTCAGTTTCCTTCTTAATCTCTTCATTGACCCACTGATGATTCAGGAGCCTATTGATTAATTTTCATATGTTTGAATAGTTTCCAAAATTCCTCCTGTTAACTGATTTCTAGTTTTATTCCATTGTGGTCAGAGAAGATACTTTATATTATTCCAGTTTGTTTTTAATGTTTTAACACTTGTTTTGTGGCCTAACATATGGTCCATCCTTGGGAATGATCCATGTGCTGAGGAGAAGAATGTGTATTCTTCAGCCATTGGATGAAACGTCTGTAAATATCTGTTAGGTCCATTTGTTCTATAGTGCAGATTAAGTCAGATGATTCTTTGTTGATTTTATGTCTGGATGATCTGTCTGATGAAAGGGTGGTGTTGAAGTCTTCAACTATTATTGAATTGAGATTTATCTCTCGAGCTCTAATAATATTTGCTTTATATATCAGGGTACTCCAATGTTGGGTGTATAATATTTACAATTGTTACATACTCTTGCTGAATTGACCTGTTTATCATTATATAATGACCTTGTTTGTCTCTTCTTACAGTTTTTGTCTTAAAATCTCTTTTGTCTGATATAAGTATAGCTACTCCTGCTATACTGGATTCATTGGCATGTAATATCCTTTTCCATTTCTTAATTTTCAGTCTATATGTGTCTTTATAGGTGAAGTGTATTTCAGTTCGGCCACTCTAGTGTTTTGATTGTGAGTTTAGTCCATTTATGTTCAATGTTATTGACAAATAGGGACTTACTACTGTCATTTTGTTGTTTTCTGGTTGTTTTGTGGTCTTCTCTTCTTTTTTCCTTCTTTCCTATCTTTTTTTAGTGAAGGTGATTTTTCTTAGGTGGTATGTTTTAATTTCTTGCTTCTTATTTTTTGTGTATCCATTGTATGTTTTTGGATGTAAGGTCACCATGAGGCTTGAAAATACTATCTTATAATCCATTATCTTATTTATTTATTTATTTTTATTTTTTTGAGATGGAGTCTAGTTCTGTCACCCAGGCTGGAGTGCAGTGGCATGATTATGGCTCACTGAAACCTCTGGCTTCTGAGTTCAAGTGATTCTCCTGCCTCAGCCTCCCGAGTAGCTGGGACTACAGGCACACGCCACCAGAGAATTTTTGTATTTTTAGTAGAGATGGGGTTTCACTATGTTGGCCAGGCTGATCTTGAACATGACCTTGTGATCTGCCCGCCTCAGCCTCCCAAAGTGCTGGGATTAAAGGCCACCATGCCTGGCTCATTATTTTTTATTTTTTAATTTTTTGAGATGGAGTCTCGCTCTGTCACCCAGGCTGGAGTTCAGTGGCGCTATCTTGGCTCACTGCAGCCTCCACCTCCCAGGTTCAAGCGATTCTCCTGCCTCAGCCTCCCGAGTAGCTGGGACTATGGGCATGTGCCACCACGCCTGGCTAATTTTTGTATTTTTAGTAGAGACAGGGTTTCACCATCTTGGCCAGGCTGGTCTTGAACTCCTGACCTCGTGATCCACCCATCTCGGCCTCCCAAAGTGCTGAGATTACAGGCATGAGCCACTGTGCCCAGACTCTGTGTACTTTTGATTACCCGTGAGTTTTGTACCTTCAAATAATTTCTGCTCATTAACGTCGTTTTCTTTCAGATTAAAAAAACTCCCTTTAGCATTTCTTGTAGGCCAGGTCTGGTGTTGATGAAATTCCTCAGCTTTTGTTTGTCTGGGAACAAACTTATTGCTCATTCATGTTTGACGTATTCTAGGGTAAAAGTTTTTTTTGCTTCAGCATTTTAAATATGTCATGCCACTCTTGGCCTATACGGAGCTCCATTGTATATTATTTGTTTCTTTTCTCTTTCTGCTTACAGAATTTTTTTTTTCTTGACCTTGGGAGCTTATTAATGCCTTGAGGTAGTCTCCTTGGGTTAAATCGGCTTAGTTTTCTACAGCTTTCTTGTACTTGAATATTGATATCTTTCTGTGGGTTTAGGAAGTTCTCTGTTATCCCTCTGAATACACTTTCTTTCTTTCCTTTTTCTTTTCTTATTCTTTTTTTTTTTTTTTTTTTTTGAGACAAGTTTCACTCTTGTCACCCTGACTCAGGTGCGATCTCGGGTCACTGCAACCTTTACCTCCCAGGTTCAGGCGATTCTTGTGCCTCAGTCTCCCGCATACCTGGGATTACATGCGTGTGCCACTGCACCTGGCTAATTTTGTATTTTTAGTAGAGACAGGGTTTCACCACGTTGGCCAGGCTGGTCTTGAACTCCTGACTACAGGTGATCCACCCACCTTCACCTCTCAAAGTGCTGAGATTACAGGCATGAGCCACTGCGCCCGGCCTGAATAAACTTTCTACCCCTATCTCTTTCTACTTCCTCTTTAAGGCCAATAACTCTTAGATTTGCCCTTTTGAAGCTTATTGTCTAGATCTTATAGGCATGATTCATTCTTTTTTCTTTTCTTTCTTTTTTTTTTTTTTTGAGATGGAGTCTCACTGTGTCGCCCAGTCTGGAGTGCAGTGGCGGGATCTCGGCTCACTGCAACCTCCATCTCCTGGGTTCAAGCGATTCTGCCTCAGCCTCCCGAGTAGCTGGGATTACTGGCACACGCCACCATGCCCAGCTAATTTTTGTATTTTTAGTAGAGATGGGGTTTTACCATATTGGTCAGCCTGGTCTCGAACTCCTGACCTTAGGTGATCCACCTGCCTTGGCCTCCCAGAGTGTTGGGATTACAGGCATGAGCCACCATGCCCGGCCTGTTTTTTATTCTTTTTTCTCTTGTCTCCTCTGACCGTGTATTTTCAAATAGCCTGTGTTCAGGCTCACTGATTCTTCTGCTTGATCAATTATGCTATGAAGAGGCTCTGATGCATTCTTCATTATGTCAGTTGCATTTCTCACACTCAGAATTTCTGCTTGACTTTAAAAAATTATTTCAGTTTCTTTGTTAAATTTGTCTAATAGGATCCTGAATTCCTTATCTGTGTCATCTTGAATTTCTTTGAGTTTCCTCAAAACAGCTATTTTGAATTCTATCTGAAAGGTCACATATCTCTGTCTGTCTGGGATTGGTCCCTTGTGTCTTATTTAGTTTGGTGAGGTCATGTTCTCCTGGATGGGCTTGATACTTGTAGATGTTTGTTGGTGTCTGGGCATTGAAGAATTAGGTATTTATTGTAGTCTTTGTAGTCTGGGCTTGTTTGTACCCATCCTTCTTGGGAAGACTTTCCAGTGACTTGAGTGTTGTGATCTCAGTTTTTGGTCACTGCAGCTATATATCTGAGTTACAGGATACCCCAAGCTCAGTAAAGCTGTGGTTTTTGCAGACTTACAGAGTTGCCACCTTGCTGGTCTTGGACAAGATCTGGAATAATTCTTTGGATTACCAGGCAGAGACTCTTGTCTTCCCTTGCTTTCTCTGAAACAAATGGAGTCTCTCTGTGCTGAGCTGCCTGGAATTGGGGGAGGGGTGACACAGGCATCCCTGTGGCCGGCCCTACTGGGACTGTACTTGGTCTGGCCAGGGCCTGGAATCAGAATCCTTGGAAACCTACCTGGTGCTCTATTCTACTGAGGCTGAGCTGGTGCCACAACCATGAGAAAAGGTTCTTCCCATTTTTCCCTCCCCTTTCCCCAGGCAGAGAAGGCTCCACTTGTCTACCGCCACCACAGACCCATGGGGAGTACTGCCAGGGTACCGCCTAGGTTCACTTAAGGCCCAAGGCTCTTTAGTCAGCTGGTGAATGCTACCAGGCCTGGGACTCACCTTTCAGGGCAGTGGCTTCTCCTCTGGCCCAGAGTAGGTCCAGAGAAGCTAAGAGCCAAAGCCTGGAATTGGGAACCCCAAGAGCTTTCTTAATGCTCTTCCCCAGTTGGGCCAAGTTGGTATCTAAGCTCAAGAAAGTCTTCTTTACTCTTCCGTCTACTTTTCTCAAGCAGAAGGGGTCTGTCCTCATAGCCACCACAGCTGTGAATGTGCTGGATCACAGCTGAAGCCAGCATGTCTGAGTCTCACCCAATGCCCATGGCATATACTACCTGGTTCCTGCTGCTGATTATTCAGTGCCCAAGGGCTCTTTAATCAGCAGATGATAAATCCTGCCAGGACTGGGTCCTTCCCTCCAAGGCAGTGGGCTCCTTTCTGGCCAAGGATGTGTCTAGAAATGTTGTTTGGGAGCTAGGGTCTGGAATGGGGGCCTCATAACTCTGCTCAGTGCCCTATCCTACTGTGACTGAGCTGGTATCCGAGTTGCAAGACAAAGTCCTCTTTACTCTTCCCTCTTGTCTTCTCAAGCAGAAGGAAAGGTTTACTTTTGGAACTGCAAGCTGTGCTGCCTGGGGTTGGGGGAGGGGTGATGCAAATGCTCCTTTAGTTGCCCTGGCTGTTGTCTCACTAGGTCACATGCCCCTCAAGAGCACTAGCTCTGAGCCCAGCATAGCACTAGGACTTGCCTTGGAGTTGCAGTCCTTGTGGCCTAGATAGTGTTTCAAGTTTATTTAGGACCCCAGAGCACTTTAACTCACGTTGGCAAGGCTTGCTGAAACTCAAGTTCTGACTACTGGGATGGGTGATTCCCCTCTGGCTAGGACTGGTCTAAATGATCCCTCCAGTGGGTTGAATTCTTCCTGGTGTTGTTGGTACTGCCTTTCAATGCAAAGTTCCACAGTCACTGCACTTTACTTCCCCTAAGTGCACAGATTCTCTCTCTGCGCCACATGGCTGGCCGTTACCGGGGGATTGGGGGAGAATGGTATTGGCAATTTATAAATGTCTTTCCTACCCTCTTCGGTGCCTCTTTCAGCCATATGAAGTTAAAACCAGTTACTGTGATTGCTCACCTGATTTTTGGCTCTTATGAAGGTGCTTTTTTGTAAAGATAGTTCTTAAATTTGGTGTTCCTGTTGGGAGGACAATCGGTGGAGGCTTCTGTTCAGTCATTTTGCTCCGCCTTCAATATTAACTTTTGATGGGGTTAGACCTCAGTGCTTTTCTTTGCTCACTTTTATGTAAAATTAGTTTTTCTGAACTTTTATAATGGTTGAGAGTTCAGGAAAGCTTTTCTAACATCTTGGACTTCTAATATTTTTGTGTAGTGTTTGAAAATATGGCAGTTTGTTTTCTGAGACTTCCTGCTTCTATTTTCTTCCCTATTTTGGTGTGGATCTTCCCTTCTCTCTTATCCCTATCTTGCTCAGTTTTGATTCTATTCCCAAAAGTTTCTTCTCATCATGGGCTCTGTCATGGAAATGTAACATGTCCATTTTGAGTGTTCACAGGGTTCCAGCATCTTCTGTTTTTCTTCTAGGAAAGGGTAAAACCCCTTCTGGTTTCACTTCCTGTTTCATGTTAGTGCCATAGTGAATATTAGCGATACCAATGAATTAGGGAGTTCTCTCATTCTCATAACCATCAGACACTGCCTGTAGCTTTTTTTTCTTCCAGCACAGATGCTGGTACCATGCAGCTTTTATGGCCGTTAGTGGTTTGCCCTCCCCCACTTATATTTTAGTGTTCGTGAGAATAACTTTTCACCAGCTTTTGATATAAATAGTTAGCTCTCTATATCTGCCAGTTTTGTATCCACAGATTCAACCGACTGCAGATTGAAACCTGCAGATAAGGAGGGCCAACGGTACTACACCATTTTATTGAAGGAACTTGAGCATCCATGGATTTTGGTACTTGCAGGTGGTTCTGAAACCAATCCCCATGTATAGGGAAGACCTGCTATTGCTTTTGGGTTTTTAGCTTTGCTCTCTAGTTGCTTCTGTTTTAATGTGGGATGCAGAGATGAAAAAACTAGGCTGTGGCCATGCCGTCTTCCCAGAATTGTTTCTTTATTCTCTTACTTTTAACTGCTTTAATGTTTTTATTTTAAGTGGCTTTTTAGTGTTTTAGAAGTCTTTTTTCCCTTCAACAGCATATAGCTTGATTTTTAAAAATCTAGTTTGACAGTCTCTTTTAACTGGAGCCATTCATGATTAATGTAATTACTGATATGGATTTAAATCTACCATATTGTCAAGTACCATGTGCTTTTCTCTTTGTTTTACCTCTTGTCTGCTTGTGTTTCTCTTCTTTTGGGTTTTTAAAAATTTTTTTATTTTTTCCGAGGCAGAGTCTCTCTCTGTCACCCAGGCTGGAGTGCAGTGGCACCATCTCGTCTCACTGCAACTTCCATCTCCTGGGTTCAAGTGATTCTCCTGTCTCAGCCTCTCAAGTAGCTGGGATTACAGGCATGAGCCACCACACCCGGCTAATTTTTTATATTTTTAGTAAAGATGGGGTTTTGCCATGTTGGCCAGGCTAGTCTTGATCTCCTGACTTCGTGATCTGCCCGCCTTGGCCTCCCAAAGTGCTGGGATTAGAGGCATGAGCCATTGTGCCTGACCCTTGGGTTTATTTATTTATGTATTTATTATACTTTAAGTTCTAGAGTACATGACAGCGTGCAGGTTTGTTACATATGTATACATGTGCCATGTTGGTGTGCTGCACCCATTAACTCGTCGTTTACATTAGGTACTTCTCCTAATGCTATCCCTCCCCCATCCCCCCACCCCACGACAGGCCCTGGTGTGTGATGTTCCCCTTCCTGTGTCCAAGTGTTCTCATTGTTCAGTTCCCACCTATGAGTGAGAACATGCAGTGTTTGGTTTTCTATCCTTGCGATAGTTTGCTCAGAATGATGGTTTCCAGCTTTATCCATGTCCCTACAAAGGACATGAACTCATTCTTTTTAATGGCTGCATAGTATTCCATGGTGTATATGTGCCACATTTTCTTAATCCAGTCTATCATTGATGGACATTTGGGTTGGTTCCAAGATTCTGGTATGTTGTGTCTTTGTTCTCATTGGTTTCAAAGAACATCTTTATTTCTGCCTTCATTTTGTTATTTACACAGTAGTCATTCAGGAGCAGGTTGTTCAGTTTCCATGTAGTTGTGCGGTTTTGAGTGAGTTTCTTAATCCTGAGTTCTAATTTGACTGCACTGTGGTCTGAGAGACAGTTTGTTGTGATTTCTGTTGTTTTACATTTGCTGAGGAGTGCTTTACTTCCAACTAAGTGGTCAATTTTTGAATAAGTGTGATGTGGTGCTGAGAAGAATGTATATTCTATTGATTTGGGGTGGAGAGTTCTGTAGATGTCTATTAGGTCTGCTTGGTGCAGAGCTGAGTTCAAGTCCTGGATATCCTTGTTAACCTTCTGTCTTGTTGATCTGTCTCATATTGACAGTAGGGTGTTAAAGTCTCCTATTATTATTGTGTGGGAGTCTAAGTCTCTTTGTAGGTCTCTAAGGACTTGCTTTATGAATCTGGGTGCTCCTGTATTGGGTGCGTGTATATTTAGGATAGTTAGCTCTTCTTGTTGAATTGATCCCTTTACCATTATGTAATGGTCTTCTTTATCTCTTTTGATCTTTGCTGGTTTAAAGTCTGTTTTATCAGAGACTAGGATTGCAACCCCTGCTTTTTTTTGCTTTCCATTTGCTTGGTAGATCTTCCTCCATCCCTTTATTTTGAGCCTATGTGTGTCTCTGCACATGAGATGGGTCTCCTGAATACAGCACACTGATGGGTCTTGACTCTTTATCCGATTTGCCAGTCTGTGTCTTTTAATTGGGGCATTTAGCCCATTTACATTTAAGGTTAATATTGTTATGTGTGAATCTGATCCTGTCATTATGATGTTAGTTGGTTATTTTGCCCATTAGTTGATGCAATTTCTTCCTAGCATTGATGGTCTTTACAATTTGGCATGTTTTTGCAGTGGCTGGTACTGGTTGTTCCTTTCCATGTTTAGTGCTTCCTTCAGGAGCTCTTGTAAGGCAGGCCTGGTGGTGACACAATCTCTTTGCATTTGCTTGTCTGTAAAGGATTTTATTTCTCCTTCATTTATGAAGCTTAGTTTGGCTGGATATGAAATTCTGGACTGAAAATTCTTTTCTTTAAGAATGTTGAATATTGGCCCCCACTCTCTTCTGGCTTGTAGGGTTTCGGCCAAGAGATCTGCTGTTAGTCTGATGGGCTTCCCTTTGTGGGTAACCCGAGCTTTCTCTCTGGCTGCCCTTAACATTTTTTCCTTCATTTCAACCTTGGTGAATCTGACACTTATGTGTCCTAGGGTTGCTCTTCTCGAGGAGTATCTTTGTGGTGTTCTCTGTATTTCCTGAATTTGAATGTTGGCCTGTCTTGCTAGGTTGGGGAAGTTCTCCTGGATAATATCCTGAGGAGTGTTTTCCAGCTTGGTTCCATTCCCCCCATCACTTTTGGGTACACCAAACAGACATAGATTTGGTCTTTTCACATAGTCCCATATTTCTTGGAGGCTTTGTTCATTCCTTTTTACTTTTTTCTCTAAACTTCTCTTCTCGCTTCATTTCATTAATTTGATCTTCAATCACTGATACCCTTTCTGCCACTTGATCAAATCAGCTACTGAAGCTTGTGCATGTGTCACATAGTTCTCGTGCCATGGTTTTCAGCTCCATCCGGTCATTTAAGGTCTTCTTTACACTGTTTATTCTAGTAAGCTATTCATCTAATCTTTTTTCAAGGTTTTTAGCTTCCTTGTGATGGGTTTGAACATCCTCCTTTAGCTTGGAGAAGTTTGTTATTACCGACCTTCTGAAGCCTACTTCTGTCAACTCGTCAAAGTCATTCTCCATCCAGCTTTGTTCTGTTGCTAGTGAGGAGCTGCGATCCTTTGGAGGAGAAGAGGCGCTTTGATTTTTGGAATTTTCAGCTTTTCTGCTCTGGTTTCTCCCCATCTTTGTAGTTTTATCTTCCTTTGGTCTTTGATGATGGTGACCTACAGATAGGGTTTTGGTGTGGATGTCCTTTTTGTTAATGTTGATGCTTTTCCTTTCTGTTTGTTAGTTTTCCTTCTAACAGTTAGGTCCCTCAGCTGCAGGTCTGTGGGAGTTTGCTGGAGGTCCACTCCAGACCCTGTTTGCCTGGGTATCGCCAGCAGAGGCTGCAGAACAGCAAATATTGCTGCCTGATCTTTCCTCTGAAATCTTCATCTCAGAGGGGCACCTGGCTGTATGAGGTGTCAGTCGGGCCCTACTGGGAGGTGTCTCCCAGTTAGGCTACACGGAGGTCAGGGACCCACTTGAGTAGGCAGTCTGTCCGTTCTCAGAGCTCAAACACCATGCTGGGAGAACCACTGCTGTCTTCAGAGCTGTCAGACAGGGACATTTAAGTCTGCAGAAGTTTCTGCTGCCTTTTGTTCAGCTATGCCCTGCCCCCAGAGGTGGAGTCTACAGAGGCAGGCAGGCCTCTTTGAGCTGCGGTGGGCTCTACCCAGTTCAAGCTTTCCTGCCGCTTTGTTTACCTACTCAAGCCTCAGCAATGGCAGATGCCCCTCCCTCAGCCAGGCTGCCACCTTGCAGTTCAATCTTGGACTGCTGCGCTAGCAGTGAGCAAGGCTCCATGGGCATGGGACCCACTGAGCCAGGCATGGGATATAATCTCCTGGTGTGCCACTTGCTGAGACCATTGGAAAAGCGCAGTGTTTGGGTAGCAGTGTCTGGATTTTCCTGGTACAGTCTGTCACGGCTTCCTTTGGCTAGGAATGGGTAATCTCCCTACTCTTGCACTTCCTGGGTGAGGCAATGCCCCACCCTGCTTCGGCTCGCCCTTTGTGGGCTGCACCCACTGTCCAACCAGTCCCAACGAGATGAACCAGGTACCTCAGTTGGAAACGCAGAAATCACCTGTCTTCTGCATCAGTCACACTGGGAGCTGCAGACTGAAGCCTTTCATATTTGGCCATCTTGGATGCCCTTGGGTTTATTTTTAAAAATGCATCATTATAGTCTTGTTTTTCCCCTTTACTAGTTAGAAAATTATATACTTCTGTTCAGTTCTTCAGTGGATGTCCTAGAAATTCTCAAGCATCCTTAACTTATACAAAAGCCCAGTGTTAACAGATACCTTTACCAGTGTCCACCTCCATTGTAAACAAACTTAGAACACTGTTACTCCATTTACCCTACTCTCAGCTAATATATTTCTGTTACTGTGCATTTTAATTGTACATTTTATACTTCACAAGATCTCATTATGTAGTCTGTGTTTAAACTCGCCCATTTTTTTGCTCTATTTTTTTCTACATCTCTGCTTTTCCATCAGGGAGTCTTCTGCATGAAGCAGCTTCTTTAGAATTTTTTTACAGAGCAGATGCAATGAACACTCTCAGATTTATTTTGTGTCATGTGTTTGAAAATATATTACTTTTGCCTTTATTATTCGTTAATGAATGTTTTCACTGGCTTTGGAATTTTAGATAAGCAATTATTTTCTTTCAGCACATTGAAGATATTAGTGTCTAGGTATGACTGACTTTTTTTTTCTTTTTTCTTTTTTTTTTTTACTGTATCCCAGTTGCAATATGTTGGGTTTCTAGAATGTGTGGATTTATGTCTTTCATTGATTCTCAAATTTTTCTTAGCCATTAGCTCTTCAAATGCTCCTTCTACTCCATTCTTTCCTCTGTTCTTGGGTACCAGTTATGCATTCTGTGGTGGGGGGTTAGACAGGACAGAGTGTATGTGTGTGTGTGGTATATGTGTAAAATCCCAGAATGCTTTATTTCCAGAGGAGAACATTATAAGATAGGGTTTATTCAAATGAGTCTTACAATCAGCTATCTAAGAAGTCACAAAGTTTTGACGCAGGAATGACCTGAATTGCCCTGCAAGAGTAGTGGATTCTTTTAAATATACTTTTCTTTAACTCCTTTTGCACTTTTTGTCTTTTTTCATTTAGGCAACTCAAATTTTTTAATTGCCAATTTCTGTTTCTTTTGATTCTACAAAAGTAACTATGTTTCCGGTAGCCCCTAAACCCCAGGATTCCAGTCAACCATCAGACAGACTCATGACTGAAAAACAGGTAAACTTAAAATATTTTAAGACACTGCTTCTCAAAATATGTGCCAAAGAATGCTACATCTACAAACAGGAAAATTTGACTTTAAAAGGATTCTTTCTCAAATAATTTTAGGAAATGCTGGGTTAAAGACTATGAAATGGTTTAATTACTCTAAGACTTCACAATATTAGTCTCCAAAGGGAGGATTTAGTATACAGCATTTCATACATACTTAACACTAGTTTGATGAACATTTCATTAGACTAGTGTTCTGTAGCATGTACTTTGGAAAATGCCATTCCCAACTATTTTCAGAATTTACAATTACTTTATCTTAAAATGTAAGAGGTATCAGGAAACAATATGTATAAGTTAATCATTCAAAATATGTGACTTTATTATGTATAGAGCATTTTGTTTTTATGAGTTACAGTAGAAGTTCTGAGACACTAACTCAGAGCTTTTGGCTCCTAAAACAACATCAATGTTAATTTTAGTTGTGTCTACCACGTAGTTAAACTCTGTGATCAGAAAGACTAAAGCATAAATGAGAGAAAAGTTATGAGTGGGAGGAGATGTAAAAAAAAGGAGGAAGAAGTCAACAGTCAAAAAGAAAGACTTGTTTGACTTTGAGAGTGTCTTTCAGGGTGATTCTGTTAGAGTCAGTTATCCAGATGGACGGGCTCCTTTTTATAGTTAGACCTTGTCCATTTGACAAGGAGCTGTCTGAAATATTGGCTCCAACTAGTCAGGTATGTTTTGATTTTTTTGTGACCCTAGTCATTATGAAAGTGATACTTAGGGGCTGGGGCGGTGGCTCACGCCTGTAATCTCAGCACTTTGGGAGGCCAGGGCGGGTGGATCACCAGGTCAGGAGATCCAGACCAACCTGGCTAACACGGTGAAACCCCATCTCTACTAAAAATACAAAAAATTAGCCGGGCGTGGTGGCGGGCGCCTGTAGTCCCAGCTACTCGGGAGGCTGAGGCAGGAGAATGGTGTGAACCTGGGAGGCAGAGCTTGCAGTGAGCCGAGATCGTACCGCTGCACTCCAGCCTAGGTGACAGAGCAAGACTCTGTCTCAAAAAGAAAGAAAAAAGAAAGTGATACTTAGAAGTGACTCACCTTTTCTTTTCTTTACTATCCAGTTATTATAGCCTAGTTTACAGCTGTTTATTCTGAGCAGGGCTTGGTTTGGCTTAGTTAAATCTAAAACCTTAGATTTATTTGATTCACTGAAATTACAAGGTGTTTTTGTTGTTGTTGTTGGTTTTGTCCATTGAGGCCTACATATGAGTATTCTGTATAATGCAACAATTTGTGCTTATTTACATACTTCTAGTCTATTACTAATTTTGCTAGAAACAATAAATGTGTTTTTTGGATATTATATATGCATAAACATTTATACTTAAAACTTTTGAAGAAAAAGTTCTATTCTGAAAATGCAGGAAATTATATATGAGAGAATTTCTTCACTTTATATCTAAAGTTAACCCTTTCTTCTCTTTCTGTAATTGTAGCAGGAAGAAGCAGAATGGGAAAGCATAAATGTGCTATTGATGATGCATGGCTTAAAACCTTTGTCTCTAGTCAAAAGAACAGATCTCAAAGGTAATTAGATCCTATTCTTGATGCTTAAGGTAAAAAGTTTATTTTTCCTTAAAAAATTTTTTTTGCCTTTTATTTTTACTATCTGTATTATATACTTTTTAAATGTAGATCTCATCATTTTTGACAAACAGTCATCACAAAGGATGAGACAGAATTTGAAATTGTTGGTGGAAGAAACATCATGTCAACAGAACATGATACAGGAGCTTATAGAAACTAATCAACAGCTTAGGTGAGAAAATGGAAAAGATTTCTTTTGAATTGTTTGTATGCGTTCTAAAAATAACTGCCTTGAAAAAAATCTTGAAATTTAATTTCCCATTTTGATTAAATATTAAACTAAAAAATATTTTTGTAGGTAAAATTTTAATAGGTAAATCTTTTGGTAATAGCTTAGCATAGATGTTTAATGGTACCCTATATTTCTTCTATTAGTTTCTGTTGCAGGATGAGCATCTCAAATCTGAAAATCTGAAAGGCTCCAAAAATTGAAACTTTTTGAGCACCAACATGATGCTTAAAGGAAATGCTTATTGGAGCATTTTGGATTTTGGATTTTCAGATTTGAGATGCTTAACTAGTAAGTATGATGCAAATATTCCAAAATCTGAAAAAATCTGAAATATGAATCACTTCTGGTTCCAAGCATTTTGGATAAAGAGAATGCAAAGAAACTTTAGAAAGGCAATACATTCTTATATGGATATGCTTGGTAATTCGATTTATTTTTAATACTAAGGGAAGAAATTGTATGTCTATTAACTTAGAAATGAACTTCAGCTAGAGCAAAGCCGAGCAGCCAATCAAGAACAACGAGCTAATGACTTGGAACAAATTATGGAAAGTGTGAAATCCAAAATTGGTGAATTGGAGGATGAATCACTAAGTAGGGCTTGCCACCAACAGAATAAAATAAAAGATCTTCAAAAGGAGCAGAAAACTTTACAGGTACTGAGTTATGAATTCTTAGATGATGGTTAGTTAGTACTAAAACAGCTCATTATGGTCCCAGGTGACTTCCATGTTGTTTGATTCAGTGGTTTTTACCTTTTTTGGCTTATCACTGCTACCTTGAAATTCTCTTCACTTGGTTTCTAGAATGTCCTTTATTTCCCTCTGACCTCACTGATCATTCTCTAATTTCTTTTGCTGTTTTTTTTTCTCATCTCCCTAACCTCTTAGTGTTGGAATTCCCCAGTGCTCAGTCCTTAGATCTTTTCTCTTTCTTACATACTCTGATGCCCTTGGTGATGTCAATCTAACATAGGATCCAAAATTTATATCCGTAGCCCAGTCCTCTCCCCGAATTCCAGACTCATATCCAGCTGCCTACTTGATATCTCTACTGGATATCTAATAGGCATCTACAACTTTGTTTGTTTATTTGTTTACTTTTTTGAGACAGCGTCTGGCTCTGTCACCCAGGTTGGAGTGCAGTGGCGCAATCACAGCCCAGTGCAACCTCTGCCTCCTGCACTCAAGTGATCCTTCCACCTCAGCCTCTGGAGTAGCTGGGACTACAGGCGCATGCCACCACGCCTGGCTAATTTTTATATTTTTTATAGAGACAGGCTTTTGCCATGTTACCTAGGCTGGTCTCAAACTCCTGAGCTCAAGTGATCCGCCTGCCTCGGCCTCCCAAAGTGCTGGGATTACAGGTGTGGGGCACTGCACCTGGCTGGCATCTACAACTTTTTATGTCTAAAACTGAGTTCTTTTTATAGAAATGGCAATTTTATAACATTAAATAATTAACTCCCTAATTTTAAAAAACTATTAAAACTTGGGTGTTTATTGTGATTAAAAGAAATGAATCTTATGCTGGTAACTAATGTTTAGTTGTATGAGTTGTTTCTGATCTTTACTAACATTATGTCATTATAAACATTGAGTCCTTATTTTAGTGGTTTTGCTGACACAACACTATATATACGTTTGCATATGTGAGTTCAGGCTATCTAAAAGGGAGCAGTATTCATCAGGCAGGGTCTGGAAGTCCCCTCAGTGTGTGCTGGCAGTATTGGAAGGATCAGATGAGTTAGTATAAATTCCATGGAGTCCGAGAGAATTAATCAGAGATACTAGGGGGCTCTAGTATGAGGACAGAGGCAGTTGGTGCTCTGACCTTGTTTATGTGCCAGCTTGGGGCAGGCAGTAGTAGAGCTGCTGGTATTGACCATAGTTTCAGAGAAGACATTGTTTGACAAACTCCTCTACCATTAGAATGCTAAATTTTTAGGTTGGCTTTGTTTTTTTTTGTGTTTTTTTTTTGTTTGTTTTTTTAGACAGAGTCTCACTCTGTTTCCCAGGCTGATGTGGTGTGCAGTGGTGTGATCTAGGCTCACTGCAACCTCTGCCTCCCGGGTTGAAGCGATTCTCCTGCCTCAGCCTCCCAAGTAGCTGGGACTACAGGCATGCACCACCACGCCCGGCTAATTGTTTGTATTTTAGTAGAGATGGGGTTTCACTATCTTGGCTAGGCTGGTCTTGAACTCCTGACTTCGTGATCCACCCGCCTCAGCCTCCCAAAGTGCTGAGATTATAGGTGTGAGCCACTGCGCCCGGCCTAGGTTGGCTTTGTTAACAAGGTTGCTTTCCTCATCAATAGTATATTTATAAAATCTCTCTAAATGGAGGGGTATTTTGGAAATACTTTCTATATGCATTGGTTTTGACCTTGCTCTTAGATATAGGGCATGTGGAAATCTGAAGCTCTTTAAATCATTGACTTATTGGTGTGAAAAAGCAGCCATCAGAAGCTGTAAAGGTGCTGTGCCAGGTCTTTGGCTGAGTGAACAAGTTGAGAGCAGGAAGACCAGTGGTCTTTGTTGGGGGAAGATATCTATTTATCTTTCAGACAGGTTGAGATGTAATTAATAACAAATTAAATTATTAGAAATACAAAGCTTACAAATTTACCAGGGTTTTAAGCACTTCAAAGAACAGATACATGAGAGTTCATTGATAAGGGGTGACTTGAATGTAATGCCATGTATTTTCTATCAAATAGTTTCATCTGTCATAAATGATTTATCGTGCCTTTAGCTCTTTGTTCCAGGTCCCAAAGATTTGTCGTGTAGCTTATAAATTGGTACAGAGGAGGTTTCATGCTTCAGTCACCCATAGAAGGGGAAAGGCAAATATGATTGAGGAGTGGATACCTGGGGTTGGGGAAGGCTATCTGTGCCAATATGATCAACTGAAATTGGCTGTTTGTTTTTTTAAGTCTCTGATGGGTATTTTATAGAGTGTAAACAGAAATCAGCAAACCCAAGGAATTGCCGCCCCTGAATGTTGCTAGGTTGCCTCATTTCTATTACATACTAGTCAAACATCTCATTCTATTATAGAGAAGGAAAAAATATTTTTACTTCTACCCTTTCAGATTCTCAGTCAGGACTCTGTAACAAAAAACTAACAAGTGAAAAACAAACAAGTTTATGAATATGTTTATATCATATATACATGGGAGAAACCCATGGATGTTGGGCTTAAAGAGGTTGCTAGAACTTGGACTTCCATAGCATCTTAACAACAGCCACCCCCAATAAATTTGCAGAGAAGTGGCAAGACAAAGGAAAAGGACTTTGAGTCTCTAGGGAAGCAAATTGTGGGAAGGTAAATATATTAAGGACTAATGACAGATAAGGGCTAGTCAGTAAACTTGGTTATGTAGAGTCCTCTAGTGCCACCTCTGGGCTAATAAGGATCCAGGGTTGTCACTGGATAAATTTCTATACAGATTTATGTCCTCCTTTAGGCTAATAAAGGAAGGGAAGAGAGCTTTTCTTGTGTTATCATCTTAGTTGCCTTCAACTCAGAATAATCCTTATGCCAAAGTGGCATGTTTTGAGGTGTCAGCTTCTTCTATTCTTCACCATACTAATCAATCTTTGCTTTCTTGAGAAGATGAAAGTGCCTGTGGAGAATAATTATTTCATAGTTTAAGACACATTCTTCTATTTTTGGTATACAGTTGTTTCCAATTTTAGAATGGTTTAGTGCTGCATGTTTGGTAGTTGGGAGAAAGGAAACATTGGTTTTGTATGTATATGCAAAGAGGTCAAGGAAATTTGCAAATGTTTGAGGTATATTGAAAGACTTTTGGGAAAAGACAATTCAGTTGGCATGGGCTATTAATATAATTGATATTCAGTTTTTTTCATTCAGCATTATTTCAGGATTCACCCATGTAGTTGCACATATCCATAGTTTATTCCTTTTTATTGCTGAGAAGTACTCCATTGTATAGATATATCACAGTTTGTTTATCCATTCATCTGTTGATGGACATTTTAGTTTCTAGTTTTTGGCTATTACAAAGAAAGCTCTTGTAAACTGTATGTTCAAATATTTGTGTGGACATATGCTTTCAGTTTTCTTGGGTAGATACCTAGAATTAGAATTCCTGAGTCATATGGTAAGTATACATTTAAGTTTTTTTTTTATATATATATATATACTTTAAGTTCTGGGGTACATGTGCAGAACATGCAGGTTTGTTGCATAGGTATACACGTGCCATGGTGGTTTGCTGCACTCATCAACCCGTCATCTACATTAGGTATTTCTCCTAATGCTATCCCTCCCCTAGCCCCCAAGCCCCTGACAGGCCCCAGTGTGTGATGTTCCCCTTGCTGTGTCCATGTGTTCTCATTGTTCAGCTCCCACTTATAAGTGAGAATGTGCAGTGTTTGGTTTTCCATTCTTGTGTTAGTTTGCTCAGAATAATGGTTTCCAGATTCAAAGGACATGCACTCCTCCTTTTCATGGCTGCATAGTATTCCGTGATGTATATGTGCCACATTTTCTTTATCCAGTCTATCATTGATGGGCATTTGAGTTAGTTCCAAGTTTTTGCTGTCATGAATAGTGCTGCAATAAACGTGTGCATGTGTCTTTATAGTAGAATTATTTATAATCCTTTGGGTATATACCCAGTAATGGGAGTGCTGGGTCAAATGATATTTCTTCTGGTTCTAGATCCTTGAGGAATCACCACACTGTCTTCCACAATGGTTGAACTAATTTACACCCCCACCAACAGTGTAAAAGTGTTCCTATTTCTCCACATCCTCTCCGGCATCTGTTATTTTCTGACTTTTTAATGATCGCCATTCTAAATGGCATGAGATGGTATCTCATTGTGATTTTGATTTGCATTTCTCTAATGACCAGTGATAATGAGCTTTTTTTCATATGTTTGTTGGCCACATAAATGTCTTCTTTTGACAAGTGTCTGTTCATATCCTTCACCCACTTTTTGATGGGGTTGTTTGTTTTTTTTCTTGTAAATTTGTGTAAATTCTTTGTAGATTCTGGATATTAGCCCTTTGTCAGATGGGTAGATTGCAAAAATTTTCCCCCATTCTGTAGGTTGCCTGTTCACTCTGATGGTAGTTTCTTTTGCTGTGCAGAAGCTCTTTAGTTTAATTAGATCCCACTTGTCTATTTGGCTTTTGTTGCCATTGCTTTTGGTGTTTTAGTCATGAAGTCTTAGCCCATTCCTGTGTCCTCAGTGGTATTGCCTAGGTTTTCTTCTAGGGATTTTATGGTTTAAGTGTTTATTCCATCTTGAGTTAATTTTTGTATAAGGTGTAAGAAAGGGGTCCAGTTTCAGTTTTCTGCATATGGCTAGCCAGTTTTCCCAGCACCATTTATTAAATAGGGAATCCTTTCCCCATTTCTTGTTTTTGTCAGGTTTGTCAAAGATCAGATGGTTGTAGATGTGTGGTGTCATTTCTGTGGCCTCTGTTCTGTCCCATTGATCTATATATCTGTTTTGGTACCCTTACCATGCTGTTTTGGTTATATAGCCTTGTACCATAGTTTGAAGTCAGGTAGTGTGTTGCCTCCAGCTTTTTGCTTAGAATTATCTTGGCTATGCAGGCTCTTTTTTGGTTCCATATGAACTTTAAACTAGTTTTTTTCCAATTCTGTGAAGAAAGTCAGTGGTAGCTTGATGGGGATAGCATTGAATCTATAAATTACTTTGGGCAATATGGCCATTTTCACAATATTGATTCTTCCTATCTATGAGCATGGAATGTTTTTCCATTTGTTTGTGTCCTCTCTTATTTCCTTGAGCAGTAGTTTGTAGTTCTCCTTGAAAAGGTCCTTTACATCTCTTGTAAGTTGTATTGCTAGGTATTTAATTCTCCTAGTAGCAATTGTGAATGGGAGTTCACTCATGATTTGGCCCTGTTTGTCTATTATTGGTGTATAGGAATGCTTGTGATTTTTTCACATTGATTTTGTATCCTGAGACTTTGCTGAAGTTGCTTATCAGCTTAAGGAGATTTTGGGCTGAGACAATGGGGTTTTCTAAATATACAATCATGTCATCTGCAAACAGAGACAATTTGACTTCCTCTTTTCCTATTTGAATACCCTTTATTTCTTTCTCTTGCCTGATTGCCCTGGCCAGAACTTCCAATACTATGTTGAATAGGAGTGGTGAGAGAGGGCATCTTTGTTTTGTGCTGGTTTTCAAAGGGAGTGCTTCTGGTTTTTGCCCATTCAGTATGATATTGGGTGTGGGTTGTCATAATTAGCTCTTATTATTTTGAGATACGTTCGATCAATCCCCAGTTTATTGAGAGTTTTTAGCAAGAAGGGCTGTTGAATTTTGTCGAAGTCCTTTTCTGCATCTATTGAGATAATCATGTGGTTTTTGTCTTTGGTTCTGTTTACATGATGGATTACATTTATTGATTTGCATGTGTCAAACCAGCCTTGCATCCCAGAGATGAAGCCAACTTGATCGTGGTGGATACGGTTTTTGATGTGCTGCTGGATTTGGTTTGCCAGTATTTTATTGAGGATTTTCACATCGATGTTCATCAGGGTTATTGGCCTGAAATTTTCTGTTTTTGTTGTGTCTCTGCCAGGTTTTGGTATCAGGATGATGTTGGCCTCAGAAAATGAGTTAGGAAGGATTCCCTTATCTTCTATTGATTGGAATAGTTTCAGAAGGAAAGGTACCAGCTCCTCTTTGTACATCTGGTAGAATTCACTGTGAATCCATCTGGTCCTGGACTTTTTTTGGTTGGTAGGCTATTAATTACTGCCTCAATTTCAGAACTTGTTATTGGTCTATTTAGGGATTTGACTTCTTCCTGGTTTAGACTTGGGAGGGTGTATGTGTCCAGGAATTTATCAATTTCTTCTAGATTTTCTAGTTTATTTGCATAGACATGTTTATAGTATTCTCTGATGGCAGTTTGTATTTCTGTGGGATCAGTGGGGATATCCCCTTTATCATTTTTTATTGCATCTATTTGATTCTTCTCTCTTTTCTTCTTTATTAGTCTGGCTAGTGGTCTATCCATTTTGTTGATCTTTTCAAAAGACCAGCTCCTGGATTCATTGATTTTTTTGAAGAGTTTTTTGTGTCTCTAGCTCCTTCATTTCTGCTGTAATCTTAGTTATTCCTTGACTTCTGCTAGTTTTTGAGTTTGTTTGCTCTTGCTTCTCTAGTTCTTTTAATTGTGATTTTAGGTGTCGATTTTAGATCTTTCCTGCTTTCTCTTGTGGGCACTTAGTGTTATAAATTTCCCTCTACACACTGCTTTAAATGTGTCCCAGAGATTCTGGTACATTGTGTCTTTGTTCTCATTGGTTTCAAAGAACATCTTTATTTCTGCTTTCATTTCGTTGTTTACCCAGTAGTCATTCAAAGGCAGGTTGTTCAGTTTCCATGTAGTTGAGTGGTTTTGAGTGAGTTTCTTAATCCTTAGTTCTAAGTTGATTGCACTGTGGTCTGAGAGACTGTTTGTTATGATTTCTGTTCTTTTGCATTTGCTGAGGAGTGTTTTACTTCTAATTATGTAGTCAATTTTAGAATAAGTGTGATGTGGTGCTGAGAATGTATATTCTGTTGATTTGGGGTGGAGAGTTCTGTAGATATCTATTAGGTCTGCATGGTCCAGAGCTGAGTTCAAGTCCTAAATATCCTTGTTAATTATCTGTCTCATTGATCTGTCTAATATTGATAGTGGGGTGTTAAAGTCTCCCACTATTATTTTGTGGGAGTCTGAGTCTCTTTGTAGGTCTCTAAGAACTTTACTTTATGAATCTGGGTGCTCCTGTATTGGGTGCATATATATTTAGGATAGTTAGCTCTTGTTGCACTGATCCCTTTACCATTATGCAATGCCCTTGTCTCTTTTGATCTTTGTTGGTTTAAAGTCTGTTTTATCAGAGACTAGGATTGCAACCCCTGCTTTTTTTTTTTGCTTTCCATTTACTTGGTAAATATTCCTCCGTCCCTTTATTTTGAGCCCATGTGCATCTTTGCAAGTGAGATGGGTCTCCTGAATACAGCACACTGATGGGTCTTGACTCTATCTAATTTGCCAATCTGTGTCTTTTAAGTGGGGCATTTAGCCGTTTACATTTAAGGTTAATATTGTTATGTGTGAATTTGATCCTGTAATTATGATGGCAGCTGGTTATTTTGCCTGTTAGTTGCTGCAGTTTCTTCATAGTGTCGATGGTCTTTACAGTTTGGTATGATTTTGCGGTGGCTGGTACTGGTTGTTCCTTTCCATGTTTAGTGCTTCCTTCAGGAGCTCTTGTAAGGCAGGCCTGGTGGTGACAAAATTGCTCAGCATTTGTTTGTCTGTAAAGGATTTTATTTCTCCTTCACTTATGAAGCTTAGTTTGGCTAGATATGAAATTCTGGGTTGAATATTTTTTAAGAATGTTGAATATTGGCCCCCACTCTCCTCTGGCTTGTAGGGTTTCTGGAGAGAGATCTGGTGTTAGTCTGATGGGCTTCCCTTTGTGGGTAACCCCAACCTTTTTCTCTGGCTGCCCTTAACATTTTTTCCTTCATTTCAACCTTGGTGAATCTGACAATCACGTGTCTTGGGGTTGCTCTTCTCAAGGAGTATCTTTGTGGTGTTCTCTGTTTTTTTCTGAACTTGAATGTTGGCCTATAATATTGCTAGGTTAGGGAAGTTCTACTGGATAGTATCCTAAAGAGTGTTTTCCAACTTGGTTCCTTTCTCCCCGTCACTTTCAGGTACAATAATCAAACGTAGATTTGGTCTTTTCACATAGTCGCATATTTCTTGGAGGCTTTGTTCATTCCTTTTCATTCTTTTTTCTCTAATCTTGTTTTCTCGCTTTATTTCATTAAGTTGATCTTCAATCTCTGATATCCTTTCTTCTGCTTGATCAGTTCGGCTACTGATACTTGTGTATGCTTCACGAAGTTCTTCTTTTTTTTTTTTTTTTGAGACGGCGTCTTGCATTGTCGCCCGGGCCAGAGTGCAGTGGCACAATCTCGGCTCACTGCAAGCTCCATCTCCCAGGTTCACGCCATTCTCCTGCCTCAGCCTCCCAATAGCTGGGACTACAGGTGCCTGCCACCATGCCCAGCTAATTTTTTGTATTTTTAGTACAGACGGGGTTTCACTGTGTTAGCCAGGATTTCTTGATCTCCTGACCTTGTGATCCACCCGCCTTGAACTCCCAAAGTGCTGGGATTACAGGGGTGAGCCACCGCACCCGGCCAGCTTCATGAAGTTCTTATGCTGTGTTTTTCAGCTCCATCAGGTTATTTATGTTCTTCTCTAAACCGGTTATTCTAGTTAGCAATTTGTCTAACCTTTTTTCAAGGTTCTTAGCTTCCTTGCATTGGGTTAGAACATGCTCCTTTAGCTCAGAGGAATTTGTTATTACCCACCTTCTGAAGCCTACTTCTGTCAGTTCGTCAGACTCATTCTCCATCCAGTTTTGTTTCCTTGGTGGTGAGGAGTTGTGATCCTTCAGAGAAGAGGCGTTCTGGTTTTTGGAATTTTCAACCTTTTTGTGCTGGTTTCTCCCCATCTTCGTAGATTTATCTACCTTTTGTCTCTGATATTGATGACCTTATGATGGGGTCTCTGAGTGGACATCCTTTTTGCTGATGTTGATGCTACTCCTTTCTGTTTGTTAGTTTTCCTTCTAACAGTCAGGCCCCTCTGCTGCAGGTCTGCTGGAGTTTGCTGGAGGCCCACTCCAGACCCCGTTTGCCTGGGTATCACCAGCAGAGGTTGCAGAACAGCAAAGATTGCTGTCTGTTCCTTCCTCTGGAAGATTCATCCCAGAGGAGCACCTGCCAGATGCCAGCTGGAGCTCTCCTGTATGAGGTGTCTGTTGGCTCCTACTGGGAGGTGTCTCCCAATCAGGAGACACGGAGTTCAGTGATCCACTTGAGGAGTTAGTTTGACCTTTAGCAGAGCTCGAACGCTCTGAGATCTGCTGCTCGAACGTGCTAGGAGATCTGCTGCTCTCTTCAGAGCCGTCAGGCCAGGACGTTTAAGTCTGCTGACGCTGTGCCCACATCTGCCCCTTCCCCCAGGTGCTCTGTCCCAGGGAGATGGGGGTTTTATCTCTAAGCCCCTGACTGGGGCTGCTGCCTTTTTTTCAGAGGTGCCCTACCCAGAGAGGAGGAATCTAGAGAGGCAGTCTGGCCACAGCAGCCTTGCTGAGCTGTGGTGCGCTCCATCTAGTTCGAACTTCTGGGCGGCTTTGTTTATACTGTGAGTAAAACTGCTACTCAAGCCTCAGCAGTGGTGGACGCCCCTCACCCCACCAAGCTCAAGTGTCCCAGGTTGACCTCAGACTGCTGCGCTGGCAGTGAGAATTTCAAGCCAGCATATCTTAGCTTGCTGGGCTCCATGGGGGTGGGACCTGCCTACCCAGACCTCTTGGCTCCCTGGCTTCAGTCCCCTTTCCAGGGGAGCAAACGGTTCTGTCTCACTGGCATTCCAGGTGCCACTGGGGTATGAAAAAAAAAAAACAAAAACTCCTGCACCTAGCTCAGTATCTGTCCAAATGGCCGCCCAGTTTTGTGATTGAAACCCAGGGCCCTGGTGGCATAGACACTGGAGGGAATCTTCCGGTCTGCAGGTTGTGAAGACCATGGGAAAAGCGCAGTATCTGGGCTAGAGTGCACTGTTCCTCACGGCACAGTCCCTCCCAGCTTCTCTTGGCTAGTAGAGCAAGTTCTCTAACCCCTTGTGTTTCCTGGGTGAGGCAACACCCCACCCTCCTTCGGTTTGCCCTCTGTGGGCTGTACCCACTGTCCAACCAATCCCAATTAGATGAACACGGTACCTCAGTTGGAAACGCAGAAATCACCCGCCTTCTGCATCGATCTCGCTGGGGAGCTGCAGACTGGAGCTGTTCCTATTCAGCCATCTTGGCAGCAATCCTCACATTTAAGTTTTTAAGAAACTGTCAGACTTTTTCAGAGTAGCTCTATCATTTCACATTCTGACCAATGTATGAGAATTCTAGTTTCTTTATGTCCTCATCAACACTTGGTATTTGTCACCTTAATTTTGATGAATATTTTCACTGGGTATAGAATTATAAGTTGGTAGTTACTTTCAGCATTTGAAAATATTCCATTGTCTCTTGGATTCATTGTTTCTGCTGAGAATTCAATTGTCAATCTATTTGCTGTTCCTTTGAAGGCAATTTATAATATCTCTGACTACCTTTAATATTTTTCTCCTTGTTTTTGTTTGTTTGTTTTTTGTTTTTGGTATAGAGTCTTGCTCTGTTGCCCAGGCTAGAGTGCAGTGGCACAAGCTTGGCTCACTGCACCCTCCGCCTCCTGGGATCAAGTGATCCTCCCACCTCAGTCACCTGAGTAGCTGGGATTACAGGTGTGCACCCAGCTAATTTTTGTATGTTTAGTAGAGATGGGGTTTCACCAGGTTGGCCAGGCTGGTCTTGAACTCCTGGCCTCAAGTGATCTGCTGGCCCTGGCTGCCCAAAGTGCAGGGATTACAGGCGTGAGCCACCAGGCTCAGCTTGTTTTTGTTTTAAAGCATTTTTACTTTGTGCCTAGGCGAGTTTTCTTTTGATTTATCTTCCTTTGATTTTGCAGCATTTCTTGAGCGTGTAGCTTGATGTCTTTCATCAGTTTGGGTACATTCTTAGCTATTATGTCTTCAAATATTGTTTCTGCCTCATTTTCTCTTTTCAATTTGCCCAGGAGTCCAATTCCATTAGTATTTATCATTGACTACCCTATGTCTTTCATGTTTATTCTTTATGTTTCTTCCTTTTGTCTTTTGATACTTTATTCTGGATATTTTCTTTCGGTTATTGTATTTTTTAGTTTTAGAATTTCTAGTGTCTTTGCTTTGGTTTCCAGCTTTCTGCTGAAATTATCTGTTTTGTGTCTCTGAATATATTAAATTTACTTATTTTAAAATCTGTGTCTGATTTTGGGAACAAGATAGAGGTGGTGTTTGCATAATATTGTGAATGTCCTAAATGCTACTGAATTGCTCACTTTAAAATGGTTAATTTTATGTTATGTGAACTTCACCTCAATTTTTAGAAGTCAGCATGTCTGATAATTTGACTCTCTGGTTCTCAGTGGATTACTTTTTATAGCCTGCTGTTTTTGTAGGTTTCCTTTTATGCTGTTTTTACTCCTGGTGTGCCTGGTTGTTTTTTACTGAGTGCTGAGCTTTGTATAGGAACAGTTGTAGAAATAAGTTGAGATCTACTGTGGTGTTATTTTACCCTAGAGGTAATCATGATTGCTTCTGGTAGACATCTAGGTGTACTAGTAATCTGGGATCATCTTAATCCAGCTTTAGAGATTGTGATGGTTTGAAATATACCTCAGTCCCAAAGAAAACTAGTGTATTTCTAGTTCATCATTATTCCTAGGGTGTAGTGTGAGAAGTTTCCTAGGACCTTCCCTTCTTTGTTAGGCCTTTGTGTCTAATTTTTGTTTCATATCCCTGGCAGGCATAAGAAAAAATATCTTTGGTCACCTTCTTAGCTTCTGACACCTTTTCAGGTGTCTGAAAACACACTTGTGGGAAATGTAGCTCCAAAAGCTAGACTTGCTACTTTGAGTTTCCTTTTTCTTTTCTTTTTTGAGACGGAGTCTTGCTCTGTCTCTCAGCCTGGAGTGCAGTGGTGTGATCTCAGCTCACTGCAACCTCCACCTCCCAGGTTCACATGATTTGCCCACTTCAGCCTCCTGAGTAGCTGGAATTACAGGTGTGCACCAGCACGCCCAGTTAATTTTTGTATTTTTAGTGGAAACAGGGTTTCACCATGTTGGCCAGGCTAGTCTCGAACTCCTGACCTCAGGCAATCCGCCTGCCTCGGCCTCGCAAAGTGCTGGGATTACAGGCATGAGCCACTGTGCCTGGCCAGTTTTCTTTTTTCTCCAGAATCATGGTCCTGTAATTTTCATTTCCTTGTTAGCACTTTCAAACAGATTTAAAAATTTTTTGATCATCTTTTTAAAGTTTTTCTCAGTAAGATAATTGGTCTGAATTACCTAGTCTATTATTTACAGAACAGGAGTTCTCTTTTATTTCCTTAAGCATAGAAGCATAGTTTTAAAATTGTCTGTGTCTGATAACTCTAATATTGGATGTTCTTTGTGGGCTTGATCTGTTATGTCTTATTTCTTTTTTAAAAATTTTTTATTTCCATAGGCTTTGGGGTAACAGGTGGTATTTGGTTACATTTATAATTACTTTAGTGGTGATTTGTGAGATTTGGTGCACCAAGCAGTATACACTGAACCCAATTTGTAGTCTTTTGTTCCTCACTCCCTTTTCACCCTTTCCCTCTGAGTCCCCAAAGTCCATTGTATCATTCTTTGTTGTGGGAAGTCAGGGACCCCAAACAGAGGGACTGGCTGAAGCCATGACAGATGAATGTGGATTGTGAAGATTTCGTGGACATTTATTAGTTCCCCAAATTAATACTTCTATAATTTCTTATGCCTGTCTTTACTGCAGTCTCTGAACATAAATTGTGAAGATTTCATGGACGCTTATCACTTCCCCAATCAATACCCTTGTGATTTCCTATGCCTGTCTTTACTTTAATCTCTTAATCCTGTCAGCTGAGGAGGATGTATGTCGCCTCAGGACCCTGTGATGATTGCGTTAACTGCACAAATTGTTTGTAGAGCATGTGTGTTTGAACAATGTGAAATCTGGGCACCTTGAAAAAAGAACAGGATAACAGCAATGTTCAGGGAATAAGAGAGAGAACCTTAAACTCTGACCGCCGGTGAGCTGGGCGGAACAGAGCCATATTTCTCTTCTTTCAAAAGCAAATGGGAGAAATATCACTGAATTCTTTTTCTCAGCAAGGAACATCCCTGAGAAAGAGAATGCGCCCCTGAGGGTAGGCCTCTAAAATGGCCCCCTTGGGTGTGGCTGTCTTCTATGGTCGAGACTGTAGGGATGAAATAAGCCCCAGTCTCCCATAGCACTCCCAGGCTTATTAGGACGAGGAAATTCCCGCCAAATAAATTTTGGTCAGACCGGTTGCTCTCAAACCCTGTCTTCTGAAAAGATGTTATCAATGACAATGATGCCCGAAACTTCATTAGCAATTTTAATTTCGCCCCGGTCTGTGGTCCTGTGATCTCGCCCTGCCTCCATTTGCCTTGTGATATTCTATTACCTTGTGAAGTACGTGATCTCTGTGACCCACACCCTATTTGTACACTGCCTCCCCTTTTGAAAATCCCTAATAAAAACTTGCTGGTTTTACAGCTCAGGAGGCATCACGGAACCTACCGACGTGATGTCTCCCCCGGACGCCCAGCTTTAAAATTTCTCTCTTTTGTACTCTGTCCCTTTATTTCTCAACCCGGACGATGCTTAGGGAAAATAGAAAAGAACTTACGTGACTGTCGGGGGCAGGTTCCTTGATAATTCTTTTTTTTTTTTTTTTTTTTTTTTGAGACAGAGTCTCACTCTGTCACCCAGGCTGGAGTGCAGTGGCACAATCTAAGCTCACCACAACCTCTGCCTCCCGGGTTCAAGCAATTCTCCTGCATCAGCCTCCTGAGTAGCTGGGACTACAGGCTCCCACCACCATGCCCAGCTAATTTTTGTATTTTTAGTAGAGATGGGGTTTCACCATATTGGCCAGGATGGTCTTGATCTCCTGACCTCATGATCCACCCACCTTAGCCTCCGAAAGTGTTGGGATTACAGGCGTGAGCCACCGTGCCCGGCCCGTTGTATCTTTCTCATGCCTTTGCATTGTCATAGCTTAGCTCCCACTTATAAGTGAGAACATATGTTCAGTTTTCCATTCCTGAGTTACTTCACTTAGAATAATAGTCTACAATCCTGTCCAGATTGCTGCGAATGCCATTGATTCATTCATTTTTATGGCTGAGTAGTATTCCATCGTGTATGTATACCACAGTTTCTTTATCCACTTGTTGATTGATGGGCATTTCAGCTGCTTCCACATTTTTGCAATTGTGAATTGTGCTTTTGTATAATGTTATACATTATATGAATTGTACATTTGTGTAATGACTTCTTTTCCTCTGGGTAGATACCCAGTAGTGGGATTGTTGGATCAAATGGTAGTTCTACTTTTAGTTCTTTAATGAATCTCCACACTGTTTTCCATAGTGGTTGTACTAGTTTACATTCCCACCAGCAGTGTAGAAGTTTTCCCTTTTCACCACATCCACACCAACATCTACTGTTTTTTGATTTTTTGATAATGGGCATTCTTGTGGGAGTGAGGTGGTATCACATTGTGGTTTTGATCTGCATTTCCCTGACCATTGGTGTTGTTGAGCATGTTTTCATGTGTTTGTTGGCCATTTGTATATCTTCTTTTCAGAATTCTCTATTCATATCCTTAGCTCACTTTTTGATGGGATTATTTGTTTTTTCTTGCTAATTTGTTTGAGTTTCTTGTAGATTCTGGATATTAGTCCTTTGTCGGATGTATAGATTGTGATGATTTTTTCCCACTCTGTGGGTTGTTTGCTGACTGTTCCTTTTGCTGTGCAAAAGCTCTTTAGTTTAATTAAGTCCCACCTATTTATCTTTGTGTTTCATTTGCTTTTGAGTTCTTGGTCATGAAATCTTTGCCTAATCCAATGTCTAGAAGGGTTTTTCTGATACTATATTCTAGAATTTTTATGGTTTAGGTCTTAGATTTAAGTCATTTAAGTCCTTGATCCATCTTGAGTTGATTTTTTTTTTTTTTGAGATGGAGTCTCAATCTGTCACCCAGACTGGAGTGCGATGGCATACTCTTGGCTCACTGCAACCTCCCCCTACTGGGTAGAAGTGATTCTCCTGCCTCAGCCTTCCGAGTAGGTGGGATTACAGGTGCCTGCCACCATGACCAGCTAATTTATGTATTTTTAGTAGAGACAGGGTTTCACAATGTTCGCCAGGCTGGTCTTGAACTCCTGACCTCAGATGATCTACCCGCCTCCCAGAGTGCTGGGATTACAGGCATGAACCACTGTGTCTGGCCTTGAGTTGATTTTTGCATAAGGTCAGAGATGAGGATCAAGTTTCATTCTTCTACATGTGGCGTGCCAATTATCCCAGCACCATTTGCACAGCAAAAGGAACAGTCAGCAAACAACCCACAGAGTGGGAAAAAATCATCACAATCTATACATCCGACAAAGGACTAATATCCAGAATCTACAAGAAACTCATTTGCTGAAGAGGTCTTTCACCTCCTTGGTTAGGTATATTCTTAAGTACTTTATTTTATTTTTACAGTAAAAGGGATTGAGTTATTGATTAGATTCTCAGCTTGGTCACTGTTGGTGTATAGCAGAGATACTGATTTATGTACATTAATTTTGTATCCTGAAACTTTGCTAAATTCATTTATCAGTTCTGGGAGCTTTTTAGAAAACTCTAAGGAGTTTTCTAGGTATACAGTCATATTGCCAGTGAACAGCAGTAGTTCGACTTCCTCTTTACTGATTTGGGTGCCCTTTATTTCTTTCTCTTGTCTGATTGCTCTGACTAGAACTTCCAGTATTACTGTTGAATAGAAGTGGTGAGAGTAGGCATCCTCATCTTGTTCTAGTTCTCAATAGAAGTGGTGAGAGTAGGCATCCTTATCTTGTTCCAGTTCTCAAAGGGAATGCTTTCATAATACTTTTCCAGTATTATGTTGGCTGTGGATTTATCATAGATGGCTTTTATTACTTTGAGGTATGTCCCTTGTATGCTGATTCTGCTGAGGGTTCTAATGACAAAAGGATGCTGGATTTTTTTTTTTTTTTCATATGGAGTCTCACTCTGTTGTCCAGGCTAGAGTGCGGTGGCATGATCTTGGCTCACTGAAATCTCCGCCTCCCAGGTTCAGGCGATTCTCCTGCCTCAGTCTCCTGAGTAGCTGGGATTACAGGCATGCACCACCATGCC